>NC_000007.14:142806779-143106779 GCF_000001405.40 Homo sapiens | reverse complement strand
CCAAATGGGCCATGGACTGGGCTGGGTTTTCATATTTGATGAAAAAGAGCCTAAATGCTAACTGATTTGGGAGAGGTCGGATAAAGAAAAAGGAGCATTAACCTTGGCTATGCCTTCAGCTTCAGCCACTCTCTAAGAGGAAATTGTTGGGCAGGTCGGGGAGGGCTAGTCATGGAATGAAGCTGTAAGCCAGACTGGGTGTGAGGAGGGGAGGTAATAGAAGGGTTATAGGGTGAGGGAGCGGAGGCTGAAAAAGAGTTGGGACCTGGCTTGGCCTGGCAAGGAGCAGCCTGGGGAGGAGGGGAAAGGTCAGATGGGTCTGTAGAAAAGGAGGATTCACAGGACTCAGAGCTTGGGGTGGAGACTGAAGGAACAGACAGGAGAGAAAGAAGAAAGATTTGGGACGAGTCGCATTGGGAACAGAGACTAGGGAGGGACCAATGTGTAAAAGAATGCCTGGCTGCCTGTACGCCAGGCACCTCAGACCATTTGCCCATTTTTCAACAAAAATTATCTAGATATTGTAAAATGGAGAAATCAAAAGTGCCATTTTCTGGCTATTTAGAACCATTATTGAGTTCTTATTGGGGTCAAGTGGTATTGCAGAAGAAAATAAGGCATTTAGGTTTTAGGTCAGGTGTGAGTTGAAGAGGCTTTAAGTTCTTGAGAACACAGGCTAAGGGAGAAGAAGGGGGAATGGAGGGCAGAAGTTTGCCCATAGTGAAGGAGGTAAGTTTAAAGAGAAAGGTAGAGAGATGGAGAAGGGGGTGGTGAGCAGCCCTGGGCTGCAATATGGGTGAGCAGCCAAAGCAGATGTCCCCACAATTGACTTGCCACCAAGGGAATGTGGGTGAATGACCAAGGCAGGTGTCCCCACAGTGATCAAACACCAATGGAGTGTGGGTAAATAATCAGGCAGGTGTCCCCAAAGTGATTAAACACCAAGGGAAGACTGTCTTCCCAAGTCTGTGACCGGCACCGGAGTTTTGGGTCCACAGATAATATGTGTCTCCTTGTCTCTACTAAAGAGGAAAAAGAACTGGAATTGGGAGGACAGGGAGATTGAAGGGTAGCGAGAGAGGAAGATTGAAGAGTAGTGAGAGAAGCTGAAGAAGAGTGAAAAGACCGCTTACACGATTTGAAATTGGTGAGATGTTCCTTGGGCTGCTTGGTCTGAGGACCCGAGGTCATAGGTGGATCTCCTCATGGAGTGAGGGCGAGGACAGGGGCTGGCCTCCTGAAGGAGTCCTCCTGTGCCGTGTTTCGGCACCAAATGTCACGCACGTCTGTGTGAAGAGACCACCAACAGGCTTTGTGTGAGCAGCAAGGCTGTTTATTTCACCTGGGTGCAGGCAGGCTGAGTCCAAAAAAGGAGTCAGCAAAGGGTGGTGGGATTATCATTAGTTCTTATAGGTTTGGGATAGGCGTACAAAGTATATTCTTAAGGGTGGGGGAGAATGTTACAAAGTACCTTCTTAAGGGCGGGGGGGAAACTATATCTTATCAGTTAGGGTGGGGCAGGAACAAATCACAATGGTGGAATGTCATCAGTTAAGGCTATTTTCCCTTCTTTTGTGGACCTTCAGTTGCTTCAGGCCATCTGGCTGTATACATGCAGGTCACAGGGGATATGATGGCTTAGCTTGGGCTCAGAGGCCTGACACTATGAATATTTATGAAAGTGGCCTTGACAAATTTGTACTGAACAAACATGTAACATATGACCCATGTTTACTTTGGGGTGGAGACAACATTTAAATATATTACAATTAGGTCCTGTATGTCAAAGGTCTTTTTAGGACAAAAAGGTACACAATTGCACAATTTCTGTAAACTGGCCAGAACTAGTCTGTGATTAGTAGTATTTTTATCAGAAGAAAGTTACTGAAATCAGTATCTTATCCAGTAAAAGTTACAGCTGTGACTGGTGGAACAGGAGTTCAGTTTTTCAGCATCTGGTGGAGCTGAAAATTGTTTTATGATTCCTTATTTTTCTTTTTCAGCTTAAAATAGCTGCTAGAAAAAAGAAAACCTTGTGGCAGTTAGAACATAATTTATCCTTTAAGCATAGGGGTGTGTGAATTAACTCTTACCTGGCATGGTCTTAGGTATCTTAAGACCTAAGATAGGTCTTTTATAATTTGGTATCTTATTGCCACACAGAGTCTGTTCTGTCGGTCTTATGATCTCTATTTTAATATCAATGCTGGTCAGTTGTTGTGTCTACACCATAAAAGAGAGGGGGTATAATGGGACATGTCTGCCTTCCTGTCCCATCATGGAGGGGAACTAAGTTTTTAAATTTTTGTGGGGTTCCCTTGGCCAATGGGGGTGGGGTCCATTCAGACGATGGGTGGCTTAAGATTTTATTTTTTAGTTTACATTCCCCGTTTTTGGTCAAGATATACCAGAAGCAGCATTGATGGCCAATATTTTATTTTGTCCCATACAGTTGCTGTGGTGGCGTGGCAACTTGTCCAGGGTCCCTCATGTCCCTTGGCAGGAACCCTATGGCCAAGGAAATTTGAGCCAAAAGACTTATAAACAACTAAACATTTTAGGCTATATGGGAATAGAGGTGGGTAGGCACTCATTAATCCTTGAAACCCTCTAAGTAACATAAGAGCCAAAAACCCAAAGCCAAAAAGCAGTGTTAAAAAATTGACTTATCTATAAATTCTATGTGTTGAGCCATCAGCTATTTAGACACCTGTGTATCCATCTTTGGTTTGGAAGGTCTGAAAGAATTTTCTGTCTGAAAACTCGCTCTTACAATCTCAGGCACTCACCTCTTCTGCAATTGTCCCTAGTCCTAGGGGAATTTTGAATAGTTTTCAAATTCTGGATCAGGTAGAGACATAGATAAACTTTATTGTTTTACTCAAGCTTGTAAACTATAAATAGTTTTAAAGAAAAAGGTTTTCTTGACTCTGGAAAATAAAACATGAAGAATTAGCAATGATTATTTGATTTTGAGAATGTTTTTTGAAGATGCTAAAAGGTTCAAAACATTTGATTAAAACAGAATCATAGATTATTGTAAAATAATAGTTCCTTATTTAACCAAAGTGATAAAAAAAACTTTGAAGTCAATACAGAAGGTTATATGAATGTAAAAACTTTAACCCCCTTTAAGCATAATTTTCCTAAGTAATTAAAAATCTAATGAAGATAACATAGAAAATATCTTGAAAAAAAATTGTCTATGTCCTAATCTCTGGAGACTGTATGTAACCTTACATGGCAAAAAGGGCTCTCCAGATGTCATTAAGTTAAGAAGACTATCCAGGGTTATCTGGGTGGGCCTAATGCAATACTAAAACTTCCTATAAAGGAAAGAGGCAGGCAGGAGTGTCAAGGGGAGAGAAGATGTGATGACAGATGCAGAGTTCAGAATGATGCAAAGGAGCTGTAAGCCAAGGAATGCAGGTGGCCTCTAGACTCTGGAAAGGCATTGGAATCCATTCTCTCCTAGAGCCTCCAGAAGGAACACAGCCCTGCCAACTCCTTGATTTAGGACTTCTGATCACCAGAACTGTAAGATAATAAATTTGTGTTGTTTATGGACACTACATTTATGGCAAATTGTTACAGCAACAATAGGAAACCAATACATACTGCATAATTTCCATCATTTGAGATATATTTAAACATTTTTTTTCAGTTTCTGTGAAGTTATTTATGTGTATGCTTGAAAAGAATGTGTATTTTTGAGTACCATGTTTTATATATACCTATTGGATTAAGGTTTAAAATTGTTTTCATTAGGTAGTGTATATGCATACTGAATTTGTAAAATAATATACAGAGAGTGGTATATTAAAATTTTTTACAATGGAAGAGTTGTAATTTCTCCTATTTCTCCTTATTTTGTAAAAGTTTATGCATTTTGAGCCTGTGTTATTAGGTGCATATAAATTCATGATTGTTATATTTGCCTGTTGTACTCACCTTTTGGCAATGAAAACATAGAATATTTTTGGCCATAAAGTCTGTTCTGTCTAATATTAATGTAGTGACACCAGCTGTATTTCGTTAGTTATTGCCTGCTGAATTCTCTTGCATGCTTTCATTTTCTACCTTTTAATACTCTTAATGGATGTGACTTTTATAAGCTGCATATAAGTGGATTTTGGAATTTTTCTACAATCTGAACATATTAGTCTTTTAATCTAAACATTTCATATATTTACATTTAACATAAAACTTGATATACAATATTTGGGTTTTAATTACTATCAAACTATATAGTATACATATTTTTCTCCCTCTTCCATATTTTTTTCCTTTTATTTTTTGCCTTCTTTAGAATTTATAACACTTTTTTATTATTCAGTTTCTTTTCTACATTAGCTTTGATGTTATACAATCTATAAATATTTTTTGTGGTTATCCTAGAAATTTTATCCTACATACAGATGTAACATGAAAGTCTAATATTAATTATATCAACTCTTTCTGAACAATACAAAGCCTTAGATAATTTTATTTTATCCTTGTCTCCAACTTTGTATGTTATTGCTGCTATGTATTTTAATTCTCCCTACATATTTTTAAATAATTTGTTGGTAAATATTTTTATTGAGGTATAACATACATAAAATACCCAGATTTTAAGTTGACCTTGATACATTTTTACAAAGGAGTAACCCTCTGAAACTACCAAGCAAATTAAAATATAGATAATTTATTGTACACTAGAAGCTCTCCTTGTGCTCTGTTATGGTCTTAATATGTCTCCCAAATTCATATTTTGAAATTTAATCACTAAAGTGATAGTATTAAGAGGTAGGGCCTTTGGGAGGTGATTACATCATAAGGTTGAAATCCTCATAAATAGTATTAATGCCCTTATAAAAGAGGCTTCAGAAAACTGCCTAACATTTTTCCTTTTCTCTCTGTCATGTGAGCATGTAGCATTCACTCCTTTTACCCTTTCACTCTTCTGCCATGTGAGAACACAGCAACAAGATACCATCTTGGAAGCAGAGAGTAAGCCTTCACCAGCCACGGAATATGCTACTGCCTTGGCCTTGGGCTTCCCAGGCTCCAGAGCTGTGAGAAATAAATTTCTATTGTTTATAAATTACCAAGTATCTGGTATTTTCTAAGAGCAGGAAGAATAGACTAAGATGACCTCTTTGTGTCAATACCCCATAAGGTTAAGCGGTGATTCTAATTTCTCTCATCAAAGACTATTATTTTCTTTTATTGAACTTCATATAAATAGAATCATAATATACCTACTTCCTGGTTTCTAGCTTCTTTCTGTGAACATTATTTTTATGGGATTTACCTAGGCTGTTGCACTTAGCAGTAACTAAATATTTTTCACTGATGTTTAGTACTATATTATCTAAATGTACCATTCTTTATTTTAGCATTATAGTTTTTGCTATTTTGAATAAACCTGTTAAGATTTTTTTGTACATGTCTTTTGGTACAAATATCCGCTAATTTAATTTGGGTCTGTACAGTCAGTTCTCCTATAATGTGCCATATATGTTCCTAAAAATCACTGCAATATGCAAAATTGTACAATAAAAACTGAGTTATGAGAAAAATGGGATTAATGGTATAACACTCAAGTACATTGTCAGTGATAAATAAAGAGGTAAACAAAAGGAATAGTACACTATTACACATATTTGATAGTTAAAACATACATAAATACTACAATAATTATGAGAGTTTATATTGAAGAATACATGAAATTTCCTTGTGGAAATAGGTGTCAGGAGGTAGCAGCATGTGGGATACTGTGAAGTAGTAGAAGGAGAGTTATCAGACATCAGACAGAAGGCTATAACACCAGGTGTGGATGGGCAGGATTCATTGTCTTTGGCTGGATTTGTTGACTCTTGATCTTTTGCAATTCTTAAATACTTGGGCATTTTTTTCTTGCCTTTGGGTTGTAGGTACTTTGAGATTTTTAATGCGTGTCTGTTTTTTCAAAATTGCCATTTTTGAACCAATGTGTAGCTATCTTCTTCAATTAATTTTAATATCACTGCTGAAAATTCTTTTGTGGCTTTCTCATTTGAACTTATGGTGTCATCTGATGGCCGAAGGCTTTGGAGATTGTAGTGATGTTTGAAACCACTGAATTAGCCATTAATAACACTGAAGGGAGCCATTTCTACAGGATTGGGTAATTTCTGTTTAAAGTCTTCACATACAAATAGTATGCCCTTTTTTTCCATTTTCCCTGCTGGTGTTTTGAACCAGGACACTTAAACATGTTTGGGATATTGAAAGAGTGTTTGCTTATATACAGTAGTTTTCAAATGTAACAAGACAATAAACAAACCCTTGAGATCAATACACTCAGTGTACCGAGATAGCTTTTAGATGTTTGAGGTATATGAGTGTGTTTTGTGTATTCTTATGTGAATTGGTTTAACTTGGTACAGTTTCTATTTCACTTTGTGCTTCTTGCTGCTGAAACTGCCTGTAAGAAAATATGAAATTCTCATTATGCTCAAATTTTCTCTCAATAAATTGATTGCACTGAAAAATATTTGACTTTTCAAAAAAGTATTATACTTTTCAAAAGAAGATAGACATGTGACCAAGTAGCATATGAAGAAAAGCTCAGTATCACTGATCATTAGAGAATGCAAATCATCTCACACCAGTCAGAATGGCTATTATTAAAAGGTCAAAAAATAACAGATGCTAGTGATGCTGTGGTGAAAAGGAATGCTTGTATACTGTTGATATGAGTGTAAATTAGTTCCACCATTGTGGAAAGCAGTGTGGTGACTCCTCAAAGAGCTAAAAACAGAACTACCATTCAACCCAGCAATCTCATTCCTTTGGGTATATACCCAAACGAATAGAAATCATTTTACCATAAACACATATGCAGGTGAATGTTCACTGTGGCACTGTTCACTATAGCAAAGACATAGAATCAAGCTAAATGCCCATCAATGACAGATTGGATAAAGAAAATGTGGTACTTATACACCATGGAGTACTATGCAGCCATAAAAAAGAACAAGATCATGTCTTATGAGAACACAGATGAAGTTGAAGTCCATTGTCCTTAGCAGACCAACACAGGAACAGAAAACCAAACATCCCATATTCTCAGCCTTTTTTTTTTTTTTGACAGAGTTTTGCTCTTGTTGCCCAGGCTGGAGTGCAATGGCATGATCTTGGTTCACTGCAACCTCTGCCTCCCAGTTTCAAGTGATTCTCCTGCCTCAGCCTCCCGAGTAGCTGGGAGCTACCACCATGCCCAGCTAATTTTTGTATTTTTAGTAGAGATGGTGTTTCACCATGTTGGCCAGGCTGGTCTCGAACTCCTGACCTCAGGTGATCCACCCACCTCAGCCTTCCAAAGTGTTGGGATTACAGGTGTGAGTCACCATGCTGGCATATTCTCATTTATAAGTGGGAGCTAAATAATGAAACTCATGACACAAAGAGGGGAACAACAGACACTGAGGCCTACTTAAGGGCGAAGGGTGGGAGAAGGGAGAGGATTAGAAAAAATAACTATTGAGTACTAGGCTTAGTATAGGAGTCCCTATACTGCTGTCAGAAAATTTCTCAGCAAAAGTTTTACAGTCCAGGAGAGAGTAGGATGATGTATTCAAAATGGTAAAAGCAAAAAAAAAAGGACTGCCAACCAAAAATACTTTACCTAGCAAAGCTTTCTTTCAGACATGAGGGAGAAATAAAAACTTTTCCTGACAAATAAAAGCTAAGGGATTTTATTACCACTAGGCCTGTCTTACAGGAATTGCTAAAGGGAGTTCTTTAAGCTGAAACTAAAGGCTGCTAAGGAATGACATAAGATGTATAAAAGTACAAAACTTGATGATACATTAATATATAGTGATACTCAGAATACTCTAATACTATAAATGTGGTGAATTCAGAAATTTTATCTGTAGTATTATGGTTAAAAAACAAAATTATTAAAAACAACTGCAGGTACAATAAATTGTTAGGGGATAAAAATTACAAAAAGATGTTAATTTTGTCATCAATGTCATAAAAGGTGGGAGGGGCTGTAAATGTAGAGTTTTTGTATGTGATTAAAGTTAAGTTGTTATTAGCTTAAAATAGCTTGTTATTAAGTATACAATGTTTTACATAAGCCTCAAGGTAGCCACAAAGCAAAACTCTATAGTAGTTACACAAAATATAAAAAGAAAGAATTCAAAGCATATCACTACAGAAAACCATCAAACCATAGTGAAAGACAGCAAGTGAGAAAAAGGCAAAATATCCACAAAATACCCAGAAAACAAATTACAAAATGGGAGTAGAAAGTTCTTACCTATCAATTACTATATTAAATGTAAATAGATTAAATTCTCAAATTAAAAGACATAAATGTGGCTGAATGGCTTAAAACAAACAGAAAAAGATCTTAGTATAGACTACTTATAAATGACTCTCTTTATTAGTAAGGACACAAAGAGAGTAAAATTCAAGGGATGGAAGAAGATATTTTACACAAACGGAAACCAAAAAAGACCAGGGAGAGCTATGCTCATATCAAGAAAATAGTCCTTAAGTCAAAAACCTTAAAAAGGAGACAAAGAAGGTCATATATAATAATAAAGGGATAAATTCATAAAGAGGACATAACAACTGTAAATACATATAAACCCCAAATTGGAGCATGTAATGTATTATGAAACTATTAAGTAATCTAAAGGGAGAAATGTACACTAATACCATAATATTAGGGAAACACAATGCCCCACTTTCAAGAACAGACAAATCATTTAAACAGAAAATCAATAGGGAAACATTGGACTTGAATTACACATTTGACCAAATAAACCAGACAAACAGAACATTGTATCCAAGTGTAACAGAATTCACAGTTGTCTCAAGTGGACATGGGACATTCTCTAAGATAGATCATATGTTAGGCCAAAAACAAACCAACAAACAAAAAACAAGTCTTAACAGATTTAAGAAAATTGAAATCATATCAAGTATCTTCTCCAATTACAATGGCATAAAACTAGAAATCAATAACAGGAGAGATCTTGGAAAATTCTACAAAGTGTGGAAATTAAATAAAATGCCTTGAAATAATCAAGAGGTCACAGAAGAAATTAAGAGGGAGATTAATAATCTTACAAACAAAAATGGAAATACAATATACCAAAACTTATGGGATGCAGCAAAGCAGTTCTGAGAGGGAAGTTAATAGCAAACCCTATAGAGAAAGACATTTGGGACAGGCCATCCAAGAGGCAGAGATAGCTTTATGTTCCTCCATGAATTGCAAAGAAATATGCTCCACCTCCTTTTTTTACAATGAGATAGAAGCCACAAGTGTGATCTTGAGCATGGAGTTCGATGGGGGAGATGGAGAAGTAGAGCCTAGTGGACTGTGAAATTAAAGCTATGCACCCAGTTTACAACACAGCTGTTGAGGAAGGATGAGACAGAGTTTCTGTTCTTGGGTAAGGCTGTAGGGCAGGGGGTTATCTGAACAGCTCTGCACACACACACAATCACATGTACAGTTTTGCACACACAGTCACACACACAGATAGAGAATTAGACCACTTTGTGGGGGGTGGGGGGAAGGGGGGCTTCCTATACCTCATGTACACTGTGCTTTCCATGTTCATATGGTTATGTCTATGTATCACAAAATCCCTGAGATACATATTATTAAACCAATGTTATGGAGAGAGAACTAAGGATCATAGAAACTAATTAATGTACCTAAGGTTATACAGGAAGTAAGTGGCCAGGTTAAACTAGGTTTCTGTAGTTACAAAAGCCATCTACTTCTCATTACACCATGTTGCATCTCTCAATTTAAAATTACAGTTTAATTGTAGATCCTTGAGGAATTGCCACATTGTCTTCCACAATGGTTGAAGTAGTTTACAGTCCCACCAACAGTGTAAAAGTGTTCCTATTTCTTTGTAGGGACATGGATGAAGCTGGAAACCATCATTTTCAGAAAACTATCGCAAGGACAAAAAACCAACCACCACATGTTCTCACTCATCAGTGGGAGTTGAACAATGAGAACACTTGGACACAGGAAGGGGAACATCACACACCGGGGCCTGTCGTGGGGTGGGGGGAGCGGGGAGGGATAGCATTAGGAGATATACCTAATGTAAATGACAAGTTAATGGGTGCAGCACACCAACATGGCACATGTATACATATGTAACAAACTTGCACCTAGTGCACATGTACCCTATAACTTAAAAGTATAATAATTTAAAAAAAAATTTAAAATTTTAAAAATTTTAAAAATAAAATAAAATAAAATTACAGTTTAAGATTACAGCTCTGTGCGAAAAGTTTAGGACTATTTCCAACCTGGCAGCTCAGTTAAGTACAAGAAGATGAACCAGTCTGCATTGCCCAGTGGAATTTCCAAAGGAACCAGGAGGAAGAGGTGGTTTGTGAGCCTCTTCAGGCCAGCTGGCAGAAGGTCCCAACACGCCCTCTTAGCCTTTCAAGATGTCCTTTTAGACAGATTTTTCTTCTGCAGGAAAAGTCAACAGTAGCTGCACAATGGCAAATGTCATGAATGTGCCCTCAGGACAGGAGACAGATTGTTCTTCCTGGTTTTATAGGCAAAATAATGTGCTTGTGTCAGGGATCAATTTAATCCACCTATCTTCACTTGCTTGCCATTTCAACCTCTTAAATACTGTGAAATAGTTGTCACTGAATCTCCATTTGCCAGTTTGGCACTACCCTGATCCAAGTACCCTGCCCTTGCACTCCAACCCTGTATTCAGTCTTGTAGTATCTCTAGGGAGTGACCCCAGACACATTCCCTGGGTAAATTTTCAGGGCTCCAATTCCATTGGTGAATGGTCGTTGATAGAAAGCCCCATGTGAACCAAGAACTTCATCTGTCTGGATTGTACACACAGAAATCTCACCCACGCTTTTCATGTAAATGTCTGCCTCCCAGCCCTGGACACATTTTGAGATAATTTAGATAAATAATTGATATCACACCTTGGCATTTCTGCCCACTTTCTGCATTCCACCGTCTTGAGGATGACTACCTTATCCTGGTTTGCCCAGAACTTTCTGAGTTTTGGCACTGAAAGTCTTCTATCCTGGGAGACTCCTCAGCTCTGGACAAATCAAGGTAATAGACCATTGCAATTACTATTTTGTCTCGGATTCTAGCTCACAAAGTGCTTCAGCACTCAGGTTAATTTCTAGGGGCCTTGTTCCATTGTGATATTTCTTTAACACTTTATTTATTTATTTATTTTTCCATAAGTTATTGGGGTACACATGGTATTTGGTTATATGAATAAGTTCTTTAGTGGTGATTTGTGAGATTTTGGTGCACTCATCACCTACACAGTATACAACTGCACCATATATGTTGTCTTTTATCCCTCACTTCCCTCCCACTCTTCCCCATAAGTCCCCAAAGTCCATTGTATAATTCTTATGCCTTTGTGTCCTCATAGCTTAGCTGCCACATATCAGTGAAAACATACGACATTTGGTTTTCCATTCCTGAGTTACTTCACTTAGAATAATAGTCTCCAATCTCATTCAGGTCAGTGCAAATGCTGTTAATTCATTCCTTTTTATGGCTCAGTAGTATTCCATCATATGTTTATATCACGGTTTCTTTATCCACTTGTTGATTGATAGGCATTTGGGTTGGTCTCATGATTTTGCAACTGTAAATTGTGCTGCTATAGACATGTGTGTGCAAGTATCTTTTTTGTATAATGACTTCTTTTCCTCTGAGTAGATACCCAGTAGTGAGATTGCTGGATCAAATGGTGGATCTACTTTTAGTTCTTTAAAGAATCTCCACACTGTTTTCCTTGGTGGCTGTAGTAGTTTACATCCCCACCAGCAGTGTAGAAGTGTTTCCTGATCACCACATCCATGCCAGCATCTCCTGTTTTTGATTTTTTTGTTTGTTTGTTTATACAAGCTTAATCTATTTATTCAAAATATGAATCATCAATATAATTTGCCACTAGTATCTCATTCAGTCCCTTCACTGGACACGTAATCCACTGGGAGATAAGAGATTAGCAGCTGGCAGGCAGTGATGCACAGCAAAAACAAAAACCAAGAGGTGAAATAGTTCTGAAATAAAGAAGGTTTTAAAGCTAAGAGAAATTATTGAATTACTAAGTCATTACCACTAATTTTGAGCCAACTAACTAATTAATATGAGATGATACAACGTCCTATGCTTTGGTAAATACAAACTATGTTTAAACAATGTCTGTAATGTGACTTTCAAAATGCTTCTGGCTTTACAAAGATGTGATTAAAATGTAGTAATACATG
The DNA here is from genome assembly GCF_000001405.40 of Homo sapiens. Taxonomy (NCBI): domain Eukaryota; kingdom Metazoa; phylum Chordata; class Mammalia; order Primates; family Hominidae; genus Homo; species Homo sapiens. The sequence goes on along the minus strand of NC_000007.14, from coordinate 143,094,482 downwards.
ATAAAGCATTTACCCCTGCAGAGCATGTTGTAATGTTCTTTTTTATTTTATTTTATTATTATTATACTTTTAAGTTTTAGGGTACATGTGCACAACGTGCAGGTTTGTTACATATGTATACATGTACCATGTTGGTGTGCTGCACCCATTAACTCATCATTTAGCATTAGGTATATCTCCTAATGCTATCCCTCCCCCCTCCCCCCACCCCACAACAGGTCTCGGTGTGTGATGTTCCCCTTCCTGTGTCCATGTGTTCTCATTGTTCAATTCCCACCTATGAGTGAGAACATGCGGTGTTTGGTGTTTTGTCCTTGCGATAGTTTTCTGAGAATGATGGTTTCCAGTTTCATCCATGTCCCTACAAAGGACACGAACTCATCATTTTTTATGGCTGCATAGTATTCCATGGTGTATATGTGCCATATTTTCTTAATCCAGTCTATCATTGTTGGACATTTAGGTTGGTTCCAAGTCTTTGCTATTGTGAATAGTGCCGCTATAAACATACATGTGCATGTGTCTTTATAGCAGCATGATTTATAATCCTTTGGTTGTATACCCAGTAATGGGATGGCTGGGTCAAATGGTATTTCTAGTTCTAGATCCCTGAGGAATCGCCACACTGACTTCCACAATGGTTGAACTAGTGTACAGTCCCACCAACAGTGTAAAGGTGTTCCTATTTCTTGACATCCTCTCCAGCACCTGTGTTTCCTGACCTTTTAATGATCGCCATTCTAACTGGTGTGAGATGGTATCTCATTGTGGTTTTGATTTGCATTTCTCTGATGGCCAGTGATGATGAGCATTTTTTCATGTGTTTTTTGCTGCATAAATGTCCTCTTTTGAGAAGTATCTATTCATATCCTTCAACCACTTTTTAATGGGGTTGTTTGTTTTTTTCTTGTAAATTTGTTTGAGTTCATTGTAGATTCTGGATATTAGTCCTTTGTCAGATGAGTAGGTTTCAAAAATGTCCTCCCATTCTGTAGGTTGCCTGTTCACTCTGATGGTAGTTTCTTTTGCTGTGCAGAAGCTCTTTAGTTTAATTAGATCCCATTTGTCATTTTTGGCTTTTGTTGCCATTGCTTTTGGTGTTTTAGACATGAAGTCCTTGCCCATGCCTATGTCCTGAATGGTATTGCCTAGGTTTTCTTCTAGGGCTTTTATGATTTTAGGTCTAACATGTAAGTCTTTAATCCATCTTGAATTAATTTTTGTATAAGGTGTAAGGAAGGAATCCAGTTTAAGCTTTCTCCATATGGCTAGCCAATTTTCCCAGCACCATTTATTAAGTAGGGAATCCTTTCCCCATTTCTTGTTTTTCTCAGGTTTGTCAAAGATCAGATAGTTGTAGATGTGCGGCATTATTTCTGAGGGCTCTGTTCTGTTCCATTGGTCTATATCTCTGTTTTGGTACCAGTACCATGCTGTTTTGGTTACTGTAGCCTTGTAGAATAGTTTGAAGTCAGGTAGTGTGATGCCTCCAGCTTTGTTCTTTTGGCTTAGGATTGACTTGGCGATGCGGGCTCTTTTTTGGTTCCATATGAACTTTAAAGTAGTTTTTTCCAGTTCTGTGAAGAGAGTCATTGGTAGCTGATGGGGATGGCATTGAATCTATAAATTACCTTGGGCAGTATGGCCATTTTCACGATATTGATTCTTCCTATCCATGAGCATGGAATGTTCTTCCATTTGTTTGTATCCTCTTTTATTTCATTGAGCAGTGGTTTGTAGTTCTCCTTGAAGAGGTCCTTCACATCCCTTGTAAGTTGGATTCCTAGGTATTTCATTCTCTTTGAAGCAATTGTGAATGGGAGTTCACTCGTTCACTCATGATTTGGCTCTCTGTTTGTCTGTTATTGGTGTATAAGAATGCTTGTGATTTTTGTACATTCATTTTGTATCCTGAGACTTTGCTGAAGTTGCTTATCAGCTTGAGGAGATTTTGGGCTGAGACGATGGGGTTTTCTAGATATACAATCATGTCATCTTCAAACAGGGACAATTTGACTTCCTCTTTTCCTAATTGAATACCCTTTATTTCCTTCTCCTGCCTGATTGCCCTGGCCAGAACTTCCAACACTATGTTGAATAGGAGTGGTGAGAGAGGGCATCCCTGTCTTGTGCCCGTTTTCAAAGGGAATGCTTCCAGTGTTTGCCCATTCAGTATGATATTGGCTGTGGGTTTGTCATAAATAGCTCTTATTATTTTGAGATCCATCCCATCAATACCTAATTTATTGAGAGTTTTTAGCATGAAGGGTTGTTGAATTTTGTCAAAGGCCTTTTCTGCATCTATTGAGATAATCATGTGGTTTTTCTCTTTGGTTCTGTTTATATGCTGGATTACATTTATTGGTTTGCATATGTTGAACCAGCCTTGCATCCCAGGGATGAAGCCCACTTGATCATGGTGGATAAACTTTTTGATGTGCTGCTGGATTTGGTTTGCCAGTATTTTATTGAGGATTTTTGCATTGATGTTCATCAAGGATATTGGTCTAAAATTCTCTGTTTTGGTTGTGTCTCTGCCAGGCTTTGGTATTAGGATGATGCTGGCCTCATAAAATGAGTGAGGGAGGATTCCCTCTTTTTCTATTGATTGGAATAGTTTCATAAGGATTGGTACCAGCTCCTCTTTGTACCTCTGGTAGAATTCGGCTGTGAATCCATCTGGTCCTGGACTTTTTTTGGTTGGTAAGCTATTGATTATTGCCTCAATTTCAGAGCCTTTTATTGGTCTATTCAGAGATTCAACTTCTTCCTGGTTTAGTCTTGGGAGGATGTATGTGTCAAGGAATTTATCCATTTCTTCTAGATTTTCTAGTTTATTTGCGTAGAGGTGTTTATAGTATTCTCTGATGGTAGTTTGTATTTCTGTGGGATTGGTGGTGATATCCCCTTTATTATTTTTTATTGTGTCTATTTGATTCTTCTCTCTTTTCTTCTTTATTAGTCTTGCTAGTGGTCTATCAATTTTGTTAATCTTTTCTAAAAACCAGCTCCTGGATTCACTAATTTTTTGAAGGGTTTTTTGTGTCTCTATCTCCTTCAGTTCTGCTCTGATCTTAGTTATTTCTTGCCTTCTGCTAGCTTTTGAATGTGTTTACTCTTGCTTCTCTAGTTCTTTTAATTGTGATGTTAGGGTGTCAATTTTAGATCTTTCCTGCTTTCTCTTGTGGGCATTTAGTCCTATAAATTTCCCTCTACACGCTGCTTTGAATGTGTCCCAGAGATTCTGGTATTTGTGTCTTTGTTCTTGTTGGTTTTGAAGACCATCTTTATTTCTGCCTTCATTTCATTATGTCCCCAGTAGTCATTCAGGAGCAGGTTGTTCAGTTTCCATGTAGTTGAGCGGTTTTGAGTGAGTTTCTTAATCCTGAGTTCTAGTTAGATTGCACTGTGGTCTGAGAGACAGTTTGTTATAATTTCTGTTCTTTTACATTTGCTGAGGAGTGCTTTACTTCCAAGTATGTGGTCAATTTTGGAGTAGGTGTGGTGTGGTGCTGAAAAGAAAGTATATTCTGTTGATTTGGGGTGGAGAGTTCTGTAGATGTCTATTAGGTTTGCTTGGTGCAGAGCTGAGTTCAGTTCCTGGATATCCTTGTTAACTTTCTGTCTGATTGATCTGTCTAATGTTGACAGTGGGGTGTTACAGTCTGCCATTATTATTGTGTGGGAGTCTAAGTCTCTTTGTAGGTCACTAAGGACTTGCTTTATGAATCTGGGTGCTCCTGTATTGGGTGCATACATATTTAGGATAGTTAGCTCTTGTTGAATTGATCCCTTTACCATTATGTAATGGCCTTCTTTGTCTCTTTTGATCTTTGTTGGTTTAAAGTCTGTTTTATCAGAGACTAGGATTGCAACCCCTGCCCTTTTTTGTTTTCCATTTGCTGGTAGATCTTCCTCCATCTCTTTATTTTGAGCCTATGTGTGTCTCTGCACGTGAGATGGGTTTCCTGAATACAGCACACTGATGGGTCTTGAGTCTTTATCCAATTTGCCAGTCTGTGTCTTTTCATTGGAGCATTTAGCCCATTTACATTTAAAGTTAATATTGTTATGTGTGAATTTGATCCTGTCATTATGATGTTAGCTGGTTATTTTGCCTGTTAGTTGATGCAGTTTCTTCCTAGCCTTGATGGTCTTTACAGTTTGGCATGCTTTTGCAGTGGCTGGTACCAGTTTTTCCTTTGCATGTTTAGTGCTTCCTTCAGGAGTTCTTTTAGGGCAGGCCTGGTGGTAACAAAATCAGCATTTGCTTGTCTGTAAAGGATTTTACTTCTCCTTCACTTATAAAGCTCAGTTTGGCTGGATATGAAATTCTGGGTTGAAAGTTCTTTTCTTTAAGAATGTTGAATATTGGTCCCCACTCTCTTCTGTCTTGTAGAGTTTCTGCCGAGAGATCAGCTGTTAATCTGATGGGCTTCCCTTTGTGGGTAACCCGACCTTTCTCTCTGGCTGCCCTTAACATTTTTTCCGTCATTTCAACTTTGGTGAATCTGACAATTATGTGTCTTGGAGTTGCTCTTCTTGAGGAGTATCTTTGTGGTGTTCTCTGTATTTCCTGAATTTGAAAGTTGGCCTACCTTCCTAGATTGGGGAAGTTCTCCTGGATAATATCCTGCAGAGTGTTTTCCAACTTAGTTCCATTCTCCCCGTCACTTTCAGGTACACCAATCAGACATAGATTTGGTCTTTTCACATAGTCCCATATTTCTTGAAGGCTTTGTTCGTTTCTTTTTATTCTTTTTTCTCTAAACTTCTCTTCTCGCTTCATTTCATTCATTTGATCTTCCCTCACTGATACCCTTTCTTCCAGTTGATCGCATCGGCTACTGAGGCTTCTGCATTCATCACGTAGCTCTCGTGCCTTTGTTTTCAGCTCCATCAGGTCCTTTAAGGACTTCTCTGCGTTGGTTATTCTAGTGATCCATTAGTCTAATTTTTTTTCAAAGCTTTTAACTTCTTTGCCATTGGTTTGAATTTCCTCCTGTAGCTCGGAGTAGTTTGATCTTCTGAAGCCTTCTTCTCTCGACTCATCAAAGTCATTCTCCGTCCAGTTTTGTTCCATTGCTGGTGAGGAGCTGCGTTCCTTTGGAGGAGGAGAGGCTCTCTGATTTTTAGAGTTTCCAGTTTTTCTGCTCTGTTTTTTCCCATCTTTGTGGTTTTATCTACCTTTGGTCTTTGATGATGATGATGTACAGATGGGTTTTTGGTGTGGATGTCCTTTCTGTTTGTTAGTTTTCCTTCTAACAGACAGGACCCTCAGCTGCAGATGTGTTGGATTTTGCTAGAGGTCCACTCCAGACCCTGTTTGCCTGGGTTTCAGCCGTGATGGCTGCAGAAGAGCGGATGTTGGTGAACCGCAAACGCTGCTGTCTGATCGTTCCTCTGGAGGTTTTGTCTCAGAGGAGTACCCAGACGTGTGAGGTGTCAGTCTGCCACTACTGGGGGGTGCCTCCCAGAAAGGCTACTCGGGGGTCAGGGACCCACTTGAGGAGGCAGTCTGCCAGATCTCAGATCTCCAGCTGAGTGCTGGGAGAACCACTACTCTCTTCAAAGCTGTCAGAGAGGGACATTTAAGTCTGCAGAGGTTACTGCTGTCTTTTTGTTTGTCTGTGCCCTGCCCCCAGAGGTGGAGCCTACAGAGGCAGGCAGGCCTCCTTGAGCTGTGGTGGGCTCCACCCAGTTCAAACTTCCTGGCAGCTTTGTTTACCTTATCAAATAACTAACTCGGCAATGGCGGGCACCCCTCCCCCAGCCTCGCTGCCACCTTGCAGTTTGATCTCGGACTGCTGTGTTAGCAATGAGCAAGACTCCGTCGGCATAGGACCCTCCAAGCCATGTGCGGGATATAATCTCCTGGTGTGTCGTTTTTTAAGCCCATTGGAAAAGCACAGTATTAGGGTGGGAGTGACCCGATTTTCCAGATGCCGTTCTATCACCCCTTTCTTTGACTAGGAAAGGGAATTCCCTGACCCCTTGCGCTTCCCAGGTGAGGCAATGCCTGCCTCACCCTGCTTCAGCTCGTGCACGGTGCACTGCACCCACTGTCCTGCACCTACTGTCTGGCACTCCCCAGTGAGATGAACCCAGTACCTCAGTTGGAAATGCAGAAATCACCTGTCTTCTGCGTCGCTCATGCTGGGAGCTGTAGACCAGAGCTGTTCCTATTCGGCCGTCTTGGCTTCTCTCCCCCCTGTTTTTGATTTTTTGATTATGGCCATTCTTGTGGGAGTGAGGTCATATTACATTGTGGTTTTCATTTGCATTTCCCTGATCATTAATGTTGTTGAGCATTTTTCCATATGTTTGCTGGCCATTTGTATATCTTCTTTTGAGACCAGTCTATTGATGTCTTTAGCCCACATTTGGATGGGACTGTTCGGTTTTTTCTTACTGATTTGTTTGAGTTTGTTGTAGATTCTGGATATTAGTCATTTATCAGATGTATAGATTGTGAATATTTTCTTCCATTCTGTGGGTTGTCTGTTTATTCTGCTGACTGTTCCTTTTGCAGTGCAAAAGCTCTTTAGTTTAATTAAGTCCCAATTATTTATCTTTATTTTTATTGTGTTTGCTTTTGGGTTCTTGGTCATGAAATCTTTGCCTAAGCCAACGTCTAGAAGGGTTCTCTCCAATGTTATCTTCTAGAATTTTTATAGTTTCAGCTCTTAGATTTAAGTCCTTGATCCATCTTGAGTTGATTTTTGTATAAGGTGAGAGAGGAAGATCCATTTTCATTCTCCTACAAATGGCTAGCCAATTATCCCAGCACCATTTGTTGAAAAGGGTGTCCTTTCTCTATGTTATATTTTTGTTTGTTTTGTCAAAGATCAGTTGGGCGTAAGTATTTGGGTTTATTTCTGGGTTGTCTATTCTGTTCCATTGCCCTATTTGCCTATTTTTATACCAGTACCACACTGTTTTGGTGACTATGGCCTTATAGTATAGTTTGAAATCAGGTAGTGTGATGCCTCCAGATTTGTTCTTTATGCTTAGTCTTGTCTTGGCTATGTGGGCTCTTTTTTGGTTCTATATGAATTTTAGAATTGTTTTTTCTAATTCTGTAAAGAATGGTGGTGGTATTTTGATGGGGATTGCATTGAATTTGTAGATTGCTTTTGGCAGTATGGTCATTTTCACAATATTGATTCTACCGATGCATGAGCATGAGATGTGTTTCCATTTGTTTGTGTTGTCTGTGATTTCTTTCAGCAGTGTTTAGTAGTTTTCCTTGTAGAGTTCTTTCAACTCCTTGGTTATGTATATTCCTAACTATTTTATTTTTTGCAGCTACTGTAAAAGGGGTTGAGTTCTTGATTTGATTCTCTGCTTTGTCACTGTTTTTGTATAGAAGAGCTACTGATTTGTGCACATTAGTCTTGTATCTGGAAACTTCGCTCAATTCTTTTTATCAGTTCTAGGAGCTTTCTGGAAGAGTCTTTAAGGTTTTCAGGGTAAACGATTATATTGTCAGCAAACAGTGACAGTTTGACTTCCTCTTTACCGATTTGGATGCCCTTTCTTTTTTTCTCTTGTCTAATTGCTCTGGCTAGGACTTCCAGTACTATCTTGAAAAGGAGTGGTGAGAATGGGCATCCTTGTCTTGTCTCAGTTCTCAGAGGGAATGCTTTCAACTTCTCCCTATTCAGTATTATGTTGCCTGTGGGTTTGTCATAGGTGGCTTTTATTACATTGAAGTATGTCCCTTGTATGCTGATTTTGCTGAGAGTTTTAATCATAAAGTGATGCTGGATTTCATCAAATGCTTTTTTTTTCATCTATTGAGATGATCATGTGATTTTTGTTTTTAATTATGTTTATGTGGTGTACCACATTTATTGACTTGCATATGTTAAACTGTCCCTGCATCCCAGGTATGAAACCCACTTGATCATGGTGGATTATCTTTTTGATATGCTGTTAGATTCAGTTAGCTAGTATTTTGTTAAGGATTTTAGCATCTATGTTCATCAAGGATATCAGTCTGTAGTTTTCTTTTTTGCTTATGTCCTTTCATGAGTTTTGGTATTAGGGTGATGCTAACTTCATAGAATGAATTAGGGATGGTTTCTTCGTTCTCTGTCTTGTGAAATAGCTTCAAAAAGATTGGTAACAATTCTTCTTTGAATGTTTGGTAGAATTCTGCTGTGAATCCATCTGGTCCTAGACTTTTTGTTGGTAATTTTAAAATTAGCATTTCAATCTCACTGCTTGTTATTGGTCTGTTCAGCATATCTAATTCTTCCTTATTTAAGCTCAGAGGGTTGTATTTTTCCAGGAATGTATCAATTTCTTCAAGGTTTACTAGTTTATGTGCATAAAGGTGTTCATAGTAGCCTTGGTTGGTCTTTTGTATTTCAATGGTGTCTGTTGTAGTATCTCCTGTTTTGTTTCTGAATGAGGTTATTTGGATTTTCTTTCTTCTTTTCTTGGTTAATCTTGCTAATGGTCTATCAATTTTATTTATCTTTTCAAAGAACCAGCTTTTTGTTTCATTTACTTTTTGTATTGTATTTTTGTTTCAATTTCATTTACTTCTTCTCTGTTCTTGGTTATTTCCTTTCTTCTGCAGGGTTTGGGTTTGGTTTTTTCTTCTTTCTCTAGTTCCTTGAGATGTGACCTTATCTTTTTTTTTTTTTTTTTTTTTTTTGAGATTGAGTCTCGCTCTGTTGCCCAGGCTGGAGTGCAATCAATCTTGGCTCACTGCAACCTCTGCCTCCTGGGCTCAAGCAATTCTCCTGCCTTAGCCTCCCGAGTAGCTGGGACTACAGGCGTGTGCCACCATGCCTGGCTAATTTTTTGTATTTTTAGTAGAGATGGGGTTTCACCATATTAGCCAGGATGGTCTCAATCCCCTGACCTCATGATCCTCCCACCTCGGCATCCCAAAGTGCTGGGATTACAGGCATGAGCCACCATGCCTGGCCAAGGTGTGACCTTAGAATATCAATTTGTGCTCTTTCAGTCTTTTTGGTGTAGGCATTTAGGGCTATGAACTTTACTCTTAGCACCATTCTTTAACACTTTAACTCAGTGTATTCAAAACATATTCTACTCAATCTCTTCTCTTTTGCTACCAGCATTTCCCCAGTCTACTAGGTATGCAAACTAGAGTCCTTTTCTTTGCATAGTGCAAGAGAGATGGAGACACGGATCAATCAGCACCAAGTCCCTTGCAGTCTTCCTTCCTTCCCTATTCAGTTTTCTTTCACTTCCTTCTTGGCCACCTGCAAAACTTGTCACTGACACTACTAGAATAGCTTCCTAACTGCAGTTTGTACCTTTTCTTTCATTCAGTTCAAATAATCTTAAAAACTTCTGTTAAATTAATCTTTCTAAAGTGTTACTCTGATTGGACCACTTCCCTCAAAAAAAATCTTTATGTTCTTCTCCTGCCTATTGAAGTGAGTAAAAATTCCTCAACCTGGGATTCAGGGCCTTCTACCATGACAACTTGAAATTACAGACTCATCTCCTATTGCTTTCCTATTTATGTACTATACCTCCTAGCCACAGTGGGCTTTTCATTGAGGCTTAAAGATGCTCTGCTGATAGAGCTTTGTTCATACTTTCAACCCCAAATAATGCCTTTCTACAGTGCGTGTTTCCAGCTGTCAAAGGCAAATGCTTTCCTTGAGGTGCATTTCATATAATTCTCTCTACATGCACTATTTTCTAATTCTTCCTAATTAATGTTATAATACACATTTTGAACCCTCAGTATTTTGAGTAAACCTTTCTTATAGAATCTTTTTCACTTTATCTTGCATTATAGTTATTTGCCTACTTGTGTCATGTTCTAATAAAACATAAAGCTCTTAGAAGACTAACTCTTGAAGCACCTAACAGTGTTTTGCATATCACAGATATGCACTAAGAAGCTGATTTGTTCAGTATTGAAAGATGGGCAGCAGTCAGAAAAATGGAGAGAACAGAAAAGATCTAGGTGGGAAAATGGCTAAAGATGTGATCAAGCATTGTGAAAACAGAGAAATGAGAGTGCAAATAGAATATAGTGAAAAGATAGGGTAGCTAGAACAAAGGATTTCTGAATGAAAATGTTGGGAGATAAATGTTGGGAGGGTAAATTGGAGCCATATTGTAAGAAGTTAATTTGGGCTCAAGCCCAGATCACTTACAGTGCAACAATCAATACCATGATGTGCTGCTGGACATTCCATCTGAGCTCTGTAACAGTTTCCTGTTTGAAATGAGGTAAAACCAGGTTTCTCAGACCAATATACTAAGTGAGTAACAGGCAGTCTTTGGATGTGGTTATTTGACTGTGGACTATTGTTTTAAGCTCTATTGTTTGTAGGAGTCAAATATAATTACTGTACTTGCCTTTCCTTGACCTCGGGCTCTGTGCTTAGAAACTAAAGATTGGATAAGTTGCCCAAGTTCAATATGGGTAGCTCAGTTACTGATGCTTATTAAAATGCCCTTGATAGGCCGGGTGCAGTGGCTTACACCTCTAATCCCAGCACTTTGGGAGTCCGAGGCAGGCGGATCACCTGAGGTCAGGAATTTGAGACCAATCTGACCAACATGGTGAAACCCCATCTCTACTAAAAATACAAAAATTAGCTGGGCTAGGTGGCATGCGCCTGTAATCCCAGCTACTCAGGAGGCTGAGGCAGGAGAATCTCTTGAACCTGGGAAGTGGAGGTTGCCGTGAGCAAACAGTACTGAAAGGCCTGTACTAAAAAACAGTAGCCCACATCCTTCTCTGTCTCACATATATAGTTCCTATTTCACAGAGAACACCACTTTTGTCTTCCCTCATAATTATTTCCACACCTCTTAATGAAGAGCTTATACTTCTGTTAATTGATTTATCAATTATAGATGTTTTCTATTCACTTTATGTTATAATAGCTGTGGATCTGACTCTCTTGGGCTCCACTTGTCCTCTTCATCTCTCTCCAGATTATTACTATTTTAATTAAAAGAGTAGTCAGCGACTATATCATCATTATCATAAAAATTTTATTCACTGTATCATTCTTAAGCCTTTGCATCCTCAGCTTAGCTCCCACTTAGGAGAACATATGATGTTTGGTTTTCCATTCCTAAATTACTTCACTTAGAATAATAGTCTTCACTTCCATCCAGGTTGCTGCAATGCCATTAATTCATTCCTTTTATGGCTGAATAGTATTTATATATATATATATATATATATATATATATATATATACCACAATTATATACATATTATATATATATACCACAATTATATATACACACACACACACACATATATATATATATATATATATATATATATATATATATATACACCACAATTTCTTTATCCACTCATTGATTGATAGGCATTTGGACCGGTTCCATACTTTTGCAATTGCGAATTGTGCGAATTGTGCTGCTATAAACATGAAACTCTTTAGTTTAATTAAGTCCTACCTATTTATCTCTGTTTATGTTGCATTTGCTTTTGGGTTCTTGGTCATGAAACCCTTGCCTAAGCCAATGTCTACAAGGGTTTTTCTAATGTTATCTTCTAGAATTTTTATAGTTTCAGTCTTAGATTTAAGTCCTTGATCCACCTTGAGTTGATTTTTGTATAAGGTGAGAGAAGAGGATCCAGTTTCATTCTCCTACATGTGGCTAGCCAATTATCCCAGCACCATTTTTTGAGTAAGGTGTCCTTTCTCACTTTATGTTTTTGTTTGCTTTGTCAAAGATCAGTTGGCTGTAAGTATTTGGGTTTATTTCTGGGTTCTCTATTCTGTTCCACTGGTCTATATGCCCATTTTTGTACCAGTACCATGCTGTTTCAGTCACTATGGCCTTATAGTTTGAAGTTAGGTAATGTGGTGCCTCCAGATTTGTTCGTTTTGCTTAGTCTTGCTTTGGCTATGTGGGCTCTTTTTTGTTTCCATATGAATTTTAAAAATGTTTTTTCTAGTTCTGTGAAGAATGACGGTGGTATTATGATGGGGATTGCATGAATTTGTAGATCGCTTTTGGCAGTATGGTCATTTTCCCAATACTGATTCTATCCATCCATGAGCATGGGATGTGTTTCCTTTTGTTTGTGTCATCTCTGATTTCTTTCAGCAGTGTTTTGAAGTTTTCATTGTAGAGTTCTTTCACCTCCTTGGTTAGGTATATTCCTAAGTATTTTACTTTATTTTTTTTCAGGTATTGTAAAAGGGGTTGAGTTCTTGATTTGATTCTCAGTTTGGTCACTGCTGGTGTATAGCAGAGCTACTGATTTGTGTACATTAATTTTGTATCCTGAAACCTTGCTGAATTCTAGGAGCTTTTTGGAAGAGTGTTTAGGGTTTTCTAGGTATACAATCATATAATCAGCAAACAGTGACAGTTTGACTTCCTCTTTACTGATTTGGATGCTCTTTATTTCTTTCCCCTGTCTGATTGCTCTGGCTAGGACTTCTAGTACCATGTTGAATAGAAGTGGTGAGAGTGGGCATCCTTTTCTTGTTCCAGTTCTCAGAGAGAATGCTTTCAACTTTTCCCCGTTCAGTATTATTATGTTGGCTATGGGTTTGTCATAGATAGCTTTTATTATATTGCAGTATGTCACTTGTATGCCAATTTTGCTAAGGGTTTTAATTACAACGAGATGCTAGATTTTGTCAAATGCTTTTTCTGCATCTATTGAGATGATCACATGATTTTTTGTTTTTAATTCTGTTTATGTGGTGTATCACATTTATTGACTTGCATATGTTAAACCTTCCCTGCATTCCTGGTATAAAACCCACTTGATCATGGTGAATTATCTTTTTGATATGCTATTGGATTCAGTTAGCTAGTATTTTGTTAAGGATTTTAGCATCTATCTTCATCAGGGAAATTGGTCTGTAGTTCTCTTTATTTGTTGTGTCCTTTCCTGGTTCTGGTATTAGGATGATACTGGCTTCATCAAATGATTTAGGGGGAATTCCCTCTTTCTCTGTCTTGTGGAATAGTGTCAATAGGATTGGTACCAATTCTTCTTTGAATGTGTGATAGAATTCAGCTGTGAATTTGTCTGGTCCTTGACATTTTTTTGTTGGTAATTTTTTTTATTACCATTTCAATCTCATTGCTTGTTATTGGTCTTTTCAGGGTTTCCAATTCTTCCTGATTCAAGGTAGGAGGGTTGTATCTTTCCAGGAATTTGTCCATCTCCTCTAGGTTTTCTAGTTTATGTGTGTAAATGTGTTCATATTAGCCTTAATTATTTTTTTTTGTATTTCTGTGGTGCTACTTGTAATTTCATGTCTTAATGAGATTATTTGGATTTTCTCTCTTCTTTTTTTGGTTAATCTTGCTAATGATCTATTAATTTTATTTATCTTTTCAAAGAACCAGCTTTTTGTTTCATTTATCTTTTGTTTGTTTGTTTGTTTGTTTCCATTTCATTTAGTTCTGCTCTGATCTTTGTTATTTCATTTCATCTGCTGGGTTTGGGTTTGGTTTGTCATTGTTTCTCTAGTTCCTTGAGGTGTGACCTTAGATTGTCTATTTGTGCTCCTTCAGAATTTTTGATGTAGGCATTTAAGGCTATGAACTTTCCTCTTAGCACTACTTTTGCTGTATCTCAGAGGTTTTGATAGGTTGTGTCACTATTATCATTCAGTTCAAAGAATGTTTTAATTTCCATCTTGATTTGATTATTGATCCAATGGTCATTCAGGAGCAGGTTATTTATTTATTCATTTATTTACATATTTATTTTGGAGGCTGAGTCTCATTCTGTCACCCATGCTGGAGTGCAGTGGTGTGATCTCGGCTCACTGCAACCTCTGCCTCCCAGGTTCAAGCAATTCTCCTGCCTCAGCCTCCCAAATAGCTGGGATTACAGGCATGTGCCACCATGCCTGGCTGATTTTTGTATTTTTAGTAGAGATGGGGTTTTGGCATGTTGGCCAGACTGGTCTTGAACTCCAGACCTCAGGTGATCCATCCACCTAGGCCTCCCAAAGTGCTGGGATTATAGGCATGAGCCACTGTGGCCAGCCAGGAGCAGGTTATTTAATTTCCATGTATTTGCATGGTTTTGAAGGTTCCTTTTGGAGTTAATTTCCAATTTCTTTCCACTGTAGTCTGAGAAAGGACTTGATATAATTTCAGTTTTCTTAAATTTATTGAGACTTGTTTTGTGGCCTATCATAGGGTGTATCTTGGAGAAAGTTCCATGCACTGATGAGTAGAATGTACAATCTGTGGTTGTTGGGTAGAATGTTCTGTAAATATCTGTTAAGTCCATTTGTTCCAGGGTATGGTTTAAATCCACTGTTTTTTTTTGTTTACTCTCTGTCTTGATGCTTGTCTAGTGCTGTCAGTGGAGTATTGAAGTTCCTCACTATTACTGTGTTGCTTTCTCTAATTTCTTAGGTCTAGTAGTAATTGTTTTATAAATATGGGAGCTCCAGTGTTAGGCACATACATATTTAGGATTGTGATATTTTCTGGTTGGACAAGGCCTTTTATCATTGTGTAATGTCCCTCCTTATCTTTTTTAACTGCTGTTGCTTTAAAATTTGTTTTGTCTGATATAAGAATAGCTACTCCTGCTCACTTTTGGTGTCTATTTGCATGAAATGTCTTTTTCCATCCTTTTACCTTAAGTTTATGTGAGACCTTACGTGTTAGGTGAGTCTCTTGAAGGCAGCAGATGGTTGTTGAATTCTTATCCATTTTGCAATTCTGTATATTTTAAGTGGAACATTTAGGCCATTTACATTCAATGTTAGTATTGAGATGTGAGGTACTATTCCATTCATTTTGCTATTTGTTTCCTGAATACCTTTTTTTTAATTGCTTATTTTTTATAGGTCATGTGAGATTCATACTTTAAACGGGTTCCGTTTTGATTTGTTTCCAGGAGTTGTTTCAAGATTTAGAGCTCCTTTAGCTGTTCTTGTGGTGCTGGCATGGTAGGGGCAAATTCTCTCAGTCTTTTTGTTTGTCTCAAAAAGACTGTATCTTTCCTTCATTAATGAAGCTTAGTTTCACTGGATACAAAATTCTTGACTGATGATTGTTTTGTTTAAGGAGGCTGAAGATAGAGCCCTAATCCCTTTTAACTTGTAGGGTTTCTTCTGAGAAATCTGCTGTTAATTTGATAGGTTTTCCTTTATAGGTTACCTGATGCTTTTGCCTCATAGCTTTTAAGATTATTTCCTTTGTCTTGACTTTATATAACCTGATGACTATGTGCCTAGGTGATGATCTTTTTGTGATAAATTTTCCAGGTGTTCTTTGAGCTTCTTGTATTTAGATGTCTAGATCTCTTGCAAGGCTGGGGAAGTTTTCCTTTATTATTCCCCCAAATATGTTTTCCAAACTTTTAGACTTCTCTTATTCCTCAGGAATGCCAATTATCCTTAGGTTTGGTCATTTTGTCATTTAACATAATCCCAGACTTCTTAGAGGTTTTGTGTATTTTTTAAAATTCTTTTTTCTTTGTCTTTGTTGGATTGAGTTATTTCAAAAACCTTGTCTCTGAGCTCTGAGGTTCTTTCTTATGCTTGTTTGATTCTATTGCTGAGACTTTCCAGTACATTTTGCATTTCTCTAAGTGTGTCCTTTATTTCCTGAAGTTGTGATTGTTTTTAATTTATGCAATCTGTTTCACTGAAGATTTCTCCCTCATGTCTAGTATCATTTTTTTTAATTTCCTAAAGTTGGACTTCACCTTTCTCTGGTGCCTCCTTGATTAACTTAATAATTGACCTTCTAAATTCTTTTTCTGGCAATTCAGGGATTTCTTCTTGGGTTGAATCCATTGCTGGTGAGCTAGTGTGATTTTTTTTGGGCATGTTAAAGAATCTTGTTTTGTCATATTACCAGAATTGTCTTTCTGGTTTCTTCTCATTTGAGTAGGCTATGTCAGAGGGAAGATCTGGGGGTCAAGGCTGCTGTTCAGATTATTTTGTTCAACGGGGTGATCTCTTGATGTAGTACTCTCTCCCTTTTCCTAGGGATATGGTTTCTGGAGAGCCAAACTGCAGTGATTGTTATTTCTCTTCTAGATCTAGCCACCCAGCAGGGCTGACAGTCTCCAGGCTAATACTGGGTGGTGGTGGTGTGGGGAGTGTCTGCACAGAATTCTCTGGTGTGAACCATCTTTAGGTCTCTCAGCCATGGATACCAGCACCTGCTCCAATGGAGGTGGCAGGAGAGTGAAATGGACAGGATCTGTAAGGATCCTTAGTTGTAGTTATTTAATGCACTAGTTTTGTGCCTCCTGCCAGGAGGTGATGCTTTCAAGAGAGCATCAGCTGTGGTAGTATAGAGGAGGATCAGGTGGTGGGCAGGGCCCTAGAACTCCCAAGAGAATATAAACTTTGTCTTCAGCCAATAAGATGGGTAGGGAAGGACCATCAGGTGGGAGCAGCATTAGGCGTTTCTGAGCTCAGACTCACCTTGGGCAGGGCTTGCTCTGGCTGCTGTGGGGGATGGGATGTGCTTCCCAGGTCAATGGAGTTGTTTCCAGGAGGATTATGGCTGCCTCTGCTGTGTCATGCAGGTTATCAGGAAGTGGGGGAAAGGCGGCAGTTACAGGCCTCACCCAGCTCTCATGCAACCCAAAAGGCCAGTCTCACTCCCACCATGCCCCCTCAACAGTGCCAAATTTGTTTCCAGTCAGTGGGCGAGTAGGGCTGAGAACTTGCCCTAAGCTACCAGCCTCCTGGCTGAGAAAGCAAGTAGGGCTTTCATGCCTCCCTGCCTGTTAAGTCTGCATACCAGATTCACACCCTTCCTCGAGGTCTGGCCAGGAAACTTTGCATTCAGTTGGAATTGTTAAAAAGTTCACCTGGAGGTTTCTTTCTCCCTGTGGTCTTTTCCCAGTTCCTCTGGCAGCCCTCCCCAAGGACCACTTGAAACAAGTCAGAAATGACTTCCCTGGGGACCCAGAGAGCCCACAGGGCTTTTCCTGCTGTTTCATCCATCCCTGTATTTCACTCAGTTCTGTAAATTGTCTCAGATCCAGGTAAGGTCTAATCCTTCTCCCATGATTGGGACCTTCAGGTTCCCCAGTGAGGTTATGTGTTTGGGGTGGACAATCCCCCTTTCCCACTTTCACAGTTTGGACACTCACAGAATCTGGGCTGTCTCCTGGGTCCTGCAGGATCAATTTGTTCCCTTCAAAGGGTCTGTGTATTCTCTTGGCCTTCCTGATATATTCCTACAGTAGTTCTTGGAGCAAAAGTCCACAGTATGAGTCTCCACATGCTGTTTTGTCCATCCAAGTGGGAGCTGCAATTTAGTCCTTCCTCCTACCCAACATTTTTTACTCCCTTGTCATATAATTTGAGGTCAGGAAATGTCATACCTCCAGCTTTGTTCTTCATGTTTAGGATTGCTTTGGTGATTTGGGCTCATTTTTTTCCATGAATTTTAAGATTTTTTTCTAATTCTGTGAAAAATGATGTTGGTATTTTGATAAGGATTACATTAGGTCCTTAAATTGCTTTGGGCAATATGGTTATTTTAATGATATTAATTATCCCAATTTATGAGCATGGGATGTTTTCTCTCTCCCTCTAGCTGAGACCTCTGGACAAACTATAGGTAACCAGTTGTAGAAGACAGAAAATAGGAGACATGGCCTGACCCAAACTATACAACTTATGTAGGCTCTGGGGAAAACAGAAGGTTATTTCAAGTTATTTTTCAAGTCCTACAGAACCTCACATTGGAATTAACCTGGAAATGGTCCAGCTGTAGCCTCCAGGCATTGGCATATGACTGATGATACATGGCCTTAGAGAGGGGTGAGAGAACAGGAGAGTGTGCATGCCATCACTGTGGTGACCACCAGTTCTTGGAGGCAGAGGCACAACCTCTGAGATGAGATGACCTCTGGAAGGTAGAGCAATATGAAAGAGAAGAGTGAGAAGGAATGGCTAACCATTCTCAGCCCTCCAGGCTAGCTAATGTTTCTATAGTAGCAGGGATGAGAATTTGAGAAAAAGCTTCTTCATTGTCAAAATGTCTGTGCCCTGCTTCCTGCCTTCACTGTGCAGATTCACCTCTGGGCTCTTCTACTTCAGATGGGGAGCACCCGCTTCCCACTAGGCAGACAGAAAAGCCATAGGGCCAGCTCATCCTCCAAAAGAAGCACAGTTCCTTCTCCATGGGCAAAAGTGCCTTATCCCTGGTGTGTCATCTCTAGAGTGATGTCTAAGGTAATGAAAGAAGAGGAGAAGTAGAAAGGTCTAGTTGTTCATCATGAAAGTGAACACAGATTCAGGCAGTGGGAATTTATTTCCGCTCTGACACAAATACGTGTTAGTATTGATAATGAGCTATTGGGAAGGGGATGGGGAATTATGTGTGTATACAAGTGTGTGTGAACTCACATGTAAGCTGGGTAATGGTGACCACAGTCTGATATACATGAGTATATGTCTGTGTATTGGTGTTTCTAATATAAGATAGTGTCTTTCTGCACATGGATCTGGGAGTTCTGAGATATGGGTACTCAGAATGTGAGCCTTCTGAGAGCTGCTTGTCTGCTGCTTTGCTTTATTCTCATACCTTGTCCTTAGAAGTCCTAGCCGAGGATAAATATCCGGCTGCAGGTCCATGCCAATAAATCTTGGGATAAATAACTGATGACATTGGGCTAGTTTCACAGTGTTGTTTTTGGATGATTCAGGGACATGGATCTTTGGGACAGAAAGTTAACCTTGTGATTGCTAGTCCTGGAATAGCCTGGGCAGGACTGGGCTACCCTCACTCTTGAAGGGGGCACACTGTGAAACATAACCCCCCATTCCTAGTAATTTTCCAGCCAGGCAGATGATCTAGATGAAGAGGTGACTACCTGCCCCTCTAGTCTTCTGACCACATTAGGAGCTAAAACAAAATAAAGTGAAAAGATGCCCCTCACTGAGCATTGAATGAACTGGCTCTGAACCAAAGAGATAGAAATCCCAGTAGGGGTCACTGGGAAGGAGAATACTATCTGTCAAGGTCAGCTACACCAGAATCACTCCATAAGCCATGTAGCTACTGTCACCACCAGTTAATAGAATTCAGAGATTCCAGTGAGAAGTTAGCCCATCATTCAGCATCCCACCTTCTCCATTTGTTCATCCCCTATTTTATAAACTGGAATGCCTGCATTTCTGAAGGGAGGGAATACACATTTTTCCTTCAAAAAAGCTCCCATTTGTTTCCGGCAAAATATACCTAAGGTATAGGGGGATCAGCTGAGTATGATGTCAGAGACTCTCTGGCTATATGGCGAATGCTGTTGACCAAAGCTGGAAGGACTTCATTAGTCACTGGTGTCAGGGAAGCTGATCATCGCTTCTTAGGTTACACACTAAGAGATAGTCTTCATGGTTCTTGATGTGTCTGCACATTACAGTCACCTGGGAAGTCTCACCCCAGACCAATTAATTATATCAGAATTTCTGGGCATGTTGTCTGGGTGTTCAAAAACTCCCAGGAGTGGTTGTAATGTGCATCCAGGGTTGCAAAACACTGAAATTGTGGATCATCTCATTCTGAAAATATGAATCTAGAATACTCAACTAGATACCTAGATATTAAAAGTGAAATAGTGACTTTTTCAATGGTCATTATGTCTCCTTTGTTGATATGATATGTTAGGGTTACCATGTGAAACTTTATGATGTTCCGTGGACATGTCTGAAAACTATAAGGTGGACCAATTAGATTTCTCCCTCAGGAATTTGAAGGGAAACTCAAAGGCATTGGTGGATATTTGACCTGAAAGTTTAGAATGAGTTGGGACAAGGTAGTCGTGATGAGTCTATGGCTATGCAGATGTATCACGTAATAGGGACTCAGAGGAGATTGGTCAAAAGAGGGAAGAGGACAAAAGAGTAGCCGGAGAAACAAAAGAGTGATGGGGGTGGGAGTAGGGGAGCACAGAGAGGAAGACGGCCAGTCCCAAGACACCTTGATTCCTGACCTTTCTGAAGTCTTTTCCCAGATTACATTTCAATCAGAACTCTAATGGAAACTCTGATTTAGAACCATAAGTGAGGAAGTCAAAGCTCCTTGAAGATGCTGTTTTCTCTCATATCATTAAGCCTGCCTCAAATGCACTTTATTCTCCTCTCTGTCACTCAAACACCTACTCCTTTTAAAAGAACAGTATGCATGTCACTCCCACCTGGCTTCCCCAGAACAAAGGACAACCCACTCTTTGCACATTCTTTACTTTCACAGGATTTTGCTCCATATCTTTCTTTATTTCTTTACACATTAAATGTAATTTTCTGTTTACTTGTCTTCTTTACTAGATTTTGAGCTCCTTGAGGACAGAGGTTATATGTCATTTATATTTTTTTTTACTAGTACCTAGTATAGTTCCCAGTCCATAGCAATTGCTGAATAGATATTTCTTAATTGAATACATTCTTAAAGATCAAATGGACCTGAGTTTTTGAACTTTCTGTTTTCTCATACACCCAGAAAAGGGTTAATGAACATAATACAACCTTTCCAGAATTGGATCTGAAAGTGGTGAGTAATTTTCCCCAGTAATTTCTTATTTAACATATTTACTAAAAACCCTTATCACAAAATTCTCCTCTTCTGTTTTTTTTTAAACCAATAACAGTCGTTTATTATCATTATCAAGTATTGCGTACTGTACATACTTGTCTGTGCTATATTTTTATACAACTGGCAGTGCAGTAGGTTTGCTTACACCAGCATCACCACAAGCATGAGAGTAATTCATTGCACTGTGACATCACTAGGTAATAGGAATTTTTCAGCTCCATTGTAATCTCATAGGATCACAGTCAGTCTATTGTTGACTGAAATGTAGTGAATGACTGTATAATAGGGCTCCAACGAAGATCACAAAATTGCTTGTTTTCCAGAACTTTGACAAATACCTTTTACAGAAACTAATATAATAGATAAATAATAGTATATCATTGCTGTTTTCATTTGCATTTCATTGATTACTAACTGTTTGTATTTTTTCTTGTTTATTGGCTGTTTACTTCTTTGTCAATTTCTTTTTTTTTAATTATACTTTAAGTTTTAGGGTACATGTGCACAACGTGCAGGTTAGTTACATATGTATACATGTGCCATGTTGGTGTGCTGCACCCAGTAACTTGTCATTTAACATTAGGTATGTCTCCTAATGCTATCCCTCCCCACTCCCCCCACCCCACAACAGTCCCCGGTGTGTGATGTTCCCCTTCCTGTGTCCATGTGTTCTCATTGTTCAATTCCCACCTATGAGTGAGAACATGCAGTGTTTGGTTTTTTGTCCTTGCGATAGTTTTCTGAGAATGATGGTTTCCAGCTTCATCCATGTCCCTACAAAGGACACGAACTCATCATTTTTTATGGCTGCATAGTATTCCATGGTGTATATGTGCCACATTTTCTTAATCCAGTCTATCATTGTTGGACATTTGGATTTGTTCCAAGTCTTTGCTATTGTGAATAGTGCTGCAATAAACATACATGTGCATGTGTCTTTATAGCAGCATGATTTATAATCCTTTGGGTGTATACCCAGTAATGGGATTGCTGGGTCAAATGGTATTTCTAGTTCTAGATCCCTGAGGAATCGCCACACTGACTTCCACAATGGTTGAACTAGTTTACAGTTCCACCAACAGTGTAAAAGTGTTCCTATTTCTCCACATCCTATCCAGCACCTGTTGTTTCCTGACTTTTTAATGATCGCCATTCTAACTGGTGTGAGATGGTATCTCATTGTGGTTTTGATTTGCATTTTTCTGATGGCCAGTGATGATGAGCATTTTCTCATGTGTCTTTTGGCTGCATAAATGTCTTCTTTTGAGAAGTGTCTGTTCATATCCTTCACTCATTTTTTGATGGGGTTGTTTGTTTTTTTCTTGGCCATACTGCCCAAGGTAATTTATAGATTCAATGCCATCCCCATCAGCTACCAATGACTTTCTTCACAGAATTGGAAAAAACTACTTTAAAGTTCATATGGAACCAAAAAAGAGCCAGCATCGCCAGTTCACTGCAACTCCACCCTCCGAGTTCAAGCAATTCTCCTGCCTCAGCCTCCTGAGTAGCTGGAACTACAGGTTCCTGCCACCACACCAGGCTAATTTTAATTAATTATTTATTTATTTTTTGGTATTTTTAGTACAGACAGGGTTTCATCATATTGGCCAGACTGGTCTCGAACTCCTGACCTTGTGATCCACCCACCTTGGCCTCCCTAAGTGTTGGGATTATAGGCGTGAGCCAGTGTGCCCTGCCTAAACTCACTTTCTTTAAACAATCCCCACGACCCTGCTTCCTCCATCTTACCTCAGTCTCTATCTCCACTTTTTTTTTTTTTTGTCTCAGATGGGTCACTCACAGCTTCTAGATACATATAAAATATGTTACAAAACTACTTAAAATGATTTGGGGGTTCAAAGCCCCTCTCCATTGTTGCTATATTTGGCCATTTAAACATTAAGGTGGTGATGGTTGTGCCCACCACCAAATTTAATGTGAACCCGAGCAGAGATTTGAAGCTCCAGCGGGGCAAACATATTTCCCATATATTTGGGGAAAGGATGAGAAGTCTAGAAAAAAAGACATATCTCACAGAAGCACGACTGTTGTATTTCCTTTCAATTCTGCCTCAGACCCCTTCTTCTGAAGCTTAGGTGCACGATCATGAAACTCTAGCCTGGGCTCAATCTTTGAGACAGATGTACTGTGTTTGTTTGCTTGTTTGTTTGTTATTGTTTTGACAACATCCCCATGAAAATGCATTATGCAAATAGAAGTTCAACAAGACAAGTTTTCATTTTCACTTGTTAGTGTTTTCAGTTAAAATTGTTAGACAATTGAACAGACAAACTTGAACCATTAGGGCAGGAGATGCTATATGTGATATTTGAAATGCTCCTTGATCAGCAAATATATGAAAATGTGAAAGGCGAATGAGAAAATGTCAGTGTAGGGGGTATGCAAGGTCATGTGTAAAAGTCTAAAGTGCCCAAGCTGAAGATCACCTGTACTCTGCTCCTTGGAGTTCAAACCCAGACACCACTTACTAGGTGCATGCCCTGGAGCAAGGCTTCCTTTGTACCGTCAGTGGTGGAATGAAGACACCCATAACGGCTGCTTCACAGGGTTGTTGAGAAGATCAAATGAGACAATGTCTGCAGGAACACGTGATATAGCTGTTATTGCCATGAAGTACAGCAAGGGACAAAGGAAAAGGACTATGTCATTTCTTGAGTCCTTGGCACTAGAGGTGATGCACATCCTTGGGTGGGTGGAGAAGTCAGGGAAGCTGGTCTTGGTGACAAAGAGATACAAGATTCCGGGCCAGGCACGGTGGCTCACACCTGTAATCCCAGCACTTTGGGAGGCAGAGGTGGGCAGATCACGAGTTCAGGAGATGGAGACCATCCTGGCCAACACGGTGAAACCCCGTCTCTACTAAAAAATACAAAAAATTAGCCAGGCGTGGTGGTGGGCGCCTATAGTCCCAGCTACTCGGGAGGCTGAGGCAAGAGAATGGCATGAACCCGGGAGGCAGAGCTTGCAGTGAGCCGAGATCGCACCACTGTGCTCCAGCCTGGGCGACAGAGCGAGACTCCGTCTCAAAAAAAAAAAAAAAAGAGAGAGAGAGAGAGATACAAAATTCTATGTTTATTGAAGTGTCCCAATGTCATATTAAAAATTTTTCATAGCTGATATACAGAATTACAAATTGACAACAAATATTTTTGTCATTTATACACACACATATTCCCTTTATGTATGTGCATATATATACATATATGTGTGTGTGTGTGTGTGTGTGTATATATATGTATATTTTCCATTTTATAATTGTAAACAGATCCCTGATTTCTCATTTTGGTTCACCCAGTATCTTAATGCTGAGGCCCTGGCCATTTCGTTTTTCTAAAAATAGATGTGTTTTTCTACTTTGGTATTCCTCTTATTTTTCATTTATGAGAAAACAACAAGACAGTGGACCTATTTTTTTTTCCCTCCTGGGTGGCCAGAGGTAACAATTCTTTGCTCATTTTCTTTGTTCCTGAATTGCCTGCGTCTAAAACAGTCGGTGCCCAACTCCCTGTTTCTTCTCCCTCTTCTCCTCACTCCAGCTTGCAAATCCCAGGGCTGCCAGGGCTGCACTGAGCTTTGTGCCCACAGGAGACAGGAGAGTGTGAGACAGAGCAGTCACAGTTCCTAGGAGGCCCCTGTGGACTCACAGTTGCTGCCTGCTCCCAGGAGCTCACATTCCCCAAACTGAGGATGGTCCTGGGATGTGGCCAAGTCCCTAGTAGAAGCAACTGCTCACTGGGAACAACCATCATGTTCCTATTCCAGACCCTGCTGGGGCACACCATCAGCACTGAAGAGGGTGGGAAACTTCGATCTTTCTGAATCCCTTTCAGTTCCAGGTCTCCCACTGGGAGTTCCTGAATAGCGGGAGGAAAGAGGTAAAGAGAGCACACCAGGCAGAGTGGAGCATCTCCATTCTGGGGTCGCGTTGTTGCTCTTTCCTGTGGGCTGCCCCAGAGGACCCAGATTTGGGACTGTGCCTGCAGGGAGTCTGAGAGGAACCTCTTTGCCCCATTCAACCCGTTGCACTGGCCCTGTTGTCCACAGGGTCTGAGCTCCAGGTCCTGCATTTGGACCTGGGTGGCAGGATGTGACCTGGCACTGGTGAGTCCCCCTCCCCTTCCTTCCCTTTCTGTCATGCCCCTTTCATTGCACCTATCACAGTTTGTTGTTTTAAACTTACTTGCTGTCTTTTTTTGCAATTGGATGGCAAAACCCAGGACTGTTTTTAGCACTGGATTCCTAGAACACCAGCAGTATTTGGTATTGTCCATGACTTTCTGAATGAATGAGTGAGTAAGTGAACGAATGATTCAGTTGCTATTTCCTCCTGTTCACTGTGCTACTGCTGACATCAGGTGCAGCATTACATTTCATCATGACAGGACTGCATCCTCTGCATTGGTCCCATTTTGTCCTCCCCCTGGGGAAGAAGCCAAGGATCTCTGTCCCACCCACTTCTTTTGTCCCTTCCTGAGGCTGGGGCTGGGAAAGCTCAGCCTAGGTCTAGTCCTGCGGTGTCTCTTTTTCTATTTGAGCCTCCCTAGACCTTTCTCTGCTTAGTGCATGGTGCTTTTGCATCATTCATTGCTTTTAATTCTTGCTGTTAGCTGGCCTGCTAGCCCCAGGGTGCTGTTCACCTCTATGTCCTCCCCTGGCCACCTGCCCCTTGCAAAGACCTGCCAAAAGTGAGGGGTGTTCAGGTACTTTCCTTGCTCTCTCCTCTTTCTCATTCCTCACCCTGCTCTTTCCCTCAGTAAAGAGCTCAGCATGCCCCCAGGACACTGATGATGGAAATTACTGCCACAAAGAACCAGGGTGACAGTACTGCTACCCCCTCTGCATTCCCGGTGGGTGAAAAACAGTCATTTTTCTGGAGCAGAAACATTGTTTCAAGAGTCAAAATGCACAAGGATAATTCAGTTAGGAGGATTGAGAGAGTTAATATGGAGAGGGAGAAAGATACACCATCAGGAGAGAACATTCAAATCCTCCAAGTCTCTGGAGGATTATTATATTATATGGGGATGTGGAAGCTCTCCGCTAGTTGGCATTTTAACAGAGCTGTGAACTGCAAAACCTGCAGCATGAAGGACTTAGAAAGATAAACAGGATCTCTTCTCAGCAAGGATCCTTAACAGGAATGAGTGAGGGGAGCTGAGGGCACTCTGGGGAGTCCAGGCTGCAAGTACAGTTAACGTGGGATGCTGTCCAAAGCATATGCTAAATAGCTAAACACAGCCTTGACTAGGCCACTGTCAACAGGCTGTGCTTGGCCTGTTTTGATTGAGCACTGGATGGTCTACTGGTTGGACAAGTTGAGTTTGCCTGAATCTCAGGAATGCAGGACTCCTGGGCCTGAGAGAGATCTGTTCTATAGCAAAGAGAGGCTGCACTGAGGGAAACATATTCTATCAAAGACTCTGATGCAGAAAAAAGTCTATTCGACATTCAAGTTACACTTTGCTTATGTTAACTTCACTTGTAACTAACAATCAGTTTTCTAAAATAAAAACTTGGAATGTAAAATTATTGAACAAGCACGAAAAGTCCTAAGACATACTCCAGGGACTTGCCCTGAGTTGCAGGCTTGCTGAATTGGAAGGGGTCGGGGGGCGTATTGTGACTCAGAGTCTTGAAGCCTCATGAAGAAGTGACTGGCATGAATTTTGTATGAAGAAAGGAGCATCAGTCATCAAACCTGAGAGGAGAGGTGAGATCTTGAACAGGGAAAAAACAAACTAAGTGTTAAAAGTTTAAGTGTCTGGACAGAGGTTGGGAAGATAAATGCAAGAGGGTTTGGGATGAGGGGTGAAGGGCAAGGGCACAAAAATGGGGGCTGTGGTGGAGGCCAGTTTGAAAAGGATGCCAGCGATGTGGTATGAAGCTAAGCCTGCCGCATGAACTGGGGTACTCCTGACTCAAAGTTTATCTTAGAATCCCCATTTGACCTCTGATTCCAAGACTTGAGATGTTTTAGATTGGAGAGCCTCAAAACATGATGTCTCTGAAACCTGGTAGAAAGATGTTGCTTTCTGAGTGGCAGGTGGCAAATGAAACACAAAATAGGCCCATGGGTTGAATTTCTCATTCTGGCTTAGGAATTTATGACACCTGAAGAATATGAAGGACATCAATATGGGGGCTGAAAAGGGTGAGGTCACAGTCTGGGAAGTGGTAATTGGAGGAACAGCAGCTTCCTGGATTTCTGGATTGTCATGGATTCCCAATAAGAGATGGAGGGCTGAGGACTGACCCTGTTTGGAGCACCGCTAACCAGTCTTGCAATAGCATTTGAGACTCAAGTTAGATCTTTCTGCTGGGAAAGGGACACCCTCCCCATCTCCTACCTATCACTGATAGTCCATAGCTGATAGTGGGACTTTAATGCATTCATTCATTTGCCATGCATTAAATAGTTTTTTTGTAGATATAAGCATTTTTATTCATAGATATAAGCAATAAGCTTTGAGTCCTGTGTTCAGAGATTGATATGGCACTGTGCTTGATTCAACACTGCAGATTTCACATACTTGAAGTTTTGATTACTACAAACAAATAGATATTGGAGTTAGAAAACTCTAGATTCAAATCCTAACTCAACATTTATTGACCTAACTCAACATTTATTGACCATAAGGATTAAGATCCTTAAACGTTCCAAGCCTCAGTTTTTATCATCTATGATATGAAGTTGGTAACGATTTCACAGCATCATTGTGGCACGGGAGCCAGTGCATGGTGGGCCCTCAGTGGATGGGGTCTAGCCATTCCCAACCCTTTATCCACAATTCTATAATCAAAATGCTTTGAATGCTGAAAGTTCTTTCTTAAATGTTGAGTCAAAGCACTTAGACGGCTTAACTTGTTTTGAACTAAACATGAGGCCATTTCTGCCTTTATTTCATTGAGTGTGAATATTTGTGTACTTTGCTACAGAAATAATAGTGTGCTTGATTCCAGGATGCTGCCTTGCTGGTATTGGTCTCATTTTAGCTTTCTGATAAGAAATTGTGGGGTCGTGATTGCCCCATTACATTTTGTTAAAGTCCACATTACACATACACATCATCATTAAAGAAAATGTGAGTTTCCATTTGGCAAAACTTTCCTTCTCAGGACTAGAAATGAAAACCCAACATGTGTGCTCATTGGTTTAACCAAAATTGTTATTATTTTGAGAGAGCATCTTCCTCTGTGGCCCAGGCTGTAGTGCAGTGTTGTAATCACAGTTTACTGCAGCCTCCACCTCCTGGGCCCAAGTGATCCTCCCACTTCAGCCTCCCAAGTAGCTCAGACTACAGGCATTCGGCACCACACCAGGCTAACTTTTTTATTTTTTGTAGTGATAGGGTCTCTCTATGTTGCCCAGTCTGGGTCTCGAACTCCTGGCCTCAGGCAGTCCTCCCACATCTGCCTCCCAAAGTGCTGGGATTACAGGTGTGAGACATTGCACCTGGCCTGTTTAACCAAAATGTAATGAGTAGTTACACTGTGTAAGACATGTTGCTTGGTATTCTGAAGGTTATAAAGATGAAAAAAGAGCCCTGACACTGAGAAACTAGGAATCCAGGATTTGGAATCTGACTGTACACAATTATAATGCAAGGCAGATCTTGTTAACTTTCCTGATTGGGAACTCCAGGCAGGATGACTTCACATCTGGATGAGGATGAAGCTTCATAAAGGAGGGGACATTTGAGATAGTCCCTGGTGGGTGATTAAGAATTTGCCAGGCAAAGATGGCAGAACAAAGTATTCTAAGCACAGGAATAAAAAGGGAAGTGTGTGAAGGCAAAGTGGAATTAACTTATGGAGAATATCAAGGGTTCAGTTCAGTGGTATCACAAAGTGTGTGACAAGGAGGTGGGGGTGAAGCTATGGGGGGTGGTGAATGGGGAGAGTCATGTAGGGCAGGAGTTGCCAGGGAGAATCTGTGCTTGATTTGACTGAAAAAGGAAGAGATTATTGTTGTTAATTTTTTTATCACTAAAATAATATATGAAGAGAATTCAAATTTAAATGAAGAGAATTTGGAAATGAATGTGGACATATAGAAGAACAGAGGGTACAAGGTTTCAGTTGGGCAGGAAGAATAAGTTCTAGCGAACTAATGTTCAGCATGGGGATTACAGGTAATGATACTGTATTGTATACTTGACATTTGCTAAGAGGGTAGATCTTAGGTCATCTCACTACATGTGAAAAATGGTAACTATATGAAGAGATGGATATATTAATTAGCTTGACTGTCGTAATAAGTTTACTATGTATATTTCTATCCAAACCTCATGATATACATTTCATATGGTTTGGCTGTGTCCCCACGCAAATCTCATCTTGAATTGTAGTTCCCATAATCCCCACATGTTGTGGGAGGGACCCAGTGGGAGGTAATTGACTCATGGGGGTGGTTACCTCCATGCTGTTCTCGTGATAGAGAGTAAGTTCTCACGAGATCTGATAGTTTTATAAGGGGCTTTTTCACTCCTGTGCTCTGCACTTCTCCTTGCTGCTGCCATGTGAAGAAGGACGTGTTTGCTCCCCCTTCGGCCATGATCATAGGTTTCCTGAAGCCTCCCCAGCCATGCCAAACTGTCAGTCAATTAAACCTCTTTTCTTTATAAATTACCCAGTCTTGGGTGTGTCCTTATAGCAGCGTGAGAACAGACTAATACAACAGTTTAAATATGTATAATTTCAATACAAGATTTTTAAAAGTAAACTCCTATAACCCACACCCAGATATAGCCATTGTTAATATTTTAAAATGCATCCTTTTACTCTTTTTCTGGATGAAGATAGATGGCTAGCTAGTTTGATTGATTTTGAAAGTAATTATAAATGAAATCTCATTGTTACAGGTTATTTTTATTTATTTATTTATTTTTGAGATAGAGTGTTGCTCTTGTTGCCCAGGCTGGAGTGCAATGGCATGATCTCAGCTCACTGCAACCTCCACCTCCTAGATTCAAGCGATTCTTCTGCCTCAGCCTCCTGGGTAGCTGGGATTACAGGCACACACCACCACACTCGGCTAATTTTGTATTTTTAGTAGAGATGGGGTTTCTCCATGTTGGCCACGATGGTCTCGAACTCCCGACCTCAGATGATCCACCCGCCCTCAGCCTCCCAAAGTGCTGGGATTACAGGCGTGAGCCACCATGCCCGGCCTTGTTACAGATTATTAAAAACAGTTGATTGACACAATAACTTAAGAAAATAAAATATAATAGCAGCATGGTGCCTGGATAGGTTGGTGATTGAGCAATCTACCAATAAAAAAAAAATTAAGAGTGTTGTTGCAATGGTTAAGAGGAAACAGATCCTTGAACTAGGGTGGTGGATATGGATAAACAAAGGAGGGCTAGATGCTTCCAGTTTCCAGCCCAGATGACTGGGGAATTGGGAGCCATAAACATGGCCTTTGCGGGAGGGGAGGACTAGGTGTGTATCTTTAGATGTGTTGAATGTGTGGTGGTGGTCAATCTGGTGGTTAGAGATGTGGGCCGGGACTCAGAGGAGGACAAAATCCAGATTTGAAATTCATTTACATTTTAAAGATTGCTTTGGTTAAAGAAGGTGAGATTTCTGAAGGAGAAAATAGAGAATTTTTTTAAACAAAGATAAGAAAAGAAATGTGGGGTCATCCATGTTTAGAAAATGGCAGAAAGACAGGGAGCTAGAGAAGGAGACAGACGAGGGAACCCAGGATGGTAGGAGAAATTCAAGAGTGCAGGGTCCTTGCAGTCAAGGGTGGAAGTCACTTCAAAAACGGGTTATTTGTAGCCTGAAATGTTATAGAGAAGAAAATGTTATAGAGAAGAAAAGAGGATGAAGATTCAGCAAAAAAGATGGAAGGAAATAATGTGTAAGGTATCTAGCGCATCTTCTGGCACAGGGAAAGAACAGTAAATATCAGCTATTATTTGAACAACAGACCATTACATTTGGCAGTTAGGAAGTGTTTACCCCTTCATCCTCAGACCCAGCCAAATGTCTTGCACAGAGTTGGAGCTTATTAAGTGTGTTGTACAATATAATCAATGAGTAGAAGACAGAAGAGGAAGAGCTTAAGAATGGTGATAATGTAGAGGTGGCCAAGTCATAAATCTGCTCATCCCAGCCAGTAATCCATTCCTCGCCCCAGGGAAACTCCTGCCTTTTGGGAATGTGTCTCCTGGGGTCAACTGTGCACACAGGCTAGTGTGCATGGGGAGCCAGGCCAGCACTATGGGGACCTGATTGAGAGAGAGGTTGATGGCAATCTCCTGCTAACAGTTCTCAACCTCTCACAGGTGTCACATAGAATGGGCATCAAGTGCAATGGGTAACTACAGCATTGTCAGGGAGTTTGTGCTCCTGGGATTTTCTTTTTTTTTTTTTTTTTTAATTGATCATTCTTGGGTGTTTCTCGTGGAGGGGGATTTGGCAGGGTCATAGGACAATAGTGGAGGGAAGGTCAGCAGATAAACAAGTGAACAAAGGTCTCTGGTTTTCCTAGGCAGAGGAGCTCCTTGGATTTTCTTATCTCCATGAGTTCCAGGTTCTGCTGTTTGCTCTGATCCTGTTGATATATGTGCTGATGCTGCTGGGCAACCTGGCCATCATCAGCTTCATTTGCCTTGATTCCCGCCTTCACTCACCCATGTACTTCTTCCTCTGCAACTTCTCCCTCATGGAGATGGTGGTCACCTCCACTGTGGTACATAGGATGCTGGCAGACCTGCTATCCACTCACAAGACCATGTCCCTGGCCAAATGCCTAACCCAGTCTTTCTTTTACTTCTCCCTGGGCTCTGCCAACTTCCTGATACTCATGGTCATGGCCTTTGATCGCTACGTGGCCATCTGCCACCCCCTGCGCTACCCAACCATCACGAATGGTCCAGTGTGTGTGAAGCTGGTGGTGGCCTGTTGGGTGGTTGGTTTCCTCTCCATTGTCTCTCCCACACTGCAGAAAACACGACTCTGGTTCTGTGGCCCTAACATCATCGGCCACTACTTCTGTGACTCTGCCCCGCTGCTCAAGCTTGCCTGCTCTGACACCCGCCACATTGAGCGCATGGACCTCTTCCTGTCCCTGCTCTTTGTGCTGACCACCATGCTGCTTATCATCCTCTCCTACATCCTCATTGTGGCTGCAGTGCTGCACATCCCTTCCTCCTCTGGATGCCAGAAGGCCTTCTCCACCTGTGCCTCTCACCTCACAGTGGTGGTTCTGGGCTATGGCAGTGCCATCTTCATCTACGTGAGGCCAGGCAAGGGCCACTCCACATACCTCAACAAGGCGGTGGCCATGGTGACTGCAATGGTAACCCCTTTCCTCAACCCCTTCATCTTCACCTTCCGGAATGAGAAGGTCAAGGAGGTCATTGAGGATGTGACTAAAAGGATCTTCCTTGGAGACCCAGCAGCCTGTAGGTGAGAGGGTGAGCCCTTGACAGGGCTAGAGAGCACCTGACAAGTCACGAGGAGTAGACTTGCTGCAGGTGGGCACCCACATGCCTAAGCTGGAGCTCCTCACTCTCTTTTTTCTCATTTTCTCCTGGTCCCTCATCTTCATGCAAGTTTCTTCTCCTGCACTGCAGAGAACTAATGGACACACATTGGTAGAATGTCTCAAAGGCAAGTTTCTGTGCACCTGGGATAGTTAAGGAATGGATAGGGAATGCAGAGTGAGTACAATGGGACGGTCTTAATTAAAAGAGATAATCCAAACAAATAAGGCTCTTAGTGCAGGGTCTG
Source organism: Homo sapiens (assembly GCF_000001405.40). NCBI lineage: Eukaryota > Metazoa > Chordata > Mammalia > Primates > Hominidae > Homo > Homo sapiens. The sequence continues at coordinate 143,062,163 of NC_000007.14, read as the reverse complement.
GCACATTAAGTAAGAGCTCAGTAAATGTAGCTATTATTAAAATGTCCTATTAAAACCTTTCTTTCTTAGCTCTGTGGTTTTGCTTGCATTCTTTTAAGTTTCCTTTATTTTGGATGTGTTTCCTTTTCAGGACCTGGCTTCAAGGTCTATGATAGAGTTCTGAAAATGGGAGGTGCTCTAAGAAGAGCAGAGAGGCCTGGCACCCCAACACAGGAGGAGCCATGTGCTTCTGTTGGCTCCCCTCTCTCGGCCTGACCGCTCCTGGATGGAAGCACCCCTCACACCCAGGCTGCCCACTTCTTCCATCTGGCCCCAAAGCCTCTTGCCTTTCCACAGAAATGGCTCTCTGGGAGCCACTCCTCCAACCCTCTTATAGAAAGTCATGAAGACCTTACCTTTTTCATGCACTTGAGAGTGGGGGAAAGCTGAGCTGCGTCTGCACTCTCAGACTTGCTGCCTTCCCCTTCCCGTGGGGCCACTACTTCCCTTCTACTGCAGAATCTTAGATCCAAGTTCCAGAAGAAGGACCAGTTGCCCAGGCCTTCTGAGGCTGGGTTTCCTGAGAGCAGCCTGGCCAGATTACCAGGGCCCCTGGATGGTAGAAGCAAAGGTGGTAGAAATCAGATGAGAAGGAGTAAACGGAGTGGGACTGGTGTTGTAGGTAACGTGGTGGGAGGGCTGATAAGAGAGGCATTCCTCGGAAATCTGGATGGCGTGAGAAGTCATGGGAAGATGGTAGGGGCAGGAAGAGATCCGGGTCTGGTTTCTTTTACTAGACTGAGTCTCAGCTGGGCTGGGCTAGGATTAGCAAAGCGGGGCAAAGAGTAGATGCAAACTTCCTCTCATTTCTGAAGCTGGTTCTGTCCACAGGATCCCTAGAGGAGAGGCCCTGCTCATAACTTGCAGTGTGGTGTCACAGTGTGGGAGCCACCCCACAGGGCCAAGACTATGAAGAATGGTTTCAGGGGAAGCCTTCCAGGACACAGAGCTTGGAGGCACCACTGTCTTACTGTCTCTGCCATTTAGCTTGATCTCTAACATAGCTCTTTTTCTTTTTCAACCCCCACAGTACATTTTTGCATTTGTGGGCCTTGCCAAAAGTGGGCAGATACTTCTGATTCTGCTGTAAAGACCAGCAGGGAAAAGTTTTTCATCCTGAGAACTTGTCTCTTTCACCTCCCAAGAGACTAATTACTTGCCCTCCTTGCAAACTTCCTGAAAAACTGAAGAGCTAAGTGGAAAGTAATTATCTCCTTCTGAGATGCAGATACTTTTCCTCAGCTTCTCCTCCTAAAATAATCAGCACAGGAGTCACTCAGTGTCCTCCCCAGGGACTCCTTCCTGCTACTCGCTCTTCTCTGCACATTCCCCCTCTTAAAAAACTAAAAATAATCAATAGCCTATAGCGGGCTATCTCCTGTTTTTCATAGGATTTCCTTGGAAGTGGGGTCTCTGGTCAGTTTTGGGGACGGTCTGACTAGCTTTGGGCCTTCATAGCAATCACCCCATGGAATCCAGCATCATGCAGCCTGACCTGCCCCACAGCCTTGCCTGTGGTTCTTTGCTCTTCAAAGTGTGATGCTTGAAACAGCACTGGCATCTCCTGGGAGCTTATTGGAGATGCAGAATCTCAGGCCCCACCTGAGACCTCCTAAATCAGAATCTGCATTTTTGCAGATCCCCGGGTGATTCCTATGCACGTTAATATCTGAGTAACGCTGAGCTAGACAATTTGCTGGTAGAGTTTTCAAACAATAAATTGTATAAGAAAGGCCTTGTTCCAATCTCAACAACGTGAAGGGCATTGGAAGAGGGAATTTGGGGACACATTTGCTATTGTTGGATCCATCATTCCTTAGTGACCTTTATCCCAGGTCCCATTTCCGGAGACAGTAGTAACCAGGATGAAGACCCTGAAGACTCTCATCCTAGTCTGACTTTAAGCTTCTTGAGTGACTTCAATCAATGGCCCAGCCTCTGACTCACTGTTAGAATTCTATGTGGATGTCACCTAGAGATGTCTAGATATATTGGTTCCAGACATTTGTCTTAATGTGGCAGGGATGTCAATGTGCACAATGGCAAATGAGACTCCTGGATAGATAGAAACGAAAAAATAATTTTTTAAAAATCTTGCAACTTGCTGGGAGGAATCTTGGGATTCCAGTTCCAAATCAAAGTAGCTGTTATAAAAGGCTCCTCAGGTTTAAGACATGATGTAAGTAAACCACAGCTTCATGGAACTGCAAGGGAGTTTGTAGGTCATGCAGGCCTGCCTCCCTCTGTCTCAGTGCAGGCATCCCCACTGCAACACACTGATCAGACTGGCTTAGGGACTCTGCTTGAACCAAGTCCAGGGATGGAGCATGCCCAGCGGTGGGAGGCAGCCCCTTTCTTCACTGCATGGTTCTAAATTTTAAGAAGAAATCCTTATGTCAAACCTCAATGTGACGTCCTCTAACCTTCACCCATTGTCCCAGTTCTGCCTTTTTCAGTTATGCAGGCAGACTAGCAGGTAAGCAAAGATATCTATGCATTCCCCTCCAAAATATTCAGGTTTACAAATAGGAGGTTGCATCAAACCGTTTCTAGAACTCTTGCCTTCTGCATTGCTTTGTTTGGTTCCTGTTAGGTGCATCTTGGAACTGACTGACGTACTAGTGTGGACAACTAACTGAGATGTAGTGCAGTGGGAAACCTTTCCTCTTGCTCTGTTGACTGCATTTCTTACCATCAACTAAGATGGCATTCCATGTTTAGGTTATCGTGCTAACTCATGTTCCAAATTCACATAAACCTCATGATTAATGACAGCTAGCATTTATTGAACACCTACTATATTCTAGGTACAGGAAAAACAAAGATCTATAAGGCACGACACCTAACATAAGGAGCTCAGAATCCACACATAGACAAAACTACATTGAACCAAGTCCAGAGATGGACCATTCCCAGCTGTGGGAGGAAGCCCCTTTCTTCACTGCATGGTTCAAATCTTAAGAAGAAATCCTTATATCAAACCTCAGTGTGACTTCCTCTGAGTTCCTGAAGGCAAAGCTCTTGGGGAATGCCCCATTTCTTTTGATTAAGTTGAAAGTTAAGCTGAAATGACTTTTTGAGGTCCAAAGAACAGTTTTATAGGCTGAGAAGAGGAAAAGTGAATTCCTGAGAGAGGCAACTGAGTGTGTAAAATAACATAGGCATAAAATGGTATATTGTGTAGACAACCAAAGCCTAAAGAGACGAGATTAATGAGTGGATTTCTGGAGACTGGCCATGGGTATCATCACTAATCAGACCCAAGCCCCCCAGGGGACCCGTAAGTGTCCTCTGCAAGATGCTGTACTCACTGAAATAACAGGGCATATTTGATAACAACAAACTTCAGTGTGTACATCAGTGTAGAAATCTCTGCTTGCCTAGGGCAATCATATTGTAGTCACCAAAGGTGCTATTTATCTTCAGCACTGAAACTGTATTGCCTTTAATTTTGCAAAAACCTAAGTAAGTTCAGAGAGCTTAGCTTTTCTGAAATGCTTGATTTCCCTCTCTGCCAGCAGCTGAATTAGTCACATGTTATACCCCTTTAAGGCTGGTTTGGTCGGGTCCTCCAACAAAAGGGAGGCATGGGGATGAGGCAGAGAATGGGGGATCTGCCTTCTGTGTCTGTGGAGGAGAGGGAAGGAAATCTGTGATGTCCCCTCTCCTTAGATCACAGCCAACTTCCTCCATGACAAGGACAAGGGCCTCATATACAGTCCTTTGGACTCACCCCCAGGGCTGGGTAACCCAAGAACTTCTGGGTGAATTGTCCACTGAGTGAGGGAAGTGGCAGAAACACAAGTGTGAGTGGTGAGCTGCCCAGCTGCTAGTGAAGAAGCCAAGTCCCCTCATATATGGAGGATCCTGTGTCTATCAGATAAAATAATTCATAAGTTCCCTTATAAGGGCAATTCCATGAGCTTTACCTCCATAGGACTTGGCAGGTGTCTAACTCAAGGGAAGGAGAATGACAGCAATGCAGCATTGACTGGGGAGCAGGATCTAAGGGAAACCCAGAGGTAGGATGCTAGTGATGTTCTGGAGCCTCCTGGAGAACCCATACTGGGGCATTGCTACAAGACTCCTGAGAATGTGGAAGGGACTTTGGAACTGGCTAACTGGCAGAGGCTGGAACAGTTTGGAGGGCTCAGAAGAAGATGGGAAGGTATGGGAAAGTTTGGAAGTTCCTAGAGACTTGTTGAATGATTTTGACCAAAATGCTGATAGTGATATGGACAATGAAGTCCAGGCTGAGGTGGTCTCAGATGGAGATGAGGACCCAAATGTTAGTAGCCAAGGCAATAGGGAAAATGTTTACAGAACACGTCAGAGACCTTCACAGCAGCCTCTTTCATCACAGCCCAGAGGCCTAGGAGGGAAAAATAGTTAATGGGCCAGGCCCAGGGCCCTGCTGCTCTGCACAGCGTCAGGACTTGGTGCCCTGCATCCCAGCCACTCCAGCTCCAGTCATGGCTAAAAGGAAAGAAGGTACAGCTCAGTTCATTGCTTCAGAGGGTGCAAACCCCAAGCATTGGCAGCTTCCACGTGATGTGGCAGAAGACAAGAGTTGAGCTTTGGGAACCTCTGCCTAGATTTCAGAGGACGTATGGAAATGTCTGGAAATCGACCGTTAAATTGGCAGGAATTAAATACAGGCATGATAAAAAAAATTAGATAACAGAAACTCAAAATCAAATAAGTTATGCTAAAAACAAAGGTGATTCATATTCAAAACTCCTAATTACTTTGCTATATTTTACTTTTGTCCATGAGATTGAGGTTATTTAGGCCACCTGTCTCAGTGTGGTGGAAATACTATATGGGGCTGCATGGTGGGGCATCTTTCCGTAACTCCAACTTCAGATGTCATCTCGGTAGCTTAAAACTGGACATGGTGAAAATATTGACACCAGGAAGTTGGCAAATGCTAGAAGTCAGCAAATGGAGAGAGGTGGCTAAACATTTACTATCAGACCACTGAGCCACGACCACCATTCCTCAGTACCCGTCAGGCATTGTTGAAAAAACATATGTACATCAGAAAACCTAGTGCTGAAAGAATTAGTGAATTAGATTGATATGAATCTAGTCCACTGTAGGCAACACTGACATTTTCTTAGTTTGACCCAGAGGGTTTTACACCTCACCACTCCTAAAATCCCATCTGTGCAGGGTCTTGATGTTGCTACCAACCACCGCAAGACCCAGGCCTGACTTTCCTTTGAAAAGTGATTATATGCCTTTGTCTTCCTTCTTCAAAAACTTTCATACCTTCAATTTCTTGCTCTCTAATCCTCCCAACTGGAAGAAATAAATCCATTTTTTTGGCTTCCCACTGGGATATACATGTGTGAGAATGGATTCTTGGGTTAGCCATTTAGAACTAGGATGCCAGACAAATGAAGGGTGTGTGGGAGGATATTTGGGGCCAGGGAAAACATTTTAGTTTCACGAAATCCTGTCATGATTTCGCCCACACTTAAATTAGTTCTGGGTATTGAAAGCAACCTTGCCCTCCTACCACCCTGAAATTAGGTTCCAGTGTAAGCCACTTCTATGAAGTGGAAAGGCTGTTGCCATCTGTGCATCTACATCCAACAACCTTACATAGACAAACAACCACATCAACTGTTCTCACCTCCCAGGGAAAATGATGTCATAGCAAAGGGACTGTGAATCCACTGTATAATTAACATTGTATATGAACAGAATCAAAATATTTATTCAAAATAAAAATATCTTACATGTGTAGGTATTATTTGCTCTATTTCAAATGTTTGTGGAAACAGTGGTGATAAATAAAATACAAATCTTTTTTTCCTTCTTTCCAACTTTTATTCTGGGTTCAAGGGGTACATGTGCAAGTTTGTTACCTGGGTAAATTGCATGTTGCTGAGGTTTGGTGTACAGATAGCTTTGTCACCCAAGTAATCAGCATAATACCTGATAGTTTTTCAATCCTCACCCTCCTCCCTCCCTCCATCCTAAAGTAGGTTCCAGTGTCTATTATACCCTTCTTTGTGTCCATGTATACTCAATATTTAGCTCCCATTTATAAGAGAAGATGTGGTATTTGGTTTTTTGTTTCTGTCTTAATTTGCTTAGGAAAATGGCTTCCAGCTCCATCTGAGTTGCTGCAAAGGACATGCCCTCACTCTTTTTTATGGCTGCATAGTATTCCATAGTGTATATGTACCACATTTTCTTTATCCAGTCCACCATTGATGGGCATCTAGGTTGCTTCTATGCCTTTGATATTGAAACACAAATCTTTAAAAGTAACATTGAATCTATACTTGCTTTCTGCCAATATGTGTTTCTTTCAAGTGATGGATACTAAATGTGCAATTACTGTGAGGAAGGGGTTACTAGAATTGTTGCCATTACAAATCTACAAACTTGTAGAATCTTGATAGATATGTGCTCAGTAAGGGTCTAGAGGAGGCAAAACTGAGCAGCTTCAGATCCTGGAGGTTCCAACTTTGAATTAACCCAACTTTTAATTCAGATGGAAGAAGAAAATTCCAAAGATGGGGAGATGGAAAAAAAGGTTTGAAGAACCAGATCCTGCTGTCGGTTCTGCAATTTCTTTGACCAACTCATTCTTCCTCTCAGCCATGTTTCCCTTACCCGCTAAAGCGGGTCGGGAACACCGCTTGCTGCAGTTTCAGAATCAGAAATTTTCCTTCCGAGCTCTCATACTCTATAGGAAAACACCTTATTGAAATTAACCACACTTTTAAATTTCTCTCAGTACATGGAACCCCTTGAGGTCAGACTCCTCATTTCTTTCATCTTTAACAGCCACTGCTGAGTGGAGTGTTTTGCTCATGATGGGTGATCAGTGAATATTTATTTAACTGAATTACTATGAGGGTAAAACCAAATGGAAAATATATGTAAAAGTGGTTCATAAAGTATGAAAAGTATACAAAAGTAAGATATTGTTAGTAGAATTATTCTTAATTTACTCATCCTTCTTTCATTTACTCTACAAATACTTTTCTAGGTAGCAAGCAGAGAATAAACAGAGGAAAAAAACATCAATTCATTCAATAGCAACTGCAAACAACAGAATCATTGCTCTGTTATGTAATTAAAGAACAAGCAAAATTTTGGTCCAGAAACTGAAACTGGGAATGTGAAAAGACCCTCCGACTTGGCTAAGGGGTATCTCAGCAAGAAAGAAAGACACTTTCAGAAAGCCAGAGAAAGGGATGCCTCGTTTAGGAAGGAGTTAGCTTGGGGTAAGAGGAGGTCACAAGGAGAACCAATGGGTTGGTAAGCAAGCTGCATCTCTCAAGCTCCAAATGAGCTTACCTCATTCATTTCCACATAGTGGATTTTTTAAATGCTTGACATTTGTGATAAATTAGTAGTTTTATTGTTTTCAAGTAAGTGTAGCTACGAATAAACTCCTGGTTGTAGTTTATATATCACAAATTGGGATATGGAGTTTGGTAAATTAAAGTGTACTTACAGAAACAGTGTGTCAAAACAACTTAAATTGGGGCTACTTTAGAAAATTCTGCATGGGCAAAAGCTAAGGGAACACCATGATCCTGAGGTCAAAGTAACTGGAAGATTTTAAAAATTTCAGGCTATAGTTGGAGGAGGGAGGACAGTGGAGCTGATGTTTAACTCCAAAGGCAGCATGGGACATAATAGATTTTCAAGAATTTTATACCCACACGTATGTGAATGTAATATAATGTTCATATTTTATGTAATGTACAATATAATATGTATGTGTGTAAAATAGGATATATAATCACTGAATAAGTGAACTTACTAGGTTTATTACAATCCCTTGCCTTTAGGCAAATGAATGTTTCTAATCATACAGGAGCAAAGTTTATTTTGTCTTTCTAAAACTCTGAATATTTCCTCTCTGGAAACCACATAATTCCTCACTAGCGGAGATTTATCTTGTTTTAATTTCTCTCTGTTTCATCTTTCTCTGATGCAAAGGTACCTGATGAATTGCACTCTCACAGTGTCCACCTTATAGTCAATGTGCTACTCAGGTGTCATCTTGTCAGGAAGCCGTCGCTGAGCCTCCTCCTGGTCTCAGTGTTGCTCCCCTGTGTGCTCATAATACCGTCTGTGAATCCACTGTTGCACGTTCCCCACTGTGCTGGAAACAGCTATTTATCACTTTTTCCTTCCTTAGGCCAAGAGCTTTGTCAGGTTAAGAACCATTTATGCCTTTTTTACCTTTCTACCCTCTACCTGTTACAGTGCCTGACACACACAGCCTACTCAATGTTGAAGAAATGAATGAATAAATGGATGAATAATTATACAAGGACCCAGTCCTCCTCCCAACACTCACACACACATTGAAAAACAATCAGTTTGTTTTTGGTAAGTTTTGCTTCTTCTCTTGATCCCATGTAGCCCAAGCACTTATGGTGCATACACTCAGCAGCAGTGCATACTGTGATAGAGAAGCACACCCGGAACATGCACACGCATACACACATATGTACACACATACACACCCATGCACACATACTGGGATTGGACACTACCTCTTGATCATAGAGCACTTCTTGGCTGCTCTTCCTTAAATGCAAAGCACATGCACTTCCCTTTACTGAAAGCTCTGGGCTACTCTCAGAGTTCTTACGGCTGCCAGGGGATGTAGGGAACTCTTCCATGGTGGTCCATAAGAGCTTTGGGCCAGACAGTGCAGCACTCAGGGCTCACTGTAGTTATTGCTCAGAGGGAAAAAAACTAAAGAAACTCAGCAGTGTTCTTCCCACTTGCTGGAGGTCTCCCTCCCCACAGAACTGCTCAATGGAGGCAGGCCAGGTTCCCCTGGGCCCTGGGCTCATCATTGTGCCTTGCAAAGGCCTTTCAGCCTCTGCATCTGCCCCTGTAGCACTGTTTTAACTGTCTGATTGCAGAAGGTAAGGATAAAGGGATTGAGAAAGGGGGTGAGAACTGAAGTCACCAAGGCCACGACCTTCCTGACTTGCACAGAGTGAGCTTTGCCAGGCCTGACATACAGAAAGATGGTACTACTGTAGCCGATGAAGACCAGTGTGAGGTGAGACCCGCAAGTGGAGAAAGCCTTCTGGCAGCTGCTGGCAGAGGGGATCCGCAGCACAGTGGTCACTATGTAGCCATAGGAGATGAGGGTCACCAGGAAGGAGCTGAGGACAAAGGTCAAGGCCATCAGAAAGTCCCAGAATTCCAACAGGCGAGTGTCAGAGCATGACAACTGCAGGAGAGGTTCATTGTCACAGAAGAAGTGGTTGATGACGTCGCCATGGCAGTAATCAAGATGAGCTCGGGAGAGGACAGTGGGTACCATGGCTAGGAAAGGAGCTGCCCAGGCAGCCCCAGCCAGCTGGACACACATAGCCCGGCTCATCAGAGTGCCATAGCGCAGTGGGTGGCAGATGGCCACAAAGCGATCAAGGGCCATGTCTGTCAGGATGAGGAAGGAGGTGGACCCCAGGGAAAAGTGGAAGTAGAACTGGACCATGCAGCCAGTGAAGGTAATGACTTTGTGGGGGACCAACAGGTCTGAGAGCATCCTGGGCACTGCAGTCATGGTTACCAAGATCTCCAGCAGGGAAAAATTGCCCAGGAAGAAGTACATGGGTGTATGTAGGTGGGTGTCAGCTATGACCATAACTATGATGATGGTGTTTCCCATGAAGGCGAGAAGATAAAGCATGAGGAAGGGGCCATACAGAAGGGCCTGCAGCTCACCAAAGGAGGAGAAGCCCAAGAGGACAAATTCGGAGGGCTGGCTCAGATTTGCCATGATCCACAGTATGGGGCCCTGCATGCAAGAGAAACAAAAGACAGACGGAGAGGCAGAAACAGAGAGATAGAGACAGAGAACCATTGAACTTGAAACAGAAGAAACAGGGACAGAGACAGAGAATAGAGAGAGAAAGGCAAGTAGCCAGCGAGTGATAAACAGAAAAGCAGAAAGAAACGGCAATAAAGAAAGATAACAAAACAGGAATGGGAGAGTCAAGGAGAAACAGAGTGAGGGTATGAGAGAAGTGAAAGACATAGAAAGCCATTATTAAGAAGAGAGAAGGCTGGGGATGGTGGTTCATGCCTGTAATCCCAGCACTTTGGGAGGCCGAGGCAGGGGGAACACTTGAGGTCAGGAGTTCAAGACCAGCCTGGCCAACATGGTGAAACCCTGTCTCTACTAAAAATACAAAAATAAGCCAGGTGCAGGCAACTGTAATCTCAGCTACCTGCAAAACTGAGGCATGAGAATCGCTTGAACCTGGGAGGTGGAGGTTGCAGTGAGCCGAAATCGTGCCACTGCACTCCAGCCTGGGTGACAGAGTGAGACTCCATCTCAAAAAAGAAAAAAAAAAAGGGGGGGAAGAAAGAAAAACAGAGGAAAAGATTAAGGAAGACCACATGGCAACAGACATTGACATTTAGGGAGAAAACAAGAAGGAAACAACAGAGGACCAGAGAAAGAACAGAAAAAATTCAAATAGAGAAATACAGGAAGGGGAGGAACACAGAAAAAGAGAGGGAGAGAGAGCATTAGTGCATGTGACCCAGAAGCCCCCAAATGTAGGCTAATCCGTCTATGTCACACCCAGAGGTTGTGCCCCAAGACCCTTTTTAAAGGGTCCCTGCAAACCTTTCTGAGCTGCCTCTCTGAGGACCCTCGCTTGTGCACATTTCTCCGGCTATGATCATGAAATTAGTGAAAGTCAGAGTTTTGAGTCCAGAAATTAACTTCCTTTAGAGGAGACCTCTGCTTCGTGTTTGCAAAGATGGAGAGCAGAAAGGGTGCAGCAGGTCAGGGAGCGAGCCTGGAAATCCAAGTGGCTGCTCTCCCAGGACACACACAGTCATCAGGCTTCCCAACGGCATAATCTGTCTACCCAAGGGTGCTGCTTTGCCGTCTCCATTGCACTTCCCCTCCCGCCGTGGTGCAAAGTGTAAGCTATGGAGTTGGCTTGCCTGTGTTTGAATTCTGGCTCTAGACTTGCTTGTCACGGGCCGTAAATCTGCTCTTCTTTGTTACTTACTCTCTCTGAGCCCGTTTATTCAGCTGTAAAATAATGGTATTACTGGTACTTAGCCTCTATGGTGATTATAAAATTAAATAAGTAAACTACTTAGTGCAGTGACTAGCACATACTAGCCAACAAATCGTTGTTGTTATTGTTATCACTGTTCTTATTGTTAGACCGTCAATAGAACTCAAATTTTTTTTGCCCATCATCTCTCTACACTTCTTCTCATTGCCAGCATGTGTGTGTGTGAAGATCTTTACAGCTTTACACTGTTTCTTGGAATTTCAGTTCACTAAAAGGGTACTTTAAAACATTTCAAACACAAACAAAGTATTTACAACACAAACTGTCAGGAGTGGAAGGAGTGAAGCTGTGTGTAGATATACTCTGGCCCTTTCTCCAGCCCCATAAATGCTTCATTTGGGGTTGTGTCCTGGCCACACAGCAATGACATTCTAATTTTAAAAAGCCTTGCACCCGGCCAGGCGCGGTAGCTCACGCTTGTAATCCCAGCTGTTTGGCAGGCTGAGGTGGGCGGATCACGAGGTCAGGAGTTCAAGACCAGCCTGGCCAACACAGTGAAACCCCGTCTCTACTAAAAATACAAAAATTAGCTGGGCATGGTGGCGGGCACTTGTAATCCCAGCTACTTGGGAGGCTGAGGTAGGAGAATCACTTGAACCTGGGATGTGGGATTGCAGTGAGCTGAGATCATGCCAATACACTCCAGCCTGGATGACAAAGCTAGACTCCATCTCAAAAACAATAAAAAATAAATAAATAAATAAATAAATAAATAAATAAATAAATAAAGCCTTGCACCCATGCCACTGGCAAGCCTTAACGGTAGGTCTAAAATCCTAAAATCTACCCCAGCACTGACTAAATTCAAACCCAGTCCTTATGTTTGTGTTGCATGAGAACCTGACTGACATACAGACTTCCCCCCCTCACCTTAGCCTCCAAGCCTGTTGTCTTCTTTGTAAGCTGCTCTCACTTAGGCATTCATACCTGGAGACACCTGCCTACTGGCCTCACTCTATAACATGAATGACATCAGAGATGCAGTCTCTTTCCCTTGGGTTGTGTCTTGCGGCTGGAAAGGGTGGAAAGGGGCTTTGTGCACAGCTTGGAAGAGGTGGCACTGCTGGGTGAGCTAAAACTCTGCCAGTCCTTATGCTGATTTTCTAATTCAGCACCTACCCTGTGTCACTACAAAGCCAGGGGCAGCAGCATTGATGTGGGGCTGGGAGATGGGAAATAAGTCCCTCAGGAGACCAGAGGGGAAAGGTGCTGATTCTGTCCATTCTCTCTCAAGGATGAGTGTTTTCAGCTCTTTCTCTCATCCACATCTCCAAGTCCTTCGTGTCTTGATGATGTTTACAGTTCAGCTTATGCTGGATGGGAAACTTAGACTCCAGCAGAGTGTTTTCTGTGGGAATGACAGGAAGCCAAGGAGCCCTCTGGGGACTTCTGAGGCACTGACGTTGCTCCTTAGAATAATGAGATGTCCTCTGTTTTGAGGAAGTAACATTTGAGAAAAAGATCTGAATAAAGAAATGGATAAAGACCCAGATACACCCAAGCAGCTGACGGCTTAGGATCAGCACCTCGGCAGTGCCTGTCTCCTGGCCCTTCCCCTCCTCCCAGGACCATGGAAAAAATATGAGATCATGGAAAAAACACAAAGGAATTTTCCCAGCTGGACTAAAATTATGACAGCCTGGGTACCTAGCCAGGGCTGGATCCAGAGTTTCCATTTGCAGACAAAATCTCCAAGTGGATCCAGGGTTTAGGGATCTAGGGAGGCAGGGAATGGAGGCCCTGGACCATAGCAGCCTCTTGTTAAAATTCTCCAAAGAAAGTATCATTTGGAGAAGTCTGGGAATCAAACAGATATCTGCCTCCAGAGGCAGGGCCCTTGGTGGACACATCTTGGGATCTGGCTCCTGTGAGAAGATACACACCCTGGGGACAAAGGTAAAGGGAATATGGGGAGGCCACTCCAAGCTTCCAGCTCCCTAGTAAACTCTGAGTCACAGTCTTTCATCTCAGAGACATTTAAACCTTATGCATGATACCCAGTGCAACCCCACCCACACTGAGACAGAAATAATGACTCAAAGATTTCAAGGAAAAGCTGTGCAATGAAGGTAGTACAGATGGGCCCTGAGGTTAAGAATAACCAGGGCTGGAGGGGTTGACCAGGCAATCTTTCTGTAGGACTTGAGCTTGGAACTGAGATTTGGAGCTGACCCATTGAAAGCAAAGAAGAGGCTGGGAACGGTGGCTCATGCCTATAATCCTAGCACTCTGAGAGGCCAAGGTGGGTGTATCACTTGAGGTCAGGAGTTCCAGACCAGCCTGGCTAACATGGTGAAACCCTGTCTGTACTAAAAATACAAAAAATTAGCCTGTAATCCCATTTACCCAGGAGGCTGAGGCAGGAGAATTGCTTGAGCCCATGAGGCAGAGGTTGCAGTGAGCCAATATCGTGCCACTGCACTCCGGCCTGGGTGGCAAAGCAAGACTTCGTCTCAAAACAAAAACAAAAACAAAAAGAAAGAAAGTAAAGAAAAATGTAGGTCACAAGGCTAGAAATGGAGGAGGAAGAAGAAAGGAGCCAGTTGCTAGCAGGGAGCTCAGGTAGGAAGACAGGTCCTGGGCAGAGCAGGGCTGGAGGCAGGGGCTTGGGAATTGAAAGGCAGGAGCATAGGTCGGGGCTACATGGGCCTTCATGACTATTCATTTTCTATTGCTTCTGTAGCCAATTACCACAAATTTTGTAGCTTAAACAACACAAATTTATTACCTGACAAATTCTCCAGGTCAGTAACTTGACCAGGCCTCAATGAGCTAAAATCAAGGCGTCATCAGGGCTGCCTTCCTTTCTGGAGTCTCCTTGCTTTTCCACCTTCTAGAAGCTGCCCACATTCCTTGGCTTATTGTTCCCTCGTCCATCTTCAAAGCCAGTCACATGTGTCTCTCAGAACCGTCTTCTGTCATCACTTAGCCCTCTGACTGAACTCAGAGGAGAAGTTTCTCCACTTTTACAAATCCCTAAGATTAGATTCAGCCCATCTGGATCACCCCTAAGATTAGATTCAGCCCACCTGGATCGCCCAGGCTAATCCCCTCATCTCAAGGTCTTCAACCCAATCACACCTGCAAAGTCCCCTTTCCTATGTAAAGCAACATTTCACAAATTCCAAGGATTAGGGCTTGGACATCGTTGAGGGGGCATTCCTCTGCCTATCGCAATGACTACCATGCAGCTTTGGTGCCTGGTGAACCACTTATTTGACCAGATCCATTCATCTTTACACAATTGTGTTCATTCCTTAATAAATATGTAGCGTCAACTCGGTTAAATGATCATAACATAGAGCAGGCTCCATAATCCAGGAGCATAATCCTAAATCTGTCCTTATTTCCTTTGGGATTAAAGGCATGTGGAGCAATGTTAATTCTTGTTTCCTTTCTAGCCTTCCCAGAGAGAAAGAGCTAGGATTGAAACAGCGAGGGGAACTACTCTAGTGCCACTCAATTCTGTCTCCTGGGCTTCCCAGGCTTTGAGGAACTGCCCCATTTCCTTTTGGTTAACTTCTTCTTTCACTTGATGAGATTAATGGGAAATGCAGTCATTTACATGGTTGAATTGATGAAGTCTTCAGTCTCCCGGGGATTTCTTCCTCAGTCAACTCTTCATCTTTTCACACAGTCTATTAATGGACATTTCCATTGTTATTGCTTCTTTGATCCAGATTGATTCCTACTCCAGTATCCCCTCAGCCTCTGGCCAAAAAATAATCCTTCTCCACTCATGCCTCCCATTTCACCTGTGTGGTGATTGACTATGACAGCTGCTTGTTTCTCTACGTGAAACCCAAGCAAATTTGGGCAGCAGAATAAAACAAGGTAGTTTTCCTGTTTATTTTCCTGTTGACCCCCTTTCTGAACCTTCTTACAGGTCAGATTTACTGACCTAAATCAGTTTTAGGTGGGCCAGTCCTCATGGATTCTAAGGTAATCTGGAAAATACTAACAAATATCTAAGCTAAAGCATCTTTATTTTCATCATCAAACCATATGTAATTATCACACTCAGGCCCTTGGAAGTGGGCAAAATACACAAACATAAAAACCAACCTGCTTATCAGTAACTGATAATCTGAGCTACTTCTTGTTTCAGTTGTTTTGTAATAAAATTATTGTTTTGTTTTTGAAAATCTGAAGAAGAAAATGCCTGAAGTCGGGGAAGAGCTTGAGAAAGGAGCTGTATATGTTCCTGGGGGCGTTAGATTGCACTGTAATCATCTCTGAATGTGCATTTCCAGAAGAGGAAGAGAGTCCAGGGACTACAATAAAAATGTCAGCACCTCTGCTCAGATCTGCCCTACTGTTTCCTGGGATATGTTGACATTTTGACTTGCATTATTAGACTCAATCTCATAAAGCTGTGCCTGGCCATTAGGTGAGACACAGATTACTCCCTGGTGTACTCTTTTTCTTGGATGTGCCATATCTAATCTTGGCCCATTGCTACTACAAAGCAACTCTTTTTCTCTACATTTTGGCATAAAGCCAACTTGGAGTGGCACGAGGACAATATGTTTAGAAAGGGGTGGATGGAATGTTTGAACATGTTTGGTGGTAGGGACAGAAGAAAATTTATGATCAAATTTTTGGCAACTATTTAACTCATCTCGTTTTGTTCATGGTAAAGGAAGGAGGTAAGGAAGGATTGAATGGCTCACTCTAGATGCCTGAATTTTTTCTTTATATGCTACAGGAATCCTTTGTTTTCATGATGTGCTCTGCCTCCCAAAGCCAGATATCCTCTGACTGGGGGCTTTTCTGCCCCAATCTCCAGCTGTCTTCTATGACATCTCTGCAGATTTTCACTGCTGGCAGAGTTGAGAGTGGGAGTTTCCTCCCTCAATTCTGACTTACTAACAAATCAGGGGATGGGGTAGCTCCCTATTAATGCACAGAAATATGTAACTGCTAGATTTTCAGACAGATTGGAGGAAGAAATTATCTCACATGATAATACCTGTAGGCTGGAATCAGACAGAAAATAGTTTTCTTGAGAATTGATGTGGGTCACCTGGAGAATTGAAGAGTCTAGCAAGAGGGCACTTGCCTGGTGGTGGATGGAGATAGGAGCTGAATTAGGGCCCCTGAGTAAAATTGTGTGGCTTGTAGACTGTACAAAGGTGGTGATGGAGAGACTGAAGGGGCACATGGGGGCTGAAGGAGCTGCATCTACCTGATGGAAAGGGGCACCCATTTTATGCACAAAGATGATACACAGTACTTGTGCCAAAATGTCTTGCTTTATCCTCCCAACTGATCCCAGACAGTTTGCTTAGATGTCTAAAACAAATACAAATCATAGGCTTTATTTGATCTACTTGTCAAATAAGATTGTCACAGATGTCACATATGGTCACTTTTGCCATACTTTTATGAGTCCAAGCAACACAAGATTCAAGAGGCAGGGGCATAGAGCCATATCTTTTTTTTTTTTTTTTTTTTGAGACAGAGTCTCACTCTGTCACCAGGCTGGAATGCAGTGGTGTGATCTCAGCTCACTGCAACCTCCGCCTCCCAGGTTCAAGTGATTCTCCTGCCTCAGCCTCCTGAATATCTGGGATTACAGGCATGCACCAACATACCCAGGTAATTTTTGTATTTTTAGTAGAAACAGGGTTTTACCATGTTGGCCGGGATGGTGTCGATCTCCTGACCTCGTGATCCGCCTGCCTCAGCCTCCCAAAGTGCTGGGATTACAGGTGTGAGCCACCGCACCCAGCCAGAGCCATATCTTAATGGGAGGAGTGCCAAAAAATTTGTGGCCCTTTAAAAAACCTGTCATGGATAAGTCAACAAAATTTTCTTTTTCTAAGGCTTAGACTACTCTGTCAGATATCTGATCCTGAATGGAAAGAAAGACACTAACTCACCCCACTCTCTTTTCACTCCCCTTCTCAGAGAACAGGAGGCTGCAGTATCTGAAGTCAAGCTTGTTCTGATACTACACTGTATTTCTTCCTTTTTGTCCATTTATGAGGAAGGCAGACACATTGCCCCACTGGGAGTTTTATATCACCCAAGCTGCAAGCATCTCTGAAACATAAAAACAACAAAATATTACTCTGTCTATCACACATGCACATCGCGAGGCCTCAAAAACATCTTGCTTTACTCCCACAACTGATCCCAGACAGTTTGCTTAGATGTCAAACACAAATACGATTCATAGACCTTATTTGATCTACTTGTCACTAAGCTTAAAAACCACACAGCACAGTCTTGATTTTTGCATATATCGTAATACGTCTCTTAAAATGTGTGATAAATTTTTGTGTAACACATTCTGTTAATGAATGCTTATTTTTCAGTTAACCATTTAGCTCTCAAAAATTAGAGAAAAATTTATTTTAACAAAAAAAGCAAGACTTTTTAAAAAGTTTCTTTATCTGTGAGGTTTTTCTTGGTAAAAGAATCCATGACTCTTGGAAAATTTGGTAAGGGTTATACAACTTATGTTTTTCTTTACATAAATATTCCTACATATCTGAGCTCAAAGCATTAGTAAATGTTTGTGTGATATAAAAACTGATCCTAAAACCTGTTTTCTATTAATATTCTAATTTTTCAGAGTAAGGAAGGGGTGGAGCAAGGCAAATAAATCGTGAATGATATGGGCTGCAATGGTAGACAAATGACAAATAGGGATGTCTCCTGCACCTGGCTGGAATGGCTTTCAATCCTTAATCATATTGACAATAGTGGCTGCATGGTGGCTCATGACTGTAATCCCACCACTTTGGGAGGCTGAAGCAGGAGGATTGCTTGAGCCCAGGAGTTCGAGACCAGCCTGGGCAACATAGTGAGACTCCATTTCTACAAAAAATACAAAAATTAGATGGGTGTGGTGGTGCGTGCTTGTAGCCCCAGCTATTCAGGAGGCTGAAGTGGGAGGATCACTTGGGCCTGGGAGTTCTGCAGTGAGCTATGATTGCACCACTGCACTCCAGCCTGTGTGACAGAGGTAGACCCTGTCTCAAAAGAAAAGAAACAAAACAAACAAACAAAAACATTGATAGTAGCTACTAACACCAGCTACTGCATGGTAGAGTTTGAATTTGAATCAGATCTGATCCCAAAGACTCTGCTCTTAATTTTTATGTCATTTTGTCTCACCAACCTAAACATAATCCAAACTTGTATATCATTACATTGCTTATTGATTTATATTGATTATATAAAAGATATCTTGCTGATTGAATGAGAAGAATATGAGAGACATAGGAGAAAAAAATCACATGTAATGACTACAGATTTATTCTGGAGTTAACCTGTGAGGGAGAATTATTATATTCAGTTTTTAGATAACAATGTAGAATCTCACAGAGCTTAAGTAAATGTCAGTGTTTCTCAGTCATCACATGTTGGGGCCTGAGACCGAAGCTCTGATTTCACCCACTTCACACACTGTCCTTTCCCTCTATATCATGCCAAGAATAGTAATGCTATGACTGTTTCAGATATTCTGTAGCTCAGCAGTGACAGAAACTGTGAAACTGAAATTACTTACATTATTTGATAAGCTAAACCCAAAATTCATGAGGAAGAGAATAAGTAAAACAAACAAACAAACAGAAACCCAGACGTTTATAATGGACAAATAATTGTTCACTCATATTTGTTGTCCTTCCTGGAGGTGACCCTCCCAGTGGGAATATCACATATTTTTGCTCCATTAATTCAGGAGTGGTCGAGTGATTTTCTTCAGCCAGTGAGATATGGGTAGAAGTAATGAGAGTCACTTCATAGCAAGAGCTTTAAGGGTTGGCATTTGAGTCACATTCCCTTTTTCTCCACATCTGAGATCATGGAAGAATGTGTTTAAAGGGAGCTTTCTACTGCTCCAGTCCCTACAGTATAATAATGAGCAGAGTCTACTTCCTGGCTAGTGATGGGCGCATGGCATGAGTGAGAAACAAACATAGTTGTTAAAAGCCGTTGAAAGATTTGAGTTATTGGTGACTTCAGCGTGACCTTGCTGTAGCAGATGTTGTTAGTGTTACATTCTAATCCCTTAAGTTTCCTTTCATCGTTTCTGTGTTAAGCCCTATGTACCTTTGTGGTCAGAGATAAAGAAAGGCCAAGGTTCACAGGAGAGAGCCAGTGTGGATGCGAGAAACACAAAACCAGAGAGGCGAGGTGTTAGAAAAGCAGTAATGGAGAGAAAGTGAGAGACAGAGAGACACAGGAGGCCCAGGAATGCAGACAGAAAGCTAGAAGGAATAAAAGGTAACCCAAGAGAAGCAGCAGAAGTGACAAAGAAAAGCAGAAATTGTGAGCAGAAGGAGGGAGGAAAGGCAGGCAGGACACGGGACTGAGCATGGCCAGAGGCTGAGCACAGAAGCCAGTCTAAAGCACCCCTGTGAGGCTTTCTAGATGCCCCTCTGCTGAGAACTCTCACTCAGCCACATATTTCCAGCTTTCAGCAGCAGCAGCAAAGCCATTCAATTCAGGAAGCAAGGGGAGCCAGAACAGAGAGACAATAAGATCCCTTTGGGGTGACCATCTGCTACATGTTTACAATGGCTGAAGGCAGAAAGGGAATCAAGATATTTAGATTCAAGCTCTGGAATCCAGGCAAGACCCATTGGATGCTGCTGCTCTGACAGTCCCTGAAAGATGTGTGTGGTATGTGGATTGCACTGGACTTCTAGCTCTGCTTCTTAAAATGCTGTGACTATCCTAGTGGACCACCCTTCCCTGACATGACTCACTCTTGTATGGGGGCTGACGGCACAGACCTTGGACCGTCTAGGTTTATATCCTGGCCCTGTGAATTGCCAGTTGTATGACCTTGGGCTGATACTAATCCTCTTGGAGTGGAATTTTCCCCAGATGTAAGATAAAAAATAGTAGAGCTAGCGTGAGCATCAAATTGGATTATGGCTGCCACATAGGAAGAGTTCAATAACAGCAGTTTCCGCTGTTGTTATTGGCATGGAAACTTCATTCTCATCATCTCCCCTTCTAACCCAACCGCCAACCACACTTCTTTAACGTGAAGGTGATGGGTTTGTGTGTGTGCGTGTGTGTGTGTGTGTGTGTGTGTGTGTTGATGCATCTATGTATGGGTCCAGCAGTGTGCTGGCTGCACACTTTAATTATAGTTAACTGAATGAATACCTTTAGAGATCCATAAGTAGTAAATAAAATCAGAAATGAGAGCACACAAATGAAGCCCTGAGAAGACACATGTTAGCTGTCTCTCTGGAACCACAGGTATTTCCTAGAACTGTATCCTGGCCATCAGCAATGACATCTAATCACAGAAGTGGATCTATCTCCCTAAGCAGTAAGCATGCAACCCTCTCACTAATCTTAATGCCAAGTCTAAACTCATCTTGACTAACCGAAACCGAATCCTTATAACTCATTCATTCTCCAGACCCAGCCAATGCATCTTAATTCATAAGTCCAGCATGGCGAGCTTTTCTTATTAGGTCATTTACTTCGGCGGCTTCCTGACTGTGGTACCCAGATTTTGACACGGAGACATAAGCCCCTTGGGAATGGGGCAAGCAACCCTGGCCCTGCTTTGCAAGTGACTCCACAAGTTAGAATCTGTCAGCAACTTTCATTGAGTCTGTGATGAAGAGACTTACTGTTTCTCCCTATACAGCCCAGGGCAGCAGTATCCATGACTGATGTCAGGCTGGAGATAGCATGGAGGTGGCAGGGAAATCCAATGAGAATGATTCTCTTGCTGTTCTTTGCTCCCAGGGATGATGGTGCTGTTCACCCACTCTGTTTTGAAACCTTTGGGTCTTGCTGATTTTAAGAAATGAGCTGGGCCAAATGGGAAACTTTAGACTCCAGCAGGGTGCTCCTTGTGGGAACAAGGGAAAGCCAGGAGTCCTTTGGGTTGTACAACGCTGATGCTTAAACTAACAATGGGTACAGTCAGACAGCAACAAGAGGCAGATGAGGACTGGGTCCAGCACCTCAGTTGTGTGTGTGTGTGTGTGTGTGTGTGTGTGGTGGGGGGCTTTGGAGTTCGACCTGGGTTTGAAATGTAACATTTACATAGTAGTTGTTGACTAAGCATTCATTAAGTAAATGTAACGCAGATAAAAATCTGGAATTTTATTCAATAAAAAATCCCCAATATTATGGGGATAGTAATGCCTCCCTCATAAGGTTAATTTCAGAATTAAATAAAACATGTTATGTAACACACTAGTACAGGTCGTCTTGGGGTATAGAAGAGCATGGTAGATGTTAGTAAGCTGACAAGAGCAAGCTAAGTTTGTTTAGCAATGCTCTTCTCCAGCCCTTTCCTGCTGTCTGGCCTCACTATCCCAGTGTTACAGGATGGAGGAGAGTCTGAAGCTTCAGGATCCCCAGCTGTGAGGTCCCCTTCCCCCTTTCTCCACTGCTCAGTCCCAAGGGGCTGTGTCTCCCTGGCACTCCAGCAACCATCCCAGACACTGACGTTGTCATAAACTGCACACTTACGCTCATGGATCCTCTTCATCATGTCCAGAGGCACATTTACTTATCATTATTGATAAGGACATGCCACACTCATTGCTGAGGTATTTATTGAGCTTTTACTGTGTTCCAGTATGTAACTTATTCACCTTAAAGCATCTGTCTTTGATTATAAGACTGCTGATCTTCAAAAGCACATTTGTGAGTCTCAGAATCTCAGGGTTGCCAGGATTCTTGAAGGTCACTCCACTCAACCTACTGGTGCTTCATTCCCTGCTGACAACAGCTGACTGCCTCCTGTAGAAGGGTGGTCTAGGAGTTCCCGGTCACTCATGTCAACTCAGCTAGTAAACTGCAGCATGACCTTAACAAGTCACTCGATTTCTGAGTTTCAGGCTTACAATATGTAAAACGAAGTGTTGGAAAACATTATCTTTCCATTGCTGATATTCTTTGGCCCTTATTAATATCATAGTCATTCTAATCTCTTGTTTCTCCACATCCAAATATGGATGCCCTCTGTGTCCCAACCCAGATAGAGGAGGAGGTATTTTTTTTTTGCCATGGCAGGCCTCTAAGTTTGTTTTTTGGGGGCTCTCTCTCTCTTCTCCCTTCCTTGTCACCACCTTCCCTTTGTCCTAGAAATATGTATTACATTCACAGAATATCTGGAAAAACCAAAACCCTGGATCTATACCTTATGCTTCCAAAAAATAATAAATTCCCGATGGCTCAAACAGACTTAAATGTAAAAAGTAAAAAATGGGATTTTTTGGTTTGTTTTTAATTTCCTTGGAGTATGAACATAGGCTTTTCAAAGGAAAACACGGATCCCGGGAGTCTAAAAGACTGTTAAGTGTAACTGCCTAAGGATGAAATATTTATGCAAGATAGAAACAAAACATAAAAACAGAAACATGAAATAAAGATTTGTTTGATTTATGCAAAATGTTCTCTTACAAACCTGTACATTCATTAAAGAAAACTGCAAATGATTTTTTAAACATGAAAAGAACTCAATCTCACTGTAAATTAAAAAAACAAACTTTAATAAGAATTGTTTTTGAATAACTGTTATTTTTTAGACAATGTACTGAAGATACAGCAGTAAACAGAGTGGACATGGTCTCCCCACTATGGAGCATATTTGATGAAGACCGATGTTACCATACGCTATAAAACCAGGTAAACACACACACACACACACACACACACACACACACTTACAAAATAGTGAGTTGTTTTGAGCAAGAAACTACGTGGTTGTCTTAGATCTGGGAGTGATGAGGGAGAAGATGTTTGGACAGACCTGTGATGAGGTCACAACAGAGGCTTAAATCCTACGGGGAGCTCTGAGCTAGGACGGCTTTCCAGAGTTGTCCTGAATTGTGCCCAGAGTTGTCCTGAACAGAAACTTGGGGCCTGGGCATTATACTTCTGCATCCATAGGCCATTGGATGCAGGCTACCTTAGAGGAAGGGCTATAATCTTGGGGAAGGTGTTTCTCTTTGATTGGGAGCAATTTGGGGGTAATTAGCATCTTGGTTCTGAATGGGAGTCCGGGCAGCGCACTGCAGCATTTACTGTAATATCTGGAAAGCCCCTGGCAGGGAACCTGAACATGGATATGTCTGTGAGGTTATGGGAAGCATCTATAGGAGTAATCATTAACTGGTATCTGGTGCTAACTAGGCACAGCATGGTGGGAATCACAATGAGCACTCTGAGAGATGGAGCAGCGTGCCATTACAGGAGCACAAAGGATGTCAGTGTCACTGAGCAGAGGAGTGACACAAGATGACATTAGAGAAAGGTATTTCTAGAAATCATGCAGAGCCTCACAGGTCTCAGGACTTTAACCAAATGGCAGAGAGAAAGGTTTTAATCCGGGGAGAGACCTGATCTAGTCTGTGTTTTAAAGGATCACGCAGGCTGCTATGGGGAGAACAGAGTAGACAGAGGGAAGCGAGGGTAGATGTGAAGGTCAGTTAGGAAGTTTTGTGGCAGGTCAGTAAGGTTTGTTCCTTCTCATTTCCTGTTTTGTGGGTAATGTCTCTGCCACTGGGGTAATAATCCTATCTCTAATAACATACATTATTAATGCAACCCTATATAGTGGATAGGTAATAACCCTATCTGTTCTACTAGTTTGCCAGAATGTCCTTTTCTTTCTCTGGGCCATGATGACTTCTCTTACCTGTGTCCGAGTATACTTATGTGGGAAAGTCAAACATAGACATGGAATGGCCTTGAGCTTAAGGATATTCAGCAAACACTTCTACTCACTTGTAAAATCATTAATCTAGGATAAGTTTATGTACTAGATCTGGTGTGGACTGTAATGGCCCATGATGTTATCTAGAGAGAACTGATTCAGACAAAAATGTTAGCTTTGTGGAGGAGTTCCATCCAAAGAGTCATGAGTGGAGAGTCCTCATGTTGGACTGAGAGGCTCAGGTCACCATTAAGAAGAAAGCTTGAAAACTAGCTCCATGGCTGGGCGCGGTGGCTCACGCCTATAATCCCAGCACTTTGGGAGGCCGAGGCGGGCGGATCACAAGGTCAGGAGATCGAGACCATCTTGGCTAACACGGTGAAACCCCGTCTCTACTAAAAATACAAAAAATTAGCCGGGCGCGGTGGTGGGCACCTGCAATCCCAGCTACTCAGGAGGCTGAGGCAGGAGAATGGCATGAACCCGGGAGGTGGAGCTTGCAGTGAGCCAAGACAATGCCACTGCAGTCCGGCCTGGGCGAAAGAGCGAGACTCCGTCTCAAAAAAAAAAACAAAAAAAAAACTAGCTCCATTTCGGCCCCTTGACTTTCACAAGGTAAAAGTGGAAGAAAAATTACACATCATGCCCATCAATGCCCTGATATTTCAGATGAGGGGTCTGATATTTCAAACCTAGAGGGCTGAAAATTCACACCAAGTATCACAGAGCTAATAAGTATGAGAAGGAATCAGCACTCAGGTTTCCTGATTCCAATTTCAATGTTTTATTCATGATCTTACGCTATTTTGAAATTTTTCCACTTTCACCAAAGATGTACACTTTTAAATTGTGCTCTCAATGTTATGGGCTCTACTGACAGAAAATATCTGTCTTCGTTTTTACAAAGAAAATGTTCTATTCCCCTAAGAGGTGTTTGCAGAACGTTGCTTAGAAATGTTTTGATAGAACTTAGCCAAAGAGACATCTGTTTGGGGAAGGGTCTGAAAGCTCCTTGCCACACTCAGACATCTATTAGGGCTAGATAAGCCATTTTCTCTTCATGATTCCTCATTTGCTCTCCCATCCTCATCTCTACCTCCACCCAAAAGCCATAATCTATTTAACTCACTTTGCCTACTTATTCTAATTGCTTTCTGACTCACTCCAATGCTATCTTTATCCTTCACCTGCCTTTACCTCATTTGTGTCCTCATCAGGCCCCCAATAACAAGCCCCATCCTCTGTTATATATTTTGGATTTCTTTTTATTTTATTTTATTTTTTAATTTTACTTTAATTTCTGGGATACATGTGCAGAACGTGCAGGTTTGTTACATGGGTATACATGTGCCACGGTGGTTTACTGCACCTATCAACCTATCATCTAGGTTTTAGGCCCCACATGCATTAGGTATTTGTCCTAATTCTCTCCCTCCTCTTGCCCCTCAACCCCCAACAGGCCCCCGTGTGTGATGTTCCCCTCCCTGTGTCCATGTATTCTCATTGTTCAACTCCCACTTATGAGTGAGAACATGCAGTGTTTGGTTTTCTGTTCCTCTGTTAGTTTGCTGAGAATGAGAGTTTCCAGCTTCATCCATGTCCCTGCAAATGACATGGACTCATTCTTTTTTATGGCTGCATAGTATTCCATGGTGTATATGTGCCACATTTTCTTTATCCAGTCTATCATTGATGGGCATTTGGGCTGGTTCCAAGTCTTTGTTATTGTAAATAGTGCTGCAATAAACATACAAGTTCATGTGTCTTTATAGTAGAATGATTTATAATCCTTTGGGTATATACCCAGTAATGGGATTGCTGGGTCAAATCGTAATTCTGGTTCTAGGTCCTTGAGGAATCACCACACTGTCTTCCACAATAGTTGAACTAATTTACATTCCCATCAACAGTGTAAAAGCGTTCCTATTTCTCCACATCCTCTCCAGCATCTGTTGTTTCCTGACTTTTTAATAATTGCCATCCTAACTGGTATGAGATGGTATCTCATTGTGGTTTTGATTTGCATTTCTCTAATGACCAGTGATGATGAGCTTTTTTTCCACGTTTGTTGGCCGCATAAATGTCTCCTTTTGAGAAATGTCTGTTCATATTCTTTGCCCACTTTTTGATGTGGTTGTTTTTTTCTTGTAAATTTGTTTAAGTTCCTAGTAGATTCTGGATATTAGACCTTTGACAGATGGATAGATTGCAAAAATTTTCTCCCATTCTGTAGGTTGCCTGTTCACTCTGATGATAGTTTCTTTTGATGTGCAGAAGCTGTTTAGTTTGATTAGATCCCATTCGTCAATTTTGGCTTTTGTTGTCATTGCTTTTGGTATTTTAGTCATAAAGGCTTTGCCCATGCCTATGTCCTGAATGGTATTGCCTTGGTTTTCTTCTAGGGTTTTTATGGCTTGGGGTTTTACATTTAAGTGTTTAATCCATCTTGAGTTAATTTTTGTATAAGGTGTAAGGAGGGGGTCCAGTTTCTGTTTTCTGCATATGGCTAGCCAGTTTTCCCAAAATCGTTTATTAAATAGGGAATCCTTTCCCTATTGCTTGTTTTTGTCAGGTTTGTCAAAGATCAGATAGCTATAGATGCGTGGTGTATTTCAGAAATATGTTTTGATATCAGTACCATGCTGTTTTGGTTACTGTAGACTTGTGGTATAATTTGAAGTAAGGTAGCGTGATGCCTCCAGCTTTGTTCTTTTTGCTTAGGATTATCTTGGCTCTATGGGCTCTTTTTTGTTTCCATACGAAATTTAAAGTAGTTTTTTTCAAATTCTGCAAAAAAAGTCAGTGGTAGCTTGATGGTAATGGCATTGAATTCTATAAATTACTTTGGGCAGTATGGCCATTTTCACAATATTGATTCTTCCTATCCATGAGTATGAAATTTTTTTCCATTTGTTTGTGTCCTCTCTTACTTCCTTGAGCAGTGGTTTGTAGTTCTACTTGAAGAGGTCCTTCACATCCCTTGTAAGTTGTATTCCTAGGTATTTATTCTCTTTGTAGCAATTGTGAATGGGAGTTCACTCATGATTTGGCCCTCTGCTTGACTACTGGTGGTGTATAGGAATGCTTGTGATTTTTGCACATTGATTTTGTATCCTGAGACTTTGCTGAAGTTGCTTATCAGCTTAAGGAGTTTTTGGGCTGAGACAGTGGGGTTTTCCAAATATACAATCATCTTATCTGCAAACAGAGACAATTTTACTTCCTCTCTTCCTATTTGAATGCCCTCTATTTCTTTCTCTTGCCTGATTGCCCTAGCCAGAACATCCAATAGGAGTAATGAGAGAGGGCACTTAGTGCTATAAATTTCCCTCTTAACGCTGCTTTGTCTGTGTCCCAGAGATTCTAGTATGTTGTGTCTTTGCTCTCACTGATTTCAAATAACTTCTTTATTTCTGCCTTAATTTTGTTATTTACCCAGTAGTCATTCAGGAGCAGGTTGTTCAGTTTCCATGTAGTTGTGCGGTTTTGAGTGAGATTCTTAATCCTGACTTATAATTTGATTGCACTGTGGTTTGAGAGACAGTTTGTTATGATTTCCATCCTTTTGCATTTGCTGAAGAGTGTTGTACTTCCAATTATGTGGTTGATTTTAGAATAAGTGCTATGTGGCACTGAGAAGAATGTATATTCTGTTGATTTGGGGTGGAGAGTTCTGTAGATGTCTATTAAGTCCACTTGGTCCAGAGCTGAGTTCAATTCTTGAATATCCTTGTTAATTTTCTGTCTCATTGATCTGTCTGATGTTGACAGTGGGCTGTTAAAGTCTCCCACTGTCATTGTGTGGGAGTCTAAGTCTCTTTGTAGGTCTCTTAAGAACTTGCTTTATGAATCTGGGTGCTCCTGTATTGGGTGCATATACATTTAGGATAGTTAGCTCTTCTTGTTGCATTGATCCCTTTACCATTATGCAATGCCCTTCTTTGTCTTTCTTGATCTTTGTTGGTTTAAAGTCTGTTTTATCAGAGACTAAGTTTGCAACCCCTGCTTTTTTTTGCTTTCCATTTATTTGGTAAATATTCCTCCATCCCTTTATTTTGAGCCCATGTGTGTCTTTGCACGTGAGATGGATCTCCTGAATACAGCACACCAATGGGCCTCGACTCTTTATCCAGTTTGCCAGTCTGTGTCTTTTAATTGGGGCATTTAGCCAATTTACATTTAAGGTTAATATTGTTATGTGTGAATTTGATCCTGTTATCATGATGCTAGCTGGTTATTTTGCAGATTAGTTGATGCAGTTTCTTCAGAGTGTCATTGGTCTTTATATTTTGGTGTGTTTTTGCAGTGGCTGTTACTGGTTTTGCCTTTCTATATTTAGTGCTTCCTTCAAGGGCTTTTGTAAAGGCAGGCCTGGTAGTGAGAAAATCCCTGAGAATTTGCTTGTCTGTAAAGGATTTTATTTCTCCTTCACTTATGAAGCTTAGTTTGGCTGGACATAAAATTCTGGGTTGAAATTTTGTTTCTTTAAGAATGCTGAATATTGGCCTCCTACTCTCTTCTGGCTTGTAGGGTTTCTGCAGAGAGATCCGGTTAGTCTGATGGGCTTTCTTTTGTAGGTAACCTGCCCTTTCTCTTTGGCTGCCCTTAACATTTTTTCCTACATTTAAACCTTGGAGAATTTGACAATTATGTGTCTTAGGGTTGCTCTTCTTGAGGAGTATCTTAGTGATATTCTCTGTATCTCCTGAATTTGAATGTTGGCCTGTCTTGCTAGGTTGGGGAAGTTCTCCTCGATAATATCCTGAAGTGTGTTTTCCAACTTGGTTCCATTCTCCCCGTCACTTTCAGGTATACCAATCAATCATAGGTTTGGTCTTTTCATATAGTACCATATTTCTTGGGGGCTTTGCTCATTCATTTTCATTTTTTTTCTGTAATCTTGTCACACCTTATTTCAGTAAGTTGATCTTCAATCTCTGATATACTTTCTTCTGCTTGACAGATTTGGCTATTATTGATACCTGTGTATGCTTCAAGAAGTTCTCGTGCTGTGTTTTTCAGCTCCATCAGGTTATTTATGTTCTCTAAATTGGTTATTCTAGTTAGCAGTTCCTGTAACCTTTTGTCAAGGTTCTTAGCTTCCTTGCATTGGATTAGGACATGCTCCTTTTGCTCACAGGAGTTTGTTATTGCCCACCTTCTGAAGTCTATTTCTGTCAATTCATCCATTTCATTCTCTGTCCAGTTTTGTGCCCTTGCTGGAGAGGAGTTGTGATCATTTGGAGGAGAAGAGGCATTCTGGTTTTTAGAATTTTCAGCATTTTTGTGCTGGTTTTTCCTCATCTTTGTGGATTTATCTGCCTTTCATCTTTGAGGTTGATGACCTTTGGATGAGGTTTCTGTGTGGGGGTCCTTTATGTTGATGTTGATGTTGTTGCTGTTTGTTAGTTTTTCTTCTAATAAGCCTCTCTTCTGCAGGTCTGCTGCAGTTTGCTGGAGGTACACTCCAGACCCTGTTCACCTGGGTATCACCAGTGGAGGCTGCAGAACAGCAAAGATTGCTACCTGCTCCTTCCTCTGGAAGCTTCATCCCAGAGGAGCACCGGCCTGATGCCAGCCAGAGCTCACCTGTATGAGCTGTCTGTCGACCCCTGTTGGGAGGTCTCTCCCAGTCAGGAGGCACGGGGTCAGGGAGTTACTTGAGGAGGTAGTCTGTCCCTTAGCAGAACTGGTGTGCTGTGCTGGGAGAATTCCTCTTGTTAGGATCAGCTGCTCTCTTCAGAGCCAGCTGGCAGGAAAGATTAAATCCGCTGAAGCTGTGCCCACAGCCTCCCCTTCCCCCAGGTGCTCTGTCCCAGGGAGATGGGAGTTTTGTCTGCAAGCCCCTGACTGGGGCTGTTACCTTTCTTTCAGAGATGCCCTGCCCAGTAAGGAGGAATCTAGAGAAGCAGTCTGTCCACAGCCACTTTGCCACACTGTGGTGAGTTCTATCCAGTCCAGACCTCCCTGCTGCCTTAGCACTGTCGGGGGAAAACTGCCTAGTAAAGCCTCAGTAATTGTGAACGCCCCTACCCCAACCAAGCTGGATCATCCCAGGTCAACTTCAGGCTGCTGTGCTGGCAGTGAGAATTTCAAACCAGCGGTTCTTAGCTTGCTGGGCTCTGTGAGAGTGGGACACACTGAGTGAGACCACTTGGCTCCCTGGCTTCAGTCCCCTTTCCAGGAGAGCGAATGGTTCTGTATTGCTGGGGTTCCAGGCACCACTGGGATACGAAAAAGACTCCTGCAGCTAGCTTGGTGTCTGCCCAAACAGCCACCCAGTTTTGTGCTTGAAACCCAGGGCCCTGGTGGCGTAGGCACCTGATCTGCAGATTGTAAAAACTGTGGGGAAAGCGTAGTAATCCAGCTGGGTAGCACAGTCCCTCATGGCTTCCCTTGGCTGCAAGGAGGGAGGTCCCCTGGCACCTTGCACTTCCCAGCTGAGGCAATGCCCCACCCTGCTTCTGCTCACCTTCCGTGGACTGCACCCACTGCCTAACCAGTCCCAATGAGATGAACTGTGTTCCTCAGTTGGAAATGCAGAAACCACCTGCCTTCTGTGTTGGTCTTACTGGGAGCTGCAGACCAGAGCTTTTCTTATTCAGCCATCTTGGCCCCTTGTTTGGATTTATTTTTTACAAAATATTTTCAACTCTATTAAGATTAAATTTTGTACAACATCTGTGGCCATTTATTTTACTTTTAAAGTTTTAATGGTACATAATAATTGTACACATGTTGGGGGTACATGTGATATTTTGATATATGTATACAACATGTAGTGACCAAATCAGGGTAAGTGGGATATCTATAACCTCAAACGTTCATCATTTCTTTGTGTTGGGGAAATTCAAATTCCTCTCTTCTAGCTATTTTGAAATACACAATAGATAGTCATTAAACTTGTCACCCTACTATGCCACAGAACACTGGAACTTATTTCTTCTATTTAACTGAAATTTTGTAACCACTAACCAAACTCTTCCTGTCTTCCCCTCCCCTATATCCTTTCTAGCTTCTGTTAACCATTATTTTATTCTGTACTTCTATGAGATCAACTGTTTTAGTTTCCACATATGAGTGAGAACATGTGGTATTTGTCTTTATGTGCCTGGCTTATTTCACTTAATGGAATGCCCTCCAGTTTTCTCCATTTTGCCACAAATGACAAGATTTCATTCCTTTTAATGGCTGAATTCTATTCCATTGTATATATACACCACATTTTCTGTGTTCACTCATCCATTGATGGATACTCAAGTTGATTCTATATCCATATTTGTTTTTGAGTTGGTTTTGGTCATTTTTATCTTTCAAAAATTTTCCATTTCATCAGGCTTGTTAATTGATTTCCCTTTTAAGGTGTCTTGTTTTTATTCTCTTCAACTTAAAATTAAAATTTTAATTATGCCTTTGGCTTATAACAGGTCAGGAAAACAAGACCCCTTCTATTACACAGTCTTAGTAATTGTGTGAATCAATACAAAATGTTTGGAGTGTAATTTGGTGCCAATAAAAAGTAATAGCTTCAATACATCTGCATTTGACCCAGACATTCCAACTCTAGGGAATCTTTTTTTTCTTTTTCAGAAATATAATTGTTTATGTACTTACATGTATACGTACTTACTTTACTTACAAGTACATGTTTATGTACTTACAAATATCTAAGAATATTTATAGCATCATTTTTTCATAATTAAAAATGGAAACAACAATGAAAATTAATTAATAAATGTCTATCTAATAAAGAATAGGACATCCACATAATGGAATCCTATGTTAAAAAAAAAAGAGGTAGAGTAATATGTGCTGACATGGAAAGATATATTTTATATGTTGTTAAATGAGAAAGAAAAGGTTGCAAACAGATTTTCACAGCCTTTACGAAAAAGAATATGGAGATACATGCTTGGAAAATTTCTCTAAAATTATATGGCAAGTATTTGGGCTTGGGCAATTTAAGGAATTGGAAGAAAGATTAATCCCAATTTATACCCTTAGGCACCAATTGAAATTCTCAGATTTAACAGGTGTACTTAAAATACTTAAAATGAAAACAAAAATGCAGACAAATGTTTTGTAATTCCTACTTTTTCTGTCTTACTCCAGCATTAGACAGATTTCCAACTTACATTTTGTCAGTTCCTCCAGGTTGCAAACAGAACTGTGTACATAAGCTGTCCTTATGCTCTCTCTACTTTGCAGTGGTCCAGCTGGTAATCAGGGACATGCCATAGGAAAAAAAAAAGTCTGGAAGAATCTTGCTGGAATGCATACAGATGCACATATATCAAGAGGAGTGAAAACCTGAGACAATAGAACAGAATAGAGTTCGATTTAGGGGAGGGACCTCTTACAGTATTCTGTAGGGTCCACAGGACTAAACGCAGGAGCCTTTTTAAAATGAATGAAGGAGTCATCAGGCTTTTTAGAAGATATTTGGTGAAGTTAAGGCTTTGACCAAGACCAATATGCAGACTTTTTTGGGATATTGGTGCATGTTTTAGAGGCCAATTGTGGTGTCTCCTACTGGGGGAAAAGGGTTGATTTAGGCTCCGAATAACTAGAGAAACTTGAGAAAAGCCTAAGATAAACGACAGAGGTAGTTGACTGTTTAGAATCTGAGACATCTGGAAACCTAGACCTGAGGTTTTCAGGAAGGCAGCCCCAGTATTAAGAAGTCCCTGATTGGTAAGATTTCAGGTTTTCCCGTCAAACAAAAACTTTCAAAAGTTCTAAAACTTAATTGGTCAAAAAATGGGAATAACTTAAAGTTTGTTCTGCTCCCACTAGACTGATTGCCTGGGGACTCCCTGAACGTGGGCTAATTAAGAAGTAGTAACTCGGTGATTAAGTACCCTTGGGAAGAAGGGAAGAGGGAGGAGAGGGGAGAGAGAGAGGACCCTCAACTTTGCCCAACACTCATTTCTGGGCTTTTTCCTAAGCTCCTCTGGGAGGACATTTCCCTTCTTCGCCATGAGTGGGGATTGCAGCAACTTGTTCTGGCCCCTGTGCATGGCTCAGCACTAGCAGGACAGGAGGTAGCCTCAGCGGAGCCCTAGAGAACATCAGAAGAGGCGGCGAAGCCCCTCTGTAAAGGTGAGTGTCTTTCCAAGGGGTCTCCTCTATGAAGAAGAGGGTAAAAGCATTTTAGGATGGGACATCCTGGGCCTGCCTATCTTCTAGAACAAAGTCACCCAGATATTGAAGTGTGGGCTAGGGGAGCAGTAGAGTGTATAGGCTCATCTCCAGACCCTTCCTGCATAGCAGAGAGCACTTCCGGCTCCTCTTGGACCCAATGCTAACACAGTCACGGCTCCCTGACAGTCGGTGTCCTTCTCGCTCATGTTTCTTCATCTCGTGCTGGTTATGCAGAGGTTGTGGAAAACCAGAACACTGAGCTTTCCCATCAATTCTGTCCCTGAAGCTTTTTAAACCATTAGTAAAACAGTGACGTAGACAGGGAAGGGGTTACCTAAGCAAGGGAAGGGCAGGAGGGAAAATGGTAATGTGAGGCAGGAAGGAAAACCAACCAGAATAGGATTGAGGGAATGTGGCCCAGGCCCTGGCCAGAACAAGTATTATTTAATCATATATTATCCATCCATCCATCCATACCTCATCTAGCAAAATTTGTCAGCACTACTTATTTTATGTATATGATACATATATCTTATGTATTTAAATATCTTATAAATAAAAAATATATGTATATTTTATATAATATAAGATATATTTCATATATCTTATTTCATATATCTTATATAAATAAGATAAATAATATAAGATAATAATATAATATAAGGTGTGGTAGTTAGCTGTGTGAGTGATGAAATCTGACAGACCTAGGTTCAAATCTTGACTCACACAGCTATTAGTTCGGTTACCTTGTGATAAATTAATACATAATTTA
This sequence comes from Homo sapiens, assembly GCF_000001405.40. NCBI lineage: Eukaryota > Metazoa > Chordata > Mammalia > Primates > Hominidae > Homo > Homo sapiens. The sequence goes on along the minus strand of NC_000007.14, from coordinate 143,028,445 downwards.
ATATATAAGATATATCTATGATATATTCATTTCACATAATGTATCTGTCTATATCTATATAAAAGATATATGATATATATATATAAAATATATAACTACTTAATTTATGTATGTACATTTTATGTGCCAGCCTCAGAATACAACAGTGAAGACATGTCCTAGCCCTCATGGAGTTTATATTCTAATGCCGTTGATAAATAATAAATACACTTAAATTTCCTCTCCTTCTTTCTTGCTTATTTTTTTCCCTGTGACATGATAAGCAAACTAAACTATTGCATATTTTACTTAGGTGTCTTGTGTGTGGTCTAGCCCCCACCTCTTCCTTGAATATAAGCTCCACAGGGCATGGAATTTTCTTTGTTCTGTTCATGACTACATTTGTTTATTGTTAAATAAAGGAATGAAGTAAATAATTAGACATAATACAAGGTAATAACAACTGTTATTAAAAAAATGGAAGTCCAATAATAAGTGTGTCTTTTCTGTTTTGGGCAGAGTGATTGGAAAGAGTCTTTGGAAAGGGTGACATTTGAATAATGGAATGAAGCGACAGGCAGAGAGCCAGGCATCCTTAACAGCTGGCGGTCCCAGATCTATTCCTTTTCTGTGCCAGGTGCCATCTTTCCTTCCTCCCACAACTTTGGAAGGAAAATGGAATTAGAGAAGAATGGATCTGTTCTGGGAAATTATCCCAAGCTCTAGAGTTCTCATTTAGAGATCTTGCTGTTCTGTAAAATGGAGATTTTAAAATCTGGAACAGCAGAGATGTTAGTCTTACATCCTCTGCCTCCTTTCTGCTGGCCCCAAAGGTGGGTCTATGCATTACCATTACAGATGAGAGCTGGGGTTTAAAATTCTGTCCTTTGAACATCATATAAAATGCCTTTGTGTCATCTTGCACAGTTAACCTAAGAGAAAGTAACTCCAGGACCGGAGGGACCTGATTGACTCACCTTTAAAACTGGCCTATTTAAAAGGTCTTAGCCTCTGCCCCCGAGAGAAGGTATATTTAATGGGGAAAAAGGCAAGGAAGGTATTTCACCACCAGTAGAAGAAGATGTCTTCACCCATTCTAGGGGGCTGGTTACACAGGGAAGTGAGAGCCTCACTTGTAGACTTGGGATGACAACATGTACCTCAAGCTATGTATGTGCCGACCACAGTAGCAGGGACATGTCACCTGATTCTCAGGTTGGAAATAGTTTCTTAACCTAATTTTTCTTCCTTCTCTCTTGAGAGCAGGACCATGTGGAGCAATGCCACCTCTCTTTTAATCTCTGGGCTTCAAAACAAGCAGAATCAAGGACTAAATGATGGACAACCACTCTAGTGCCACTGAATTCCACCTTCTAGGCTTCCCTGGGTCCCAAGGACTACACCACATTCTTTTTGCTATATTCTTTTTCTTCTATTTAGTGACATTAATGGGAAACACGGTCATCATTGTGATTGTCTGTGTGGATAAACGTCTGCAGTCCCCCATGTATTTCTTCCTCAGCCACCTCTCTACCCTGGAGATCCTGGTCACAACCATAATTGTCCCCATGATGCTTTGGGGATTGCTCTTCCTGGGATGCAGACAGTATCTTTCTCTACATGTATCGCTCAACTTTTCCTGTGGGACCATGGAGTTTGCATTACTTGGAGTGATGGCTGTGGACCGTTATGTGGCTGTGTGTAACCCTTTGAGGTACAACATCATTATGAACAGCAGTACCTGTATTTGGGTGGTAATAGTGTCATGGGTGTTTGGATTTCTTTCTGAAATCTGGCCCATCTATGCCACATTTCAGTTTACCTTCCGCAAATCAAATTCATTAGACCATTTTTACTGTGACCGAGGGCAATTGCTCAAACTGTCCTGCGATAACACTCTTCTCACAGAGTTTATCCTTTTCTTAATGGCTGTTTTTATTCTCATTGGTTCTTTGATCCCTACGATTGTCTCCTACACCTACATTATCTCCACCATCCTCAAGATCCCGTCAGCCTCTGGCCGGAGGAAAGCCTTCTCCACTTTTGCCTCCCACTTCACCTGTGTTGTGATTGGCTATGGCAGCTGCTTGTTTCTCTACGTGAAACCCAAGCAAACACAGGGAGTTGAGTACAATAAGATAGTTTCCCTGTTGGTTTCTGTGTTAACCCCCTTCCTGAATCCTTTCATCTTTACTCTTCGGAATGACAAAGTCAAAGAGGCCCTCCGAGATGGGATGAAACGCTGCTGTCAACTCCTGAAAGATTAGCTGTTCTGTAAGTCAGTTTTAGGTGGTCCAAGCCTCAGGGTTAATTATTAAGTCACCTAGAAAATTCTAACTCCTCTTTTCTCTTATCCTCTCATTACAAAAGTCAAAGAGTGTGTACAATTCGCCATCACACCATGGAAGTAGATTAGGCTGGTAATAATGAAATCCATTGTCTGTCCAGGAGACTCTCATAGCCTTAGTTCCTGCCTGTTTCCACTGTTGAACATATTCTTGTGATTTGGGGGGGACTAGAGAAAGGAAATGCAGACATTTTTGTAAGAATTCTATTAGCCCAACTCATTTCCTCATAGTCCATCTCTGAAAATGTATTTTCTGGGGAAGGGAGGAAGTGTGGAGGGAGGTGTACTGAGAAAGGTGTCCTAATCAGAGTAGAAAGGTAGAGATGCTCACTTTGGTCCTTCATCACCTGTTGCTAAGTTCTTCCCTATATTTTTGTGCAATTTTTTGGCAAGATGGCCATATGCATTTTAGATATCCTAAAGCTCTTTCTCTCTGCCCCATTGATACTGGAAAGGAAGTGTAACACTGTTTACGTTTTGTCACAGAACCAGTCTAGAATGGCGATATGAGGATTGGAATGCTTCTCATTCAGGAGATATTTGTGGTGTAAAGAAGATAAAAATATTTGAGGATAAAAATGGAGGAAAATTTATTTTTGTTAAGCTTCAGCATATTCCTTTCACTGCCCTTCTTTGTGGTGAGTATAGGGACAGGGGCAAATAAGAACTAAATGACTAATTCTAGAGAGCATCCTGTATTTTATGGCTGTTAAACACAACTATGTCTGTTCAGACTGTATCCAGATCTAGACTTCAAACTTTATAATGTCTTTTGATTCTCCGTCTCTCAAATCCAACAGTCTCAGTACCATCATGTGTATCTTCTCTGTGGGCAGAATTTTTTAAAAATAAGAGGCCATTCTTTTGACTCCCGGCTTTCTAGAAATTATAGGGATTGGCTGTTTGGTAGTGTAACTGTTGGAATTTCACATAATATTGGAAGAAGTCCTTATAAGGAAGAAGTTTACCTAAACAACAACAATCAGCAGATTCTACCAGCCCTAAAGTAAGTGAGAAAATTGAGCTGTTCAGCAGTGGGATGATGAGGCTACTGAGAATTTTGAAGAGTACTGTGTGAGGATGCCAGGTTGTCTTGTCCTGTGAGGAGTGATAACCGTCATGTATGTTTGGGTAGTTTGCATTGCATTAAAGTACCAGACAAGGTGGGGAATGAGCTTTAAATTCAGCCAGCCCATGCTCTGCAAGCCAACCAATGGACTCTGGTGGCACTGCATTGGCTGGAGAAAGGGGAGACTTTTGCTTAAACAAAGGTGCCCATGGTTTCCAAGCCCAGTAAATGAGGATCTGTTCTGACCAGAAAGAATACCTTTTTTCTAATTCATTAATCCAGAGAAGTATCCTTTAAGAGATGAGACAATAGAAGCTCAGAGAATTTAAATAACTTGCCAAAGTTTACTTAGCCATCCACTGTATCACATCCATCAGATTGGAAAAACATAAAACTCTGAGAATACTAAGTATTGATCTGAATGCTGGCGAATAGGGTTTTTAAAAAACCAACTTCTGGTAGAAATATAAGATATAAGATCCAAATAATTAGATAGTAGATGTCTATAATTAGGTTCTAGTATAGTCATAATAAGATAGTGGTAGTCCATTTTGCATTGCTATAACAGAATATAAATAATACCAGCCTGGATTATTTGCAAAGAAAATAAACATACTTGGCTTATGATTCTGGACACTGAAAATTTATTTGGCTTATGATTCAAGAGCATAACACCGGCATCTGACAAGGGCCTTGGTGCTGTGTCATCCTATGGCAGAAGGTGGAAGGGCAAGAGAGGGCCAGAGTGAGAGGGCAAGAGAGGGCCAAACTCATTTTCATAACAAATCCACTCTCAGAATAACAAACTCACTCCTGTGAAAACAACACTAATTCATTCATGAGGGGATATCCCTCATGACTTAATCGCCTCTTAAAGGTCTTACCTCTCAACAATGTCACAATGGTAATTAAATTTCAACATGAGTTTTGGAGGGGACGTTCATGTCATAGCACTTCACCCCTCATTCTCCAAAAGTAGTGTCCTTCTCACATACAAAATACATTCATCCCTTCCCCATAGCTGCTAAATGTCTTAACTGATTCCAGCATCAACTCAAAAGTCCAAAGACGGCCGGGCGCGGTGGCTCACGCCTGTAATCCCAGCACTTTGGGAGGCCGAGGCGGGCGGATCACGAGGTCAGCAGATCGAGACCATCCTGGCTAACACGGTGAAACCCCGTCTCTACTAAAAATACAAAAAAAAATTAGCCGGGCGTGGTAGCGGGCGCCTGTAGTCCCAGCTACTCGGGAGGCTGAGGCAGGAGAATGGCGTGAACCCGGGAGGCGGAGCTTGCAGTGAGCCGAGATCGCGCCACTGCACTCCAGCCTGGGCGACAGAGCGAGACTCCGTCTCAAAAAAAAAAAAAAAAAAAAAAAAAAGTCCAAAGACAAGTGTCTCATCTAAGTCAGATATGGGTGAGACTCAAGGCACGATTTACCCCAAGGAAAATTTCTCTTCATCTGTGAGCTTGTGAATTAATGTTACATCTTTCTAAAATATGATGTAAGACAGGCATAGAATAGACATTTCCATTCCAAAAGAAAGAAATAGGCAAGAAAAAAGAGTTGACTGGTCCCAAGTAAGTCTAAAACCCAATAGGGAAAACAACATTAAGTCTTTAAGCTGGAAAATAATCTCCTTTGACTCCATGTCCCACATCCTGGGCATGCTGGGGTTGGGGTTGAGCCCTCAAGCCTTTGCTGTGGTCAGTCCTCTCAGCAGCTCTCACAGGTTAGAGTCTAGTGCCTGCAGTTCTCCCAGGCTGGCATTGCACACTAGTAGCTCTGCAGTTCTTGAGTGTCAGGGGCATTTCTGCTCCCATGGCTTCACTAGGCATCCCCTGGTGAAGACTTTCTGTGGTGACTCTGCTCCTGCAGCAAGTTTCTGCCTGAGCCCACAGGCTTCACATGGCATCCTTTGAAATCTAGGTAGAGGAAGTCATGCCTCTGTAGCTCTTCCACTGTGCATGCCTGTAGAATTAACACCAAATGGATGCCACCAAAGTCTACCATTTGTACCTTCCTTCCAGAGTGGTAGGTCAAGCCACACCTGGGGTTACTTGAACCACACCATGAGCAGCCAAAGAACACTGTCCAGGAATGCAGGGAGCAGCAACTCCAGGTGGCCTGTGAAGCGTACCCTGTGCCCATTCCCCAAAGCTATTCTGCCCTCCTAGATCTCTAGGCCTGTAATGGGATGAGCAGCCTCAAAGATCTCTGAAATGCCCATTGTCTTGATGAGCCCTTCTATTTATACTAATCTCATTAGCAAATGGTCACTTGGTCACACCCTTGGTCTGTTCTCTTAAACACACATTTTCATTCTTTATGTGGGCAGGCTGAAAATTTTCAAAATCTTTTCATTCTGCTTTTTTTTTTTGGTTATAGATTTCATCTTTATTTCTTTTCTCTTACATTTTACTGCATATGGTTAAAAGTAGCCTTGCAGATCCTTCAATATTTTGCTTAGAAATTTCTTCCACCAGATAGTCTTATTCATCACTCTTAAATTCTACCTTCCATAAAACCCATGGGCATGGACACAGATGTAATTTTAATCTGTGTCCCTGCCCAAACCTTATGTCTAATTGTAATCCCCAGTATTGGAGGTGGGGCCTGGTGGGAAGTGATTGAACCATGGGTGCAAATTTCTCATGAATGGTTTAGAACCATTCCCCTTGGCACTGTCCTTGAGATAGATCGTGAATGAGTTCTCATGAGACATGGCCATTTAAAAAGTGTGTAGCACCTCCCTTCTCTCTCTTGCTCCTGCCCCTGCCATGTAAGAAGCCTGCATCTCCTTTGCCTTCAGCCATGATTAGAAGCTTCTAGAGGCCTCCTGAAAAGCAGAAGCCACTATGCTTCTTGTACAGCCTATAGAATCATGAGCCAATTAAACCTCTTTTTTTTTGATAAATGTCCCAGTCTCAGGTATTTCTTTATAGTAATGTGAGAACAGACTAACACAGGCACAATTCAGTTAAGTTCCTTGCCACCTCATAAAAAGAATGGCCTTTACTTTAAAAAAAGGATGGACATTCCTCTTTTCTGTCTCAGCTTTCATCAAAATGGCCATTACTTTTCATATTTCTATCAATATTCTTATCACGACCACCTAAGTAATCTTTTAAAAGTTTCAGATTTTTCTACATTTCTTCTTTTCTTCTGAGTTCTTACCAGAATTTCCCTTAGTGTTCAATTTATGGTAGTCTAGGATTCTTCTAGCCTGCTCTTCTAAATTCCTCCAACCTCTGCTCATTACCCAGCTAAAAGCCACTTCCACATATTCAGGTATTTGTTATAGCAAAAGCCCCACTCTTGGTGCACATTTTCTATCTTAATCTGTTTTTTGTTGTTAGACTAGCACAGGCTAAGTAATTTATAAAGAAAAGAAGTTTATTTGGCTCATGATTTCAGAGGCTGAGAAGTTCAAAGGCATGGTGCTGGCATTGCCAAGGGCCTGCATGCTGTGTCATTCCATGGTGGAAGGCAGAAATGCAAGAGGGAGAGAGAGCAAGAGAGGCTGAACTCTCTTGCCCTCACACGAATTTATTCATGCTCATGAAAATGAATCCACTCCCCCAATAATGACATTAATTTATCCCTGAGAGCATAACCCTCATAACCTAATTACCTCTTAAAAGTTCCACCTCTCAACACTATTACAATGGCCACCAAAGTTCAACATGAGTTTTGAAAGGGACGTGCAAACCATAGCAGTAGGAAACCTAGGAAACTTGTACTATGCATACACTGTGGCCTATTTTTAAGTTTGTTAATTCTTTCTTCAGCTATGTTGAATCTACCAATGAACCTGTGAAAATAATTCCTCATCTCCCATATCGTGGTTTTATTTATAACATTTCCATTATATTCTTTCTTATAGTTTTAAGCTGTCTATCAGAAACCTTTTCTTGTTTATGCATGTTGTCCACCTTTTCAACAACATCATTTAACGTTTTCATTACACATATTATGTTTGCATTAAGTGAATATTTTTTCTATGGCAGTCAACCCTTCATATCCATGGATTCTTCATCTTGGATTCAACCAACTGCAGATAAAAAATATTTGGGAAAAAAAGGTTGGTTGTGTATGTACTGAACATGTACATGCTTTTTAAAAATCATGATTTCCTAAACAATATAGAATAACAACTATTTACCTTGTATTAGGTATTATAAGTAATCTAAAATGATTTAATGTATACAGGATGATGTATGTAGGTTATATGCAAATAGTATACAATTTTATATAAAGAACTTGAGCATCTGTGAATTTTTGTATCTGTGGGGTTCCTCTTTTGGAACCTTGGTTTGAAACCAAGCACCCACAGATACTGAGGGATCACTGTATAACATTTTAAATCCTTTGTTGATTTTTAAATTGTATTTTAAATGAATGCTCTAGAGCTTAACATATATATCTTATCAGATTGGCTTCAGATTTATACTAACAATGCCAGTGAGATATAGGAGCATTACTCCTATATAGCTCTATTCTCTTTTTCCTCCTTTTGTTCTGTTATTGTTGTAATACATAGTTCACCTACTTACAAACTTAACAATATATTGTTATAATTGTTACTTATAATTTTAAAGGAGATGGGAGAAGAAAGGAGAACGTTTGCATATTTCTAGCATTTGTAATGTTAACCTTATTTATTTTTTCTGGTTATCTTCATTTGTTTCTCAGATTCACATTTACATCTGATCTCATTTCATTACTCCAAAACTGTTCTGCTCCTAGCTAACTCTTTTGTGCTATTTTTGGTAAATCTATTACATTTCTTTATGTTTTCCATTCACAAATAAGGTATATACTTATTGTCTTATGTAACTGTTTTTTTAAACTAGTTAAAAGAAGAGAATAAACATGCATTTATGCTTTCTTTTATAATTACTTACTATATATTCCTTATAATTACTTACCATAAAAACTTACTTTTATCAATGCTTTTTATTTTATTTATGTGGATTATAAACACTGTCTGATGTCACTTGCTTTTAGTCTGCAGAAATTCCTTTAGTATTTCTTGTAAGTTTGGTCTGCTAGCAACAAATTCTCTCATTTAGTTTATCTCAGAATTTCTTTCTTCTGCCTTAATTTTTGAAAGATAATTTTGCCAGCTATAGGATTTGTGGTTGACCTTGTTTTTTCTTTCACCACTTGGAATATGTCATCCTGTTCCCTTCTGGTCTCAACTGTTTCTGATGAGAAGTCAGCTGTTAATCTTACTGATTCCATTAGATGTGAGATGTTCCATTAGATGTGAGAAGACACTTTCTCTTGTTGCTTTGAAGATTTTTTTCCTTGTTTCTCAGAGATTTTACTATTATTTGTCTACTGTAGATCTCTTTGTGTTTATTCTACTAGAAGTCTATTGACCTTTGTGGGTGAGTAGATTAATATTTTTCATCGAATTTGAGAAGTTTTCAACCATGATTTCTTCAAATATTTTTTACGTTCTTCTGTATCTCTCCTATCCTTCTGGTACTTCCATTACATGTATATTGGTACACTTAGTGGTATCCCATATTTCTCTGACACTTTTTCATTTTTCTGTATTTCTTTTTTGTCTCTGATCTTTGGATTGCGTGATTTCTATTGACCTATCTTGAAGTTTAATCATTATTTCTTCCATTAGTTACAAAATACAGTTGTGCTCCTCTGGTTAATTTTTTACTTATTGTACTTTCAGACTCTAGAATCTCCATGTGGCCATTTTTATCATTTTGATATTTTTGTTGATATTCTCTACTCAGAGAAACATTATCATCATACTTTTCTTTACTTTTTAAATAAAATCATTTCCTTTAATTCTCTGAACATATTTATAATGTCTACTTTGAATTTAAATGTTAAATATGCCATCTGGTCCCTCTCACATACAGTTTCTATTGTTAGCTTTTCCTCCTGTGTATGAGTCACACTTTCCTGTTTCTTTGCATATCTTGTAATTTTTTGTTGAAAACTACACATTTTAGATATTATATTGTATCACTATGGATACTGTTATCTCACTTCCAGGGGATTATTATTGTAATTTGGTTATCAATTTGTTTATAGTCATGCACTATATAACAATATATCAGTCAATGATGGACTGCATGTAAGATGGTGGTTCTATAAGATTATAATGGAGCTGAACAACTCCTATCACCTAATGACATGGTAGCTGTTGTAACATCATAGCACATCACGTTTCTCATGTGTTTGTGGTGATGTTGGTATAAACAAACAAGCATACCATGCTGTGGTTGTATAAAAGTATAGCACATAGAGTTAGAAGTATAGCACAGTACATAATACTTGGCAATAATACTAATTTTACTAATTTATGTATTTACTATACTATGCTTTTTATCATTATTTTAAAATATACTCATTCTACTTACAAAAAAGGTGTTAACTATAAAACAGTCCCAGACAGATCCTTCAAGAGGTTATGCCAGAAGAAGGCACTGTTATCATAGGAAATGACAGCTCTATGCTTTTTATTGCCACTGACTACTTTCCATTGGGACAAGATGTGGAGGTAGAAGACAGTGACACTGATGATCATGACCATTTGTAGGCCTAGGCTAATGTGTGTGTTTGTGTCTTCGTTTTTCTTTTTTAAGTTTAAAAAGTAAAAAATAAATTAAGAATAGAAAAAAGCTTATAAAATAAGGATCTAAAGAAAGAAAGTATTTTTGTACAGCTGTAAAATGTGTTTGTGTTTTAAGCTAAGTGTTATTATAAAAGAGTCCAAAAGTTAAAAAAAGTTTATAGAGTAAAAAAGTTACAATATGCTGAGGTTTATTTATTATTTCAGAAAGAAACTGTAGTGTTGTTTAAGTGCACAGTGTTTATGAAGTCTACAGCAGGCAGTGTACAGCAATGCCCCAGGTCAACACATTTACCTATCATTTCTCACTGACTCACCCAGAACAGCTTCTAGTCCTGCACGCTCTGTTTATGGTAAGTGTACTATTTTTTATCTTTTATACTGTATTTTTAACATATATTTTCTATGTTGAGATACAGAAATGCTTGCCACTGTCACAATTGCCTAGAGTATTCAGTATAGTAATATGCTGTACAGGTTTGTAGCCTAAGAGCACTAGGCTATACCATCTAGCCTGTACCATCTAGGTTTGTTGAAGTACATTTCATGATTTTCATACAATGACAAAATCACTAAACAATGCATTTCTCAAAATGTATTCCCGCCATTAAGTGATACATGACTATTTCCCTGGCTGTGTGTACTCTCTAGCATTGCTCTTAGAGGGTGCAGTCTTGGTTATGTATGCAGATCCTGAAGTAATAGTGATTTTAATAGGGATTCTTTGACTGTCACACTGATCACACACAATTGTTAGGCTCCACTAATTGCCAGCTGATGGTCCTATTATTTTTGATAATGCCTGGGTTGTAAATTGTTCCATAGTCTGATACAATTAAGTTTGGATTCCTTTATAGCAGTGGCTTTGAGGTCAGATTTCTTAGCTCTCTCTTTCTCAGGGTCTCCCAGTTAATCTATCTGGTCTATAATTTATTTCTTACCTCTCATGAATGTATCAGCCTTCTTCTTTGCCTTCCACTAAAACCTTCATTGTTTTTGAGAGTTTCGTTGGACTTGAACTTTCCTACCCTCTCTTTCAAACAAAGTGAATTCTTTCAGAGCTTTCTGTTTTATGGCCTGGCTCTTCCCCTGAGCAAAATATCTGAGCCATAGCTCTTGAGCTGGGGGTGAGGATGGTGGTGCAGCTCTCACTAAGTGACAACTCTGCTTTAGTTTCAGGGTGGCAGACAGGGGTAGCAGCTTTGCACTTCCTGCTTTGCCTTTTCTGGTGTAGAGCTTCTACTCTGTGAGTGAGGATGAGTGGGATCCTAGCATCCTCAGCATGCTTCTCTCGAGCCAGGTCCCCTGCCCTATGAGTGAGGACTGGGTAATAGCAGGAAGTCTCTGACCTCTCGTCTTTCCTCTCCTGGAAATTAATTTCTGCAATGTGTACATGGAAAAGAGAGGGATGAGCAATGCTTGGCTACCTACCCCTTCTGGGAAGATACCAGAGCCCTTGACTGGGAGCTGATAGTAAAGAAGCCCAGTGCTCTTGGCTGCACGTGCCTGGAGTGGATTTCCTATCGTAATGAGCTGGGAGGTGGGAGGAAGGTAGTGGGTTGTAGTTCAAATATCATAGACTCTCACTCTTCTGACCAAGCTTTGATAGATTTTCTTAAGTAAATGTTTTCTTTGTTTGCTGTATGCTCTCAGTACAATTTCCAGAGACTTGAAGTGCTTTTCTTAAATGCTTTTTTTCACCAATTATGCTTGTTTAACTGGCCTGGCAGTCTGCAGAGCTTCCTTGTCAATCATAGTTGTGTTAAAGCTACTCACCGATCATTCCAATGTCTGGATCAGCTCTGCATTGAGTTCCATTGTTTTTTACTCTTGAAAATGGATTGTTTTTCAGCTGTTCTACATACAATTTACAGCCTTTTTTAAAAAAATTTGAGACAAGGAAACAATTCATTCTCAAGAGAAAAAAACAACAGAACTCAATGCAGAGCTGATCCAGACATTGTAACTATTGGTGAGCAGATTTAAAGCAACTATGATTGACAGGGAAGCTCTGCAGACTGTCTGGCCAGATAAACAAGGATAATTGTGAAAACAGTTATTTAAGAAAAACACTTAAAATCTGGACATGAACAAACCTCTTCTTCGGTTGAGCTTGAAGTCTGAGGGGTTCAGTTAATCTGGTTGGGAGGTCGAGATGTTTGGTGGTCTTTAGTGAACCATATGCTACACATTCCTTTAGTCATGCATTGCTGTTATCTTGGGCTCAGGGTATTTAGATTGGGTATACACATTGGGTTTAACACAGAAACAATAACCAGTAGAATACTTTAAATTTGTGAGATATTTTGAAATCTTCACAGTGTTATCACAGCTGTTTTTGATGTTGTTCTCTCTTTGGCCTAACCAGATAGATATTTGTATGAGGGATAATTCTTCATCTCTTGGTCATTATTTCCAGTATGCCTGGACCATGTGGTCTTGGTAAAACAATTTGTTTGCAACTTTTTCTCCTGAATTTATTTTTTATTGTTCTGAAGGCCATGAACCTGCACGGTTCAAAACTGTTTTGAACAGTTTTCCACAAAATCACCCATACATACATACATATACCCTTTTTCCCTAGATTTACTGGCAATTTCTTTCATATGGTTAACACTAAATACCATTCTTAGAGAAATGACCAGATTTTAAATTTGTTTTCTCTTCTTCACCATTACATAAATACTTGGATGCTCTTTTCCAGAATTAGGGTAAAGGGGATAAAGCTTTTTTCTTTAACTTTTATTTTTGCCTCCTGTTCACTTTTTGAGAATGGGATGTTAGCAGCAGTCCTGAGGACAACAAAAACTTATAATTTAATGAGAATTAACCAGGGATCTAACCCTATACATGCAAACACACAATTTATCTATAGCTTTGACATTTCCTTGATGTTGGGATCTTCTGTCCAGTTGCTTAAGCCAAATCCGTTTGTGTATTAGACTTTTCTCTCCCTAAATATCAAAAAGTTCTGTCTTCTCTTAGGTGACTTTTTGGAACATGTCATGGAATTGGGAGCTGTTGATGCTTCTCTGCCCCACACTCACACTCTAACACCCACCCCCCTGCTACTGTGAGAATTGTCTTCTAAAAATGCTTACAACCTCCCCTTCAGGGAATCACAGTAGGCTGAACAGAAACCACCTCATGCAAATTTATACTCTACCCCTCCCCAAAAAATCCCCACAGCCCGAGGCAGACTGCCTGACAGAGAGATACAAAAAGCCATTCCACTGGTTTCATCACAAGATCACCTCTATGGAGGTCCTATGGGATGTGGCTGAAACCATATCCCGGGTTAGCTCTCTGCCCTTGGCTTATCCTGCTTGCCTTCCTCCCTTTTCCCAGACAGCATTTCTACCATATGTCACTTCCACAGGAATCCCTGTCTCAGGCTCCGCTCCTAGGGAGCCCAATCCAAGTCTCTTGGAAGTGGTTCTAAAAGCAGACAATCTGGAGGTGGGTCACTTGCTGGCAGATGTCAGAGAGAACTGCATCAGCGGAGGTACTGATAGACCCCAGAGCAATGAGATGATGGAGTGAATGCAGTTGTTAAGATTTTCTCCTCTTTGCACCAGTATTTGAAAGGTTCAAGGAAAACAGTAACTATAAGGACTGTGGAATTCAGTCAATGTTTGCTAAGTGCCCCAACATTGTTGAGGAGAGAAAATGACACGCTCAGCTCTACTTAAAGGTATGAGAGTCAGAAAGCTTCTTTGGCAGCAATTAAAGAGACACTCCCTGCAGTCAAAGGGCTGACAAAGTGAAGAGAAGACTCAGAATTGAACTGTAAAAGTAACAGAATTTCAAAGAAGATTCATTCAGTCTAACCAAATCTCCTGTAGCAAAGACTGGCTCATGATAGGGAATGAGTGGGACTCAGTCTTGGTGTAAAGATTTCTAGATAAATGCAGTTGAGAACTTTGAACACCCAGATTTCTCTGAACTCCCTTGGGCTGCAGAAATATCTCATTCCCTTATTGGAAGATATGGCACCCTCTCTTACTTTAGGAATATGCAAAGAGTTCAAATAAAGTTGGTGCCTTACGAGACGATGCTTGTCTTCCTCAGAAACTGCTCCCTCCTCTTCTCCTTCTACCCGATTCATACACAGGGTTAAATATCAACATAAGCTGGGGAAGATCTGAGGCTGCTCACAGAAAAGAGATTTTGTACCCCAGAGCTCCTGCAAGAATGGGCCAATGTGCACTAGCAGGTACTAGGAGAGATGCCTGTGGGTGGATCCAGAGGCCAGTGGATCCAGGGGGTGACTGGAAGATAAAGCTGGATAAGGAAGAGTTTGTTAACATGAAGCCACTCTCCCATCATGCAGGATTTAATACGCTGGCAAGGAGCTTGGAAAATGAGTCAAATATATGCTATTTGCTGACTCATGGAAGCTTGGAAAAAGTAACATCCTTCATTAAATTAAGCGGAGATGCCAAAAATTGCCTTGGAAGACGATAAAGGAAAGGATCAAAAGGCTTAGAAGAGTGGAAATGCTATAATGGATCTACTATGTAAGACCGAAAAGCCTATCGGCTGATCATGTTCCCAAGGAGACCTGGAGGACACTCTGCCTAGCAAGATGATTAAAAAGAATGTGCTGTAAAAGAAAGTATTAGCTGGGGTGGATTATGTTAGGAGCTGCTGTTACAGAACTGAGTTCTCTAGTAGCAAGGGGACATGGATAACTAGAACAGCAGAGGCCAGGTGGCAGTGCTTAACTGTCAGATGCAAAGCGGGTGGACTTACCCTATTGGGCAGAAAGGTTGAACTGGTAGATAGGAGCAGGCTGAATTGCAGGGATCTTTGGAGATGGCTCACAGAACATAGTGTTCTTGAGGCAGGCTGTGTGGGCAGCTAACAAGAGTTCTGCTGAATATACATAACTGAAAGAGATCAAGAATGTAGAAGAAAAAGGCTAAGGACAGTCACCCCACTGGAAAGTCAGGATCCTTTGCCAAATCTCCAGATTTGAGCTAGTCCACAGACCCACGATCTATCAAACGAAAAGGAATCTGAGGCACCAGAGGTAGGGCCCTGCGACACCATGACAAGTATGTCTAGTAGCAGTTCCCCGATTTTTCCCCTACAGCCATCTACATGAGTAACCATCACTGGAGACAGAGGAATATTCAGATATGTCGAGGGCTGTGGTATAGAGTAATATGTGAGTTAAAACTTATTCCCAGAGATCCAAAGCACCATGAATGGGCCTCTTATTAGAGAAATCTACAGGAGTCAGGTAAGGAATGAAGTGCTGATCCAGACGTATCTCACAGTCGTTCCCTCTTTTTTTTGAGACTGAGTCTCACTCTGTCACCCAGGCTGGAGTTCAATGGCATGATCTCGGCTCACTGCAACCTCTGCCTCCTGGATTCAAGCTATTCTCCTGCCTCAGTCTCCTGAGTAGCTGGGATTATAGGCACCCACCACCATGACCGGCTACTTTTTGTATTTTTAGTAAAGACAGGGTTTTACCATGTTGGCCAGGCTGGTCTCGAACTCCTGACCTCAGGTGTTCCACCCACCGTGGCCTCTCAAAGTGCTGGGATTACAGGCATGAGCCACTGCGCCTGGCCTCGTTCCTTCATTTTTTACTTCTTTTCTTCTCCCTTTTCCCCTTTTTACTTTTCTCTTTTCCCCTTCACTTCCACCCCCCATTCTCCCTCTCCTTCTTCCTCTCTCTCTCTCACACACACACGCACACACGCACATACACACTCTGAATGAATACTCATTCAGCATCAGGCCTTATGCTAGGCACTGAGAACTCAGAGATGAAATCCAGCTCATCCATCCAAGAGCTCAGTACAGTGACGGAGAGGGACGAGTCAGTGAACAGCACATGGTCACAAGCACCCCACAGAGGAGTGTGCAGGGGAGCATGGCAGCACAGAGGAGGAACAGCCAACTGGGCCTGGAGGGGGAAATAAGTAACTTAGATAGATATCTACTCATAACTCTCTCCATCTTCCTCATCTCTCCAATTTCCCACTCCAATTTATATCAACACATCATACATTTATTTTAACTCAAGGGAAAAATTATAAAGATAATCCATATAAAGAAGATACTGGCCAATTTATATCATTAGACAAGTCAATCTTTCTAATTAGATGGGGGAGCAAAAGAAGGGTGGATCCCCTGTGGGGGGTATGTTTTATTTCATGTTTGAAAGAAAAGTAAGTATCATCAGGCAGAAAATCTTGGGTCCCCTGCGTCTTACACCCGTTTTCAGCTGGGACTTGGCCCCGCTCAGCGTTAATCTCTTGGCATGCATTTCTAGTCACGTTAAATAGACATTTCATAGAAGACTCAGCTGATGTTAAGTCAACCATGAGGACATTCAGAAAGCGATCTTACAAGCAAGAACTCCCCGCTCAGGAGTTGGGATTTCAGAAGGTAACCAGCTTCTGCCAGGTTATTTTCTTTCTTTCTCACGGATGAGCTACTTTCCTGAAGCCTCCCAGAACACTTTAAAATTTGATCAGAAAACTACTCTGGAGAGGCTATAAGTGCAGAAGAGTAGCTTTCTCAGAGGCCCAGATTCTTTCCCCTGAATTTCGTCTCATCATTGGAAAACAATTCGTGGAAAAACATGGAATTTACAGCCAGACTTAGGCCCAAGTCTCAGCTCTACCCATTCTGAGTTGTATGAGCTTAGGTCAGGTATCCACTCCTGTGACTATGAGAGGGACCACTTCTTAGGAGATGAAGAACATAAAAAATACAGGAGCAGGTTCACATCTGGCCATAAGGAGCAGGTTCACATTTAAGGAGCAAGTTCACATCCGGCCATAAGGAGGAGGTTCACATTTAAAGGAGCAGGTTCACATCTGGCCATAAGGAGCAGGTTCACGTTTAAGGAGCAGGTTCACATTTAAGGAGCAGGTTCACATCCGGCCATAAAGAGGAGGTTCACATTTAAAGGAGCAGGATCACATCTGGCCATAAGGAGCAGGTTCACATTTAAGGAGCAGGTTCACATTTAAGGAGCAGGTTCACATCCGGCCATAAGGAGGAGGTTCACATTTAAAGGAGCAGGTTCACATCTGGCCATAAGGAGCAGGTTCACATTTAAGGAGCAGGTTCACATTTAAGGAGCAGGTTCACATCCGGCCATAAAGAGGAGGTTCACATTTAAGGAGCAGGTTCACATCCGGCCATAAGGAGGAGGTTCACATTTAAAGGAGCAGGTTCACATCTGGCCATAAGCTTCAGAGGTGGAAGAGCCATCTGAGATCATCTACACTTTTCTTTGATCTTTGGATTTCTTTTTTCTTTGAATTTGGACAATAAATCATTGGTTACATGGTTAGTCATGTCCGTGCTAGGAATTGAGCTTGGGTCTGCTGAATGACAAAACAGAAGGTAGACTAGGGAGGAAACAGTGCAAGGGAAAGAACACACATATCTATTCTTTTTTTTTTCTTTGAGTTGGAGTCTCGCCCTGTTGCCCAGGCTGGAGTGCAGTGGTGCAATCTCGGCTCACCACAACCTCCGCCTCCTGGGTTCAAGTGATTCTCCTGCCTCAACCTCCCAAGTAGCTGGGAATACAGGCATGCACCACTGCACCCGGCTAATTTTTATGTTGTTAGTAGAGACGGGGTTTCACCACGTTGGCCAGACTGGTCTCGAACTCCTGACCTCGTGATCCACCTGCCTCAGCCTCCCAAAGTGCTGGGATACAGGTGTGAGCCACTGCGCCCAACCAAGAAAACATATATGGATTATTTTCCCTTCCCTTACGCCTTTTCCTATTATATATATATGATCCATATATATTTTCATAGGATATTATATATAACATATATTATAGATATAATACATATATATGTGTTATATATGATACACATAAAAATATATATGTAATAGGAAAAGGTGCAAGGGAAAGAATATGTATATAATAATATATATATCTATATGTCATAGGCAAATTAACAGTAACAAAGATTGCAAGTTGGTTAGATTGCTCAGGGAACCAATGGAAATAGAGGAAGATTCATAGTCAGATCCTAAAAAGAATTTCCCAGGGTGCAGAAAGTGTAACTAAAATATGAAAGGAAGGAAACATAAATAAGTGAATGTTGATAAATGAAGGAGTCTGTTCATTAATCTATAAGCAAGACTACAAACTCAAAGTAAGATTACCCAGCCCTTCCAAGGGCAGGCTGGGCACGACAGAAGCAGAAACCTGGGGTGAGGCAGGGGCCACAGTGCAGCGGACAGCTGCCTGATCAAGCCTTTTGACTGCCGCTCTGTTCCCCTGTGTGTACGAAGATCTGCTGCTTTGCAGAAAGCTCGAGACCCAGGCCATGTTAAGAGAGAAGAGGCCCAGATCAAAAATGTTGCAGCAGTGATTTTTGGGCCTTTCTAGAAAGAAAGGTGGTATTATGGTGAGTAATGCTTCTAGAATGTTGTGTGTGATGGGGGGAGCGAGAGTATAAGCTGTATGCGTAGACCATGCGGCGTTACGAGTTGAAATATACAAGTAAACACTTCTAAAGTCAGCGTGCAAAATTAAGGTGTTAGAAGAAGTTTCAGATGAAAAAAATAATTAGAAAGAATGACTTGTCTAATGATGTAAATGGGCCAGTGTCTTATTTATATGGATTATATTTATATTTTTTTCCCTTGAGCTAAAATAAATGTATGATGTGTTGATATAAATTTGAGTGGGAAATTGGAGAGATGGGGAAGATGGAGAGACATGTGAGTAGATATCAAGGTAACTGAAGACCATTCAATGTGTGGAGGGACAGAGACAGATGGAAGGAGACTTGGGGACTGAGTAAGGAAGAAAGGACTATACATTAGAAAGGATGATTCAGCTTAGAGCAGAACTGGAGACGACTTGAGGCCGTGAAAGGAAGATTCACAAAGTCAGGGCTGGGGAACAAGGAACAGAGGCAGGGGCTGGTGGAGCTAGGGAGAGTTCATGCATGCAAATTCCGGGGGACACTAGCTCAGCTGGCTGACACTAGGGCAGAAAAGCTGGGGTCCAGTAGGCAAGGATGGGAGAGACTCTAAATACCACAGAAACAGCAAAGCTGCTTAGGAGTGAAACTTAGCTTTTAGCAATAATGACTACCATTACTGACAACATACTTCCAGCCGTCATGATGAAGACATTGCATACATTATTGCTTTTTTTAAAAAATTGTATTAAATTTAGGAGATAATTTTGTTAAATGCATAGATTGCATAGTAGTTAGGGCTTTTAGGGTATCCATCTCTCAAGTAATGTTTATTGTACCTATTAAGTAATTTCCCATCATCCATCCTTCTTTTCCTCCCCACTCTTCTGAGTTTTCATTGTCTATTATTCCACACTCTGTGAGCACATCATTTAACTCCCAATTATAAATGAGAACATGCAGTATTTGTCTTTCTGTGTCTTGGTTGTTTCACTTAAGATAATGACCTCCAGTTTCATCCATCACACACATTATTTATAATACAATAGCCTTGCTAAGAAAAGGTTATTATCTCCACTTTACAGGTGAAGAGCGTGAGGGCCACAGAGGTTAAGAAACATCTTGAAAGTGACAGAAATTGTATTTCAACTTGGTTCTAGCTGATGCCAAAGAGCTACCCTGAGGTTTCCCAGCCACTATTGTGAGGTGCTCACAAACCACTGCCAATGCGCTGACTAAATAATACTGGCTACATTCAAGCGTATGCAGCTGATGCTCTTACAAAGAAAATGCCCACCCATTGAAGAGTATTGCTGATTTTGCAATTTTTGTATTGCATGAATTTTCTCAACGAAGGGATAAAAAGGATCCATTTAATAACTTTTAGCGTCAAGTGGGGGATTCTCACAATTTGTTAGGGGAATTCTGCCGCTGAAGGAGTTTGGTAGCCACCGTGTGCTGCCTTTCCCAAGCCAGCCATGTTCTGCAGCCTGTGTAATCTCCAGGCCAATAGCATGCACAAAGTACTCAGTTCAAGGACCTCGACCGTGTGCAAAAGGCATTGTGCACTGCCTGCAGATGTGTGACTATGAGGCGCTCAGAGGAACACACTGCAGAACGAATGAGGTGAAGGAGAGACTAATGGGCTGAGCCTGGGGTATTAAACTGGATCTATATGAGAGGAAGCCACCGTCTTCCGTGGATGCTGCTAATTACAGCGACGAGATTATATGAAATGATTTTTGCTTGAGATAGTTTCTGCTATCATTGTATTTTTCTCATTTTCCAAGTTAATTAATTTTTATTAACAGTTTGTTGTTACCGCCTACCTTCCAAAGAATCAGGACCCAGAGAGGCCACGATGCCAAGTGTCAGAGGCGTGTGCGGTCTCAGAGGTGTGGATTCAGCTCCACCTGGTGGCAGCTCTACGTAGTGCAGCGGAGGTACCGGGGCGCTCAGGCCTCCGACTGCAAAGCCTGTTCCCCGGAGGATGAAGGGAGAAAGGGGGCAGAGCCTGTGCTTATTGCCAGAGTGAGGGGGAGAGTAAAAAACACAAAAGATCGAAAATATCGGGGACAATTTTTTGAAAACTTGAAACAAAAATAAGAGACATTCTGAAGCAAATCAAATTTTAAAAAATGGTTTGAGGGAGACCCACGAACCAAGACACTCACTGAGAATAATAGCAGAATGATTTCCATGAATAGGGAAACACAATTTAACTATTTTTTTTTTTTGAGACGAAGTTTCGCTCTCGTTGCTCAGGCTGGAGTGCAGTGGCGCGATCTTGGCTCACTGCAACCTCCGCCTCCCGGGTTTAAGCTATTCTCCTGCCTCCGACTTCTGAGTAGCTGGGATTACAGGCAACTGCCAATAGGCCCTGTTAATTTTTTTTATTTTAGTAGAGATGGGGTTTCGCCATGTTGGCCAGGCTGGTCTCGAACTCCTGACCTCAGGTCATCCACCCGCCTCGGCCTCCCAAAGTGCTGGGATTACTGGCGTGAGCCACCGCTCCTGGCCAATTTAACTAATTTTTAAAAGTTTGATAGAACTATGATCTTAAGAAGAAAGGTTAATTGAAAGGGATTCAATGCTGTGTTGATTCCCTCCAGAAGAGCCTGGGGCAGAGGTTGGTGAAATGGTTAAAACTGTAAACCCATGTTGCTATGTCTGGGAAAATCCTGTTCTCAGGTACGCATTTAACTGGGATGTTACCAACACATTTACTGTCTCCTTGGGGATTACAGAAGGCACACATTATACTGTTTTTACTGAATATATTGAATGCTACCAATAATATAACCAGTCCATGGAGCACATGCCATGAAGTAGGTCTGTCAGAGAGATATTACCTGCCTTGTCCTCACCAAACCATGTAAATTAAATACTCTGTCCCACGTTAAGGATAAGGAAAACAGGGATTCAGAGATGTCAGGTAACTTGCCCGAGTTCTCCTAACTACACAAACGCCAAGAGGAGATTCAAATTCAGGTCCCTAATTCCAGATCCTGTTCTTTCAATTCTATCATGGTGCTTTTCTTTGAACCACATGCATTTGAAATTTGATTTTAAAGTTGGTTTTAAATTGATTTGTCAAATTATTAATAAATTCATATGGCATAAAGTTCAAAAAGTACACAAGTATAGGACCACGTGAAAACAAATAACATGAAAAGCAATCTCTTTCCCAGCCATCCAATCTCACTTCCCCGTGGCAGCTGTGTTTTCAGAGCCTTGTATATCTTTCCAGGGTATGTGACCATGTGTAGGATTAAGAAATGTCAGCATCAAAATGATTGAGTCTCCAACATTATATAAAATTTTATTTGTATAACTAAGGCAAAAAGTCACAATAAGAGGTTAATTGACTTGAACATCAAAATTAAAACAACTTAGCTTGCTCCAACAGAAATTTAAATTCAGTCAAAAGCTAAGCACAGAGGAGTTTCAAAATAAAATGAGTTAATTCACCATTCAGTCTTTTGAATAGTTTTGAGTTGCTACTAATGGAAGGCTTCAAAACGATTGGTTAAATTTTCTCCAAAACTTTATGCACATTTCCAAAACCCTGTTAGAAAGCTCCGAATTATCCAGCCTGTCTTCCTTTCCTTTATTTTATCAAAACTGTTGTTCTGATATCCAGTTCTATTTCTTGGTTATTAGATTGACCATTAGCCAACCAAGTGAATGTTGGCTAGAGATACTCATCAAGACTCTGGGCCAAAATGTCAGTTTGGATTTTATTTCTGGTTACATTATGGGCAAACTAGATGGTCATTTCTCTAACAAACATCTTGAAGTCTTAAAAATGCTCCCAAACTCTTTCCCCCACACGTTGTTTTGTCAGTATGAGTCCAGTTTTCACATGCAAAGTGAATCAGATCTATCACACGCAGTTTTAAGTACATTTTTGCAAGAGGTCCCATTTTTAGCCAAGTCACAGCTGAGCTTTACTTTCAGCTAATTAGTACTTGTTCTTAAATTGGGCAGTTCCAACCCAAGCTAGGAGATGAGATGCAATTTACTTCCTCTCTACTCTCCTAAAATTAACTGAGCTGTAAAATGTGAGTGTTCCCTTGTTTTTCCCTGGGTTTGGTTCCATCATAAGGAATTCAACAGAACTCAGAATATTTCAACAAGTCTTGCTGTTCTAATTTGAACAGTAATAGAGTACTTCCTTTCAAAACCTCAGCTCTTTGGTTGCCAAGCAACCATTAATTTATTGTAACTAACTAGTTTTAAAATTATATGTGATGTTGAAATGCAACAATATGCTTTTCATGCTCCTGAACGTACACAGCATTGGCCAGATCCGAAAGAATATGGCAGTCTTGAAGTATCAAAAACGATCACGAGCAATGCTTTTTGAGATCAAGAGAAGAAGAAATCTGTCTGTTCCCTGTATGAGCTCCTTAAGAGTGGCCTTAGGGAATACAGGAATCTGTAAGGGTTATAAGGGTTACACAATTTGACGTCCACAAAATTAGAGAAGCCCCAGGCACTGGAAGATCCTTGTCCCTAAAGAGGAGTGACATGAACTAGGAATAAGATATAGGGTTCCCTTAAAGGGCCCTGACAATACTTCAATTCACTTCATTGGCAGAACCTTTTCATTCATCCTGTATTATGTAAGGACGTTTTAAGGTGTGTGTAGTCGATTTATTAAATGTGCTAAATTCAATGGGATAGAAATAGGACAAAACCTTATTTTTCCCTCTCTCTTTGCCTCCAACAGGCTCCATCAGATCTCCCTGTCCTTCCCCTGTCACATTTAGGGCAGATCCTGTAATTTTCCTTGCTTTGCTTAAAAATGCCTTCATAGTGTTCATGAAGACCCATTATCAGGTGTTAAACTGTGCTTTTCAATCTATATTAGAACTTCAATATTGAATCCAATTTAAAGAACTTCTTTTCCACTGATCAGAGCTGACTGGCTATTTAGAGACCTGCAGGTGGAGAGCAGAAATGGTTTGCTCTTTTCACTCCTCCTTACTCATCTACTCCAATCCCCCATCTTTGCCTGGATCCTATGGTATTAAGACAGGGAAGAGGAGGTCAAGGGGAAGGGGATGATGTCTCTTCACTTGCCTGGAGCTGTTTGTCCCATCCCTAGCTGCTGATGCCCTTTTGCGGGGCAAGCATCCAAACGGTATCTTTCTTACTGGGTGCATTTGTGGATTCTTTAGATACCTTGTAGGAACACCTGCATTTCACATTGCCTTGTGATCCCCTTCAATTCCTGTGCTTGTTAAACTTACAGCCTCTCAGTGCTGGGGTCTCATTTGAGGAGGTACCACTTTTGGGCCAGGAACCTTCACCAAGGTTCATCATTCCCATGGCATCCACGTGGCCCCTTTTGCCCTATCAATGATAGGAATACCAGCTTGCTATCATAACTTCCCACTAATAAGGCAAGAGGACTCTTTGCTCTCTCAGACTCTGAAGGTAGGTGTTCATTGCTGTAACAGTGAAACAGCAAGAGAACTAACATAACTAACTCCATTTTTGTTTCAGGGACCTTTACCCATGCCTGCATGTAGGCTAGGATAATTTTAGAGCACTGAGATATTACGCAAAAACGGCAATCATGTAGTTTTAAAAACTAACTCTGGGATTAAAGGAGACTTATGTAAACAATTGCATGAAGTTTTGTTAAAGATTTATAGGAGCATCATGACCTGACCGAAGACAAGAAAGTTCCCCGCCTCCTCAGACCCTCGCTGGTGCCCGGATGTCTGAGGTCATTGGTCACCTCTCCATCCCAACCCCCTCCTCCTCCTCCAGCATTAACATAAAAAGGGTACAATTTGTACCGACTTAAGATGGTACTTTAAGATGCAATTCCATCATCGTCTCGGTTTGCTGGCTCTCCGAATGAACATGCTTTTCCTCCCACCAATTCGTGTCTCATGCTGGGCTTTTGAGCAGTGAGCAGCTGAACCTGGGTTTGGCTACATTGCTTCCTGAGTTTCTCTCACCATGTCACTCCCCTAGGGGCACCAGGGTGGGTCTTCTGGGACTTTGTGTTCAACCAGGAAGTGGCTAAGAAACAGACCTAACTTCTATAGGATAAGTAAAGGACCTAAGCCTCTTGGAGACGGCCTTTCCTTGCCTAGGGCATGTGGGAGAAGGAGCTATAAAACTCTACTCCCGTGAATTTCCTCCCTCTAGTAAACACTCTTTTTCTTTATAGCATGGGTTGCTGGTGAAACAAAGGCCAATGGATTGTCATGGCATTTTTAATGTCTTACAGATCTGTGTCTGGCACTTCTTTAAATTATTTTGGTACTAAATGCCTATTTCTTGTGGCCTTGAAATTCTATGACATATGAAAATGTTAATTTTCATATGTCATTATAGAGGCAACCACAAGAGGGCAATATTTCAGCAGCCGAAACAAAACCCTAGGAGAAGATGGCTGCCTTCCTCGGAGTACACCGATGTTGCTCAGATGCCTTTGGTCTACCTAGGTTGAAAGCTAGATAGAAAGTTCAGAATTGGGACAAGGTAAAGGGTCACATCAGGAAAATGCAAAGACGGGAAGGTGTAGCAAGACAGCAGCACACCAGTCTGGCAGACAGACAAAGACTAGAAAATTTGGGAAGAAATCTGCAATTGAGAAATGGGAAGTAAAGCACTCTTTTCTCACCTCTACTCTTACCCTACAAACCTGCTCCAGGCTATTCCACTCTGTGGTAGGCTGAGTCTTCCAAGAAGGAGACACCCAGCAGGATCAGAAGTCTGAGCAATTTCTTTGGGAAAATACAGAGGGAGAAGAAGGAAGAAGCCTGGCATTGGGAAGGCAGCGAGAGCCATCAGATAGTGATGGGGGCGTGAGCATTATGAAGGAGAGAGTCAAGGTGGGAAGACTGAGTGGAAGAGTCTGCGATTGCAGTGCAGCTCTAACAAAGTCCAACAAGTGCACCGAGTTCTTCTTGAGTTTACATTGCTTACCTGAGTGGCTCCCTGCCAGCCACAGTCATTAGCTAGGAGCAGTCTGTGGGAAGCATGACCTAACTAAGACATGAGAAGGATTTTGGAGCATAGCAGCTAGGGCTGCCAGTCAGCTATGCTCCCTGTCGTTAGAGATGTGAGAGGGGCATTTGCAGGGCCACTGCACACCCTAAACAATGAGTGAATGAATGAACGAATGCCCTTTTCTTATCCTTGTTTAACCATTACGTTACCATCCAATCTTATATCTCCTTTCCTGCAAAGCTTTTGAAATACAAGTACATACCCACTGTTATTATTTCCATACTTCCCATGCATTTTTTTTTAATCCGCAGCAAGTTGGATTCTCCTTGCCACTGTCCACTGAAACTGTTCCAGCCAAGCTGATCAGTTTTCACATGCAAACTGACTTCCCATTTATTTGCCCTGTTTCCAAGGACTGCATGAATTTGGAGCTCAGAAATAAAGTCAATTGGGGAAGATAATGGTGGATAAGAGATATTTGAACAGCCAAAAATGTGAGAGAAGGAAGGGAGATAAAGCTTTGAATATTTTATAAAAGAGGAGGAAGAAAAGAAGAATACTGAGAGGTTAAAGAAAGTGTGGACTTTAAAAACAACTTCTGGGATATTGAAAAATCTTTTCAAACAGGCGAATCAGGCAAACCCAGGGACTTTGTGATCATATGAAATCGAAGTGAAAAAAATAACCAATCAAATCTTCCATCTTCTGGCTAACTTCAGATTTGCCAGAAGAGGTCAGCAAAGACATTAACATCAGTCTTTGCCCTCCCTCGAGGCAGGATGGTGGGTTAGAAAGTGCTTTCTGCCACTTTGCTTAGAATTTATGCAGGGCTTCCATTATCCATACCCCTATCTTTTTTAGGCCCTCTTTCCAGAGTTTAACAGCTGCCTGAGCTCCTGGTGAGAGGATGGACCAATCTAAAATAAATAATAACACACATACCCTTTGTCTTATGTAATGACAGATCTTCAATTTAAATTTATGTACTGCATCTCTATGTAAACTAATTAAAATTTCTGGCATGTTAGCCTATGCAATTAGACAAGAGAAAAAAAATGCAGGGCCAAGATGTTAAAAAGGAGGAGAAAAAAAGATTAACATGAATTTTAAATAATTTGTTTATCTGGAAATCTCAACAAAATAAAGTAAAAAACCAATGTGGCTGGGCACAAAATTTATATTGAGAGTCAAAAGACTTCACATATAAAACACATTAAGTTAGAAAATATAATGGAAGGAAAGAACCTCATTTACAAAAGCAAAAGCAAAGAAATATAACATTATTAGGAATAAGCTTAACAAGTAAAGATTTACATTTAAACTAGATTGACATTTAAAAAAATGCTCCTGAAAGACACAAAAGTAGATTTGAGCAAATGGAAAGGTGGAGTAAACAATACAAAGATATCAATTCTCCTCTAAGTGTATCCATAAAAATGATACAATCACAATTTAAAAATCAATAGTATTTTTTAAATCTAGAGAAGCAGATTACATTTTATTCATGCATTATTTCATTCATTTATATTTTTAGAGACAGAGTCTTGCTCTGTCAGCCAGGCTGGAGTGTAGTGGCATGATCATAGCTCACTACAGACTTGAACTGCTGGACTCAAGTGATCCTCCCACCTCAGCCGCCTGAATAGCTGGGATTACACATGTGAGCCATCGTGCCCAGCTTAGATTAAACTTTTTATTATGGAAAAATAAACAAGCAAAAAATTTTCAAAAACATTCTGAAATAGAAGCATAATGAGGAATAACTACATCTGTAAAACAGACTATATAGCTATAATGTAAACAGTACTATCATTGGGAAAAAATGAATTATTCAATAAATGGTCAAACAAACTAGCAGCTACCTAAAAAACAAAAGTTAATTCCATTACTGCCTATGTCATACCAGGCTGTTTAAAATGGGTCAAATATTTAAATGTAAAAAAAAAACATAGATTTAACATAAGAAATAAAAGAATGTTTATAAAAATGGGTAAGACCTTTCTTAGGATGACTTAAAACACAGATGTCATAGAAGATTGACTTTATGAAGAATTTTTTAAAAATTTGCTATGGTTAATACTACCCCAAGGTAAACAGACACACGAAAACACCAGAAAACAATTTCAACTCATATCACAAAAGGTTAGTTTGCATCATGTGTAAAAAGCTCCTATAAGAAAAAAATAAAACTACTCAGCAGAAAAATGGGCAAAAGATAAGCACATGTGAGAATATTTTCATCTTCATTCATAAGGAGAACAATAAAAATTAAAGCCATATTAAGATACTATTTTCAGTTATTAAACTGGCAAATGTCAAAAAGTTTTATAGTACACTGCGTGAAAATAGGTAGTGTAAAATGTAATAGCCTGCATGAAGGGCAATTATGTAATATATATTAAAGTGACAAATGCTTTTACGCTTTGGCCTAGCAATTCCTCTTCTAGAAATTGTCATTTAGATATTGTGTACAGGGAAATAATGTATGTATTCCATTTGGTGGAATAATCTGGAGTTATTAAAAAAGGAAACAAGAACCAAGAATGTCTTATGTATAAATATACAATGATCTGTACTGCATAGGACATATGTTCGATATACTACCATTTGTACAAAAAGAAAATGTGCTTGTATGCATTTGCTTATGCAGACGTATATGCTTAAAATTACCTCTGTAAAGACACAGAAGAAAGTGATAACATTGGTTGCCTTGAGGGAGGAGGATCAGATAGAAAAGTGTTTCAAAGTATCCTTTAAAATTTTGAACCATGGAAGTATATTATGCTTTGATGCTTTAATATTTGAATATAGTTATATCTTCTTTTGATATTCTGGCACTTTTAAAAACATCTGTATTTGGGGTACTATATGATCCTGATTCTCTAAGTGTTATAATTAACATATATATCTTATTAATCCAAAACTCAACTATGTAGTCTTTCTAGAACATAGCTAGGAATCAGAAAATAGCAAAATAAACCAGCAAGCAGACAAAATAAATGTTACAAAGTCCATGAACCACATAAAGCTTAGCCACTTTACTCACAGGAAGTCTGTTAGAGTCCCTTTTATCTGTTTGTTTATTTATTGGAAATAAGCTTGATAAAATGATTTACTCATAGAAAGGAGATAAGAAAAGACAGGTCTACTGAAAACAACAAGCAGTGTGTTAGCTCTCAATCAAGAGACATGTTGAGAGAAATTAAAAACCAACTGTACAAAGCTGACCAAAGGACTTAAGACATTTTTGTTCATTTAGTGCAGGAGCAAACCTTCTCTGAGATCATGTATATATGACAGTGGCATCCTAATGATCGTCTTGAGAAACCAAGAAGACATTCAGGTATGCTCAATAGAATCTATTAAGACTGATTTTCATGCCTAACATTTAAATAAAATATAAAAACTTTTGATGATTAAGTCTAAAACTTAGAGTCTCTGGAAAATGGAATAACACATTTCAGGTTGGTGGTGTTTTGGAGTATATTTTTAAATGCTTAACTGAAGATATCACCAAATGCCAGAGTAATTGGTCAGAGATTTCTTTTTCTATTGAACACAAATGAAAACATCAGTATCAAAAATTGGCAGTAGATATGCAAAAAGGGAGTCAGGAAAATTATTCTTGTACAAGAAAACAACTTTATAAGAGCTCAGGAGAAACTTCTAACTTTTCTACAGTGGAATGACTCCAACAATCACAGTCAAAATTTAAAGAATGGGTAATATGTTTTAGCAAATAAATGAGAGGAATTGTAGCAGTCATTAATCTAGGACAGGTTAGAATAAAAGAGGTGGTAACATAATGATTAACCATTTAACAGAGTGATTAGGACTATTGCTGGCATACTCTTTGACCCAGCTATCCATTTCCAGGAATTGTTTTTCTAAATGTACTTACACGAGGATGCGAGGGTGCGGAGATATGTACAAAAGGACACATACACCCTTGTTGGAAACACATATATCCCTTGTTGGAAACATATATATCTTTTGCTTTAAAATAATTCAACTTGGCTGGGTGCAGTGGCTCACGCCTATAATTCCAGCAGTTTGGGAGGCCGAGGCGGAAGGAATGCTTATGCTCAGGAGTTTAAAGCCAGCCTGGACAACATAGGAAGACCTCATCTCTACAAATAATTTTAAAAATTGGCTGGGCTTGGTGGCGGGCACCTGTAGTCCCAGCTACTCAGGAGGCTGAGGTGGGAGGATCGACCCTGGGAGGTCAAGGTTTCAGTGAAGTGTGATCACACCACTGCACTCCAGCTTGAACAACTAAGTAAGACTTTGTCTCAAAAAAATAAAAATAAATAAAATAAAAGAATGCAACTGGAAGCAGCTTAAGTGTCTAAGGAAAGGGAACTGATTAAATAAATTCTGTTGTATTTATTAAATGGAATACTTACTACGTAACCATTAAATAGAAGTGGGGAATACTATATATATTGATATATAAAATTGACTACTTTAAAATAAATAAAAAGAAAGCTATAGAATACCATACAAGGTATCATATATTTTGTTTAAAAACATTTCTGTGTGTGTGTGTGTGTGTGTCTGTGTGTCTTAGGATATGATTAGGAAAAGGGTTAGAAAGATACCCATTGACCTGTTATATCACTTGGCTGAAGATATGGGGTGAATGGACAACGGGCCAGAAATGTTCACATTACTTTATGCATAGCTGTAGTTCTTGATTTTGTAAAGTTATTTTTAAAGTGTCTATAAAGAAGATTATTGTTGTTAACCTTGAAAAGTTAATTGATGGGATAGACTAGGAAATCAAACCCAAACTATAATTGGATTAAAATAAAGCATTAAAAATGACAAAACTTGAGAATGGTGTATAATAATCTGTCTTGGATATAAAGAGAATTTCTGAATAGGTGGTGTCAAATGATTAAAAGTTATTATAATGAATAGGAATTGTTTTATCTGCCTAGAATGCCTTCCTCCTTTCTCTGAGGGAGCAACTTTTTCCCTTGGGAAATGCTCCTTTCACCTTTGCAAACATTTGGCTTAAGAATATGTGATTTTCCTTCCCAGTCTATGCACCTGACCACAAGTGATGATAGGCCTGAAGGTGCACACATAACTCAAACTGGGCCAACCATTTAGACACCACTTCACCCCAGTGATAAGAGGTGGTGTTGGTGTCTACCTGACTCAAGCAAGACCAATCACAGCTCTCCCTCAGCATATGCCAAACTGGACTTGGAGGAGAAGGAGTGTCATTCCTTTGTTGATATTGGGACTCAAAGGTGCATTCCTAGAGCACCCACGTGGAGGAAGCCAGGTTGCAGAAGAGATAATGGAGCCAGTGTTAGAAAGAAGCTATGATAAGGAGTTGAGGGCAAAATAGTCCAGCTATACCACTGCTCCTCTTCCTTTCTTGTGGTTACATAGGAAAAAAATTATCTTCTTGACTAAATTAGTTCGGGTTGGGTATCAGACGTTCACATCCAGAAACATACTGACCAATAATAGAAAAAAAAAAACTGGTAAACAAGCCAACACAGTTACTTGCTTCCACCTTTTATTTCAATGCAATGTAATGATGATACGTGAATCTAAAAATAAACTGATAATATTCAAAATATTGCAGACTACAACCTTTATTCTTTTTTTTTTTTTCTTTTTGAGACAGAGTTTTGCTCTTGTTGCCCAGGCTGGAGTGCAGTGGCGCGATCTCGGCTCGTTCCAACCTCTGCCTACCGGGTTCAAGCGAGTCTCCCACCTCATTCTCCTGAGTAGTTGGGACTACCATTGCCTGCCACCATGCCCAGCTAATTTTTGTATTTTTTTTAGTAGAGATGGGATTTCACCATATTAACCAGGCTGGTTTCAAACTCCTGACCTCAAATGATCCACCCACCTCGGCCTCCCAAAGTGTTGGGATTACAGGCATGAGCCACCGTGCCTAGCCTAGGATGACTACAACTTTTAGAACCTATATCATAAAATCCTTGAAGAGGACAATATTTGTAAGTTATTGAAGAAAACCTACTCCCCCAAAGACCATTTTTTCTGGTTAGGTGATCATTTATTTGGAAACAAAACAAAAAGTAGAAAAATTACTCACAGATTCAAAGGCCAGAGAGAGATTTGCTGACCACATTTATTATCTCTGAATAACATTTAAAGTTATTTTTCTAAGAAACTTACTGAGTGGGAAAATCATGTTGAAAGCTATCATTGAGAACCCTGACAGCTAATGGATTGATGTCATGACTAGTATAATGCTGGATTTAAAACCCTAGATGAGATCAAAAAAGAGAATGGAGACAAACATTTAGACGTAAACCCACTAGTACAAAACTTCACATTAAAGAAAGAAATCCAACATTTTTTTTCCAGTTTAGAAATAGAAATTTTGTTTACACTTTAAAAAAATTGAGGTACAATATATGTATAAAATTTACAATCTTTACCGTTTTAAACGTACCATAATAATAAATACATTTATATTATTATTTTCCCCTTTATCCCTCCCTCCTTCTTACCCGTCCTGGCATCTAGGTAACCACCATTTTATTCTCTGTCTTCATGAGATTTACTTTTTTAGCTTATATAAGTGAGATCATGCAATATGTATCTCTCTGTGCATGGCTCATTTCACTGAACATAATGGTATCTAGTTCCACCCATGTTGCTGCAAACGACAGGATTTTACTCTTTTTTATGGCTGAATAATATTTCATTGTGTACATATAACACATTTTTTAATCCATTCATCTGTTGATGGACACTTAGGTTGATTCCAAATTTTGGCTATTTTGAATAGTGCTGCATTAAACATGAGAGTGCAGAGACTCTGCACTCTGTTTAATATATTGCTTTCCTTTGTTTTGGATGTGTACCTAGTAGTAAAATTGCTGGATGACATGGCAGTTCTATCTTTAGTTTTGTGAGGAACCTCCATGCTATTCTTTTTAGGGGCCGCAATAATTTACATTCCCACCAGCAGTGGATGAGGGCTCGCCTGTCTAGACATCCTCACCAGCATCTGTTATTGCCTGTCTTTTTGATACAAGTCATTTTAGCTGGGATGAGATGATATCTTATTTTGGTTTTGATTTGCATTTCTCAGATGATTAGTGATGTTGAACATTGTTTTCAAATACCTGTTGATCATTTGTATGTCTTCTTTTGAGAAATGTCTGTTCAGATCTTTTGCCCATTTTAAAACTGAATTATTTTTGTTTGTTTACTTTGCTATTGAGTTCTTCGAGCACCTTATGTATTCTGGCTGTTATTAATCACTTGTCAGGTAGATACTTTGCAAATATTTTATCCCATTCTGCGAGTTGTCTTCTCGTTTTGTTGACTGTTTCCTTTGCTGTGCAGAAGGTTTTTAGCTTGCTGTAATCTCATCATATTTTTGCTTTGGTTGTCTGTGATTTTGAGATCTTAGACAAAGAAATCTTTCACCAGATCAATGTGCTAGAACATTTCCTCAAAGTTTTCTTCCAGCAGTTTCATAGTTTCAGGTCTTAGATTTCAGTCTTTAATCAATTTTGATTTGATTTGTGTATGTGATGAGGGATAATGGTCTAATTTCATTCTTCTGCATATCCCAGCACCATGTATTGAAAAGATTATCCTTTCCTCAGTGTATGTTCTTGGTGTCTTTGTCAAAGATGAGTTGGCTATAAATGCATGGGTTTATATCTCAGTTCTCTAGTATGTTCCATTGTCTATATGTCTGCTTTGATGCCAGTACCATGCTGTTTCAGTTACTATAGCTTCATAGTAAATATTGAAGTCAGGTGGTGTAATGCCCCCAGCTTTGTTCTTTTTGCTCAGGATTGAGCTGGCTATTTGGGATATTTTGTGGTTATGTATACATTTAGGATTTTTTTTTCTGTTTTTTGTGAAGAATGTCACTGACATTTTGATAGAGATTGCATTGAATCTGTAAGATGCTTTTGGTATATTGTCATTTTAACATTATTAATTTTTCCAATTCATGAGCATGAAATATCTTTCCATTTTCCATGTCCTCTTCACTTTCTTCCATCAGAGTTTTGCAGTTTTCCTTGTATAGATCTTTCATGTCTTTAGTTAGATTGATTCTTATGTATTTTATATTTTTTGTAGCTATTGTAAGTGGGATCGTCTTCTTGATTATTTTTTTCAGATTGTTTGACGCTGGTGCATATAAATGCCACTAAATTTTGTATGTTGATTTTTGTGTCCTGCAACTTTATTGAACCCATTTATCAGTTCTAACAGTTATTTTTGAGGGATACAGTCTTCAGGTTTTTCTAGGTATAAGGACATGTCATTTGCAAATAAGGCTAATATGACTTCTTTCTTTCCAATTTGGATGCCCTTTATTTCTTTATCTTGCCTAATTGCTCTGGCCATGACTTCCAGTATTCTATTGAATAACAGTGGTGAGAGTATGCATCCTTATCTTGTTCCAGTCCTTAGAGGAGAGGCCTTCAATTTTTTCTCTGTTCAGTATGATGTTAGCTGTGAGTTTGTCATATATGGCCTTTATTGCTTTGAAATATGTTCCTTCTATATGTATTTTTATGAGAAATTTTATCATGAAGGGATGTTGAATTTTATGAAATACTTTTTCAGCATCTATTGAAATAATTATATTTTTTTTGTTCTTGATTCTGTTAAACTGAACTCCTTAGGGTTAGTCACTGGATTTTTGCTTTGTCCTTTCGGGGAGGTCATGATTCTCTGCAGTTGTTTCTTGTGGAAATATGTCCACATCTTTGCATGGGAGGATTATTTATTCCAATCTTCTCTGTTTGGCTTATTTTGGTTTTTAATGGATACATTTGCTTACTGAATCTTTACTGCTAGGTTGCTGTCTAATTTTAAATTTTTATTTACATTCTCTTAGTTGACCTCCTAGAGTACTTCTTTTTTAAATTTTACTTCAAGTTCTGGGATACATGTCCAGAACGTGCAGGTTTGTTACATAGGTATACAATATGTGCCATGGTGGTTTGCTGCACCTATCAAACCATCATCTAGTTTTTAAGCCACACATGCATTAGGTATTTGTCCTAATGCTCTCCCTCCCCTTGCCCCCCACCCTCTGACAGGCTCCAGTGTATGATGTTCCCCTCCCTGTGTCCATGTGTTCTCATTATTCAACTCCCACTTATGAGTGAGAACATGTGATGTTTGGTTTTCTGTTCCTGTGTTAGTTTGCCAAGAATGATGGCTTCCAGCTTCATCCATGTCCCTACAAAGAACATGAACTCATTCTTTTTTATGGCTGCATAGTATTCCATGGTGTATATGTGCCACATTTTCTTTATCCAGTCTATCATTGATGGGCATTGGGGTTGGTTCCAAGAATACTTCCACATGCTCCTTTACCTTTGCAATGAATAGCTATGCCAACTCAGATACGTGCTATTATAACATTCCTCCTCATTAATAACAACATCTTTGTACTGAATAATGTCACTAGCTCGTCATTACAGGTGATTATTTTAGTCTTTATGTTAAACAATTGAAAATTATTTTGATCAAAACATCTTTTTAAAGTGAGATTTAAGTTTTATTATTTATTTATTTTCCTTCCAACTTTTATTTTAGGTTCAGGGGGTACATGTGCAGGTTTGTCACATGAGTAAAATGCAGGTTATTTCACTACCCAAAACTGCAACTTTGAATTCTTGGTCAGAGAGCTCACGTATTGCCATCTCATTAGGGTCAGTCACTGGATTTTTGTTTTGTTCTTTTAGGGAGGTCATGGTTCTCTGTTTGCAGTTGTTTCTTGTGGGTATATGTCTATATGTTTGCATTAAAGGATTGTTCATTTCAATCTTCTCTGTCCAGCTTGTTTTGGTTTTTATTGGACATATATGCTTAGTGAATCTTTACTGCTAGGTTGCTGCCCTTTTTTCAGCTCAAGATGGTGCCAGGTTCACCTCAGCTGTAGTAAATGATCAGAGCACTGCCTATCCTGAATGGGGGAGATCCCAAAGGGATTATCTAGGTGGTATCAAGGCTGGCTAGGGCTTTGTGCCCAGGGGACCTGTGGAATGTACCTTCTAAAGCATGGTGCTGCTGAACAACCACTCTGATTTGGCGTCTTCTTTAGCTAATAGATCAATTTCCGCAGCTGTGGATGTTAGTCATGCCTACACACTTTGTCTCTGCCTCTCCCTAGGGATATTTCTCCCTTTAGGCAGTCTTTATGCTTTCTCTGGGTTAAGGCAAGAAAAGGTCTCCTGCCAGAGCACCCAAGATGATGGGGAAGCTGGTTAACTCCCTCAATCATACTTTTTCAAGTGTAGATTGTGTTGGGGGACGATTTTCCATGTACTTGTTGCTGGGCAGAATGGTGGGGGAGGAGCTTTGCAGATGTGTAAGTCCGATTCTCTTACCATCTGCTTAGTTTTTTTCACTTCTCTGTGGCCTTGGAAACTATTTCATTCTCGTATTTGACTTCTGGGTTGTTGCTGGTGAAAATCTTGGCACTGTATAACTGTTTTCAGTTTTTTGCAGGGGAAAGTGAAACCATCTTGCTTCTATATTGCCATTTTGGAACTGGAAGTAAAAAATCTTTGTATTAGTTAACTTTGTGGAATTGAATTAAATAAAGCTATCTTCAACTCATTTTAGAAGAACATGTAAATATTGTCTATGTATAAAAAGGCATAATTGTTAAAGCAAAACAGGATAAGAAGTATAGGAAGGGGACAAAACAATTTCGTTGAGTGGATTTCAACCATAATTACTATTTTGGAAAACAAAAACAAAAATAAAACCCATCTCTCAGAAAACTATCATTCTAAATTGAAAAACAAAGTCAATTTATACAATTTTAAAAATTGGAGATGAGCTATGACATTTCTAAATTACAGGGAAAGTATACATAATATTCAAAATGGTAGAAATCATAGCGTGGCATAGTGGCTTAGGCCTGTAATCCCAGCCTTGTGGGAGGCCAAGGTGGGCAGATCAGTTAAGACTAGGAGTTCGAGACCAGCCTGGCCAACATGGTGAAACCCCATCTCTACTAAAGAATTGTTTGAACCCGGGAGGCGGAGGTTGCAGCGAGCCAAGATAGCGCCACTGCACTCCAGCCTGGGTGACAGAGTGAGATTCTGTCTCAAAAAAAAAAAAAGTAGAAATCAACACATAAATTATTAAGCATAGGGGTAACTATATAATGTAATGAAAAGGCACAATAGAAAAGAACACTTAACAACTTTACATTCAATTAAACAATGTATCATTAAAACATTAATGCACAATTGTTTAACATGGAGGAGAATGTTGCAGCCATCAAAATTCTCTTTGCAAACCTCCAAGTATATGGAGCTAATTGAGGAGAGTTCCAGCTGCCAGCTTTGGAATCCATCCCTATGGGAGGCTATGCCACCTACATACTGCTCTCATGGGATTTAAGGCACAACCTATTCCTGGAGACAAGGATTATCTCTGACTGCAACTTTCGCTTGAGGACTCCCCATTGGTTTTCCCAACCTTCTTAGACAATGTGGATGTCTAGAAAGTTTCCACTAACCTTGTCTCTCTGCATCCTTCAGTCCAGGTCAGACTTGCTTTGTGGCTTGATGACTCTTCCCAATGTTCTCTGGTTCCTTCTCCATATTCCTTCACAGACATTTCCCCCTAATAAGCACCTGCATGGTTAATCTGGTTTTGACATCTGCTTCTCTGAGAACATGGAATAACACAAAAAGAATCACAAAATAATGCATTTGTGGAGAAAGATCTGAGTTGCACATCACTGAAGTTAGCAAGTTCAAGTAGCAGTCATACTAGAACTCAATATTTCACGTGTGGCAGAAAAAGGAAGTCAGAATTGGTCTTAGCAATATAATGACTTTCTAAGAGGGGTAGATACTAGTGGCAACGATTTCTTTTGGCAGAAGTCAATGTTTTGAGAAGATCCCAAGTAGTAGTAGGTCTCCAATGCAGGATGCATCAGCACCAGGAAGTAACTGGGAATGCATAATTGTGGTTGACTCCTCTCTTCACCCAGCTACTGAGGGTTTAGGGAGCAAAATCAAGCTCCCCAGGGAACAACAATGGTCAAGGTGGAGCTGTTATCCAGTCCTAGAGTTTTTACAACCAGAAATGAGGGCAGAATTTCTATTGCATCAGTCGATATATAGGTCATGGTAAGAAAACAGTAACTCTGGAGGCTCACCCAGTCATCACAAATAACCTCTTAGGAAAAAGAGGACTCATCACAGACTCCTTGCATGGGCAGTACTAATACCTTGGATGCAATTCTTCTTGGTCAGGATTACCTCAAAAAAGAATGGTGATTCTTAGGGGTGGGAAAGGTAGGGACTGAAAATATCAAGATGATAATAAAACTAATTAATGAAAATATTGAATACTTGGTCAATCCAGTTACTCAGGCAACTTCAATAAATTGTAAACTTAGACGAGAAAATTAAAACTATATCGGTGTATAGCTGTTACCAAAAAAATCTTAAATAAGCCATAAGGATATATTTACAAATATTAACCACCAACTTCTTAATGGCAGAAATTCTGCCCATTACATGCTTTAACCATATTTTAAAAAGAAGTAAATAATGAGAATCTTAACAAATTGTTTAATTTTTTTAGTATTAAAAATACTTTTTTATAAGTAAAAATTGGCTTAGGAAACAAATTAAGAATGCAATAAAATATATTTTAAAGTAATAATACACAGCTCTGCATATTAAAATGTATTGGGACGTAGGCCAAAACAGTGTTTAGAAGAAAATGTACTCATTTAAAGGTCTTTAATAAGAAGAAATAAAAAAGAGATATTCATGAAAAAATGATTATACTGTAGAATTCTAGAACAGAATAAAGTATTAATTTAAAGCAAAATAGGGAAGGAATATAAAAGCATGAATTAATAACCTGGAAAATAACTGGCATAATTATATACAAAATTAAAAGCTAGTTATTTGATGAGAGGAAGAAAATGGATAAACTTGTGATAAAAATATAATTTTTAAAACAGAATAATTCTAGCGCATAAATATATCTGTATGGGTACCCCAATGTGACATATTCAATTTTAAAACATCAGGCTGGGCGTGGTGGCTCACGTCTGAAATCCCAGCGCTTTGGGAGGCTGAGGTGGGTGGATCACTTGAGGTCCAGGTTTGAGACCAACCCGGCCAACATGGTGAAGCCCGTCTATACTAAAAATACAAAAATTAGCTGGGTGTGGTGGTGCATCCTGTAATCCCAGTTACTCGAGAGGCTGAGGCAGGAGAATCACTTGAACCTGGGAGGCAGAGGTTGCAGTGAGCAGAGATCGCCCCACTGCACTCCAGTCTGGGTGACAGAGGGAGACACCATCTCAAAAAAAAATAAAATAAAAATAAAAAATCAATATACACACCTAGAGGGAGAGAAAAAAGTCCTAACATTCCCTAACTTAATCTCCTTTCCTGGGCACCCTATTAGATAAATGGTGCTGTGAAAATTGGAGCGCCATATGCAGAAGAATGAAACTGGACCCCTATCTGTCACCACATACCAAAGTTAATTCAAGGTGGATTAAAGACTTAAATGTAAGACTTGAAGCTATAAAAATCCTACAAGGAAATCTAGGAAAAATTCTTCTAGACGTTGGCCTAGGCAAAGAATTTATGATAAAGACCCCAAAAGCAAATGCAACAAAATCAAAAATAGACAAATTAGCTTCAACTAAACTAAAAGCCTTCTGCATAGCAAAAGAAATAATCAACAGAGTAAACAGAATCTACAAAAAACTCAAGTAACTCAATTAGAAAAAAAAAACCATTAAAAAGAGGACAAAGGATATGAACAGATGTTTCTCAAGAACACATACAAGCAGCCAACCAACATAGGAAAAAAGGCTTAACACCACTAATCGTCAGAGAAATGCATCTTACAACCACAATGAGACACCATCTTACACCAGTCAGAATGGCTAATAAAAAGTCAAAAGACAACAGATGTTGGCAAAAGTGCAGAGAAAAGGGAACACTTATATACTGTTGTTGGGAATGTAAACTAGTACAGCCTCCATGGAAAACAATATGGAAATGTTTCAAAGAACTAAAAATAGAACTACTATTTGACCCAGCAATCCCAGTACTGGGTATCTCCTTAGTGGTAAAGAAATTATTACATCAAAAAGACACCTGAACTTGTGTGTTTATTGCAGCATTATTCACAATAGCAATGATATGGAATCAACCCAAGTGTCCATCTACAGACGTTGGATAAAGAAAATGTGATATACACATTATATATAAATATATGATGGAATGCTATGCAGCCATTAAAAATAATGAAACTGTGTCTTTTGTAGCAACATATATGGAACTGGAGGCTATTATCCTAGGTGAAATAACTCAGAAATAGAAAATCAAATACCATGTGTTCTCACTTATAAGTGGGAGGTAAACAATGAGTATACTTTGGACATAAAAATGGAAATAATAGACACTGAGGACTTCAAAGATGGGGAGGGCGTGACAGTTGAAAACTTACCTGTTGGGTGCAATGATCACTATTTGGGTGATGGGTACACTTGAAGCCCAAATCTCACTATTACACAATATATCCATGTAACAAACCTGTACCTCCTGAATCTACAATAAAAAAAAAAAATCTCTTTTCTTGGATTTTCCTTCTGTCTGTCCAATGTTAGAGAGGCCCATGCTCTGACTTCATCCCTGGGTGATTTTCTATGGTCCCTTGGCTGTAATTATAATATATTTCAATTCAAACTTCCTAGTTGTTATCCCTGGCCTTGATTTCTCCCTTAAGCTCTAATCACTTTTTAAAATTTTACTCAAAATCTTTTCTTCAAAGTCTAATAAACATCCCTTAATTTAAACATCTAAAACCAAGTAAGCTCTCCACATGTACCCACTCACATATGGTTCCTCCCTCAATTGTCTTTCCCTCAGAAAATGGCGCCACCGTTCATCCAACTATTCAGGCATCAACCTCAGCATTATCATCTCACACGGAATTAATCAACTAGCCCTACTGGTGCTACCTTTGAGGAAAGTATATATATATGTTGATTTCAGCTGCTTCTTGCCACCTTCATTCCTATCACTTTAATCCATATCTTCATTTCTTGCCTGGATCTTGCAGTAATTCCATTTAACACCACCTCCCCCAGGAGCCTGGACAAGCCTTTAAAATCTGCCCAATGACATCCCACCACACGTAAAGGAAAGTTTAACGTGTTCCCTCAGATCCTCACATAGGCAACTCCTTTACTCCTTCTGCTCAAATGCTGGATCACCTTATCAAAAATGACCTCATTACACCCTACCATTTCTCTCTGTCCCCCTTTTCTGCTTTATTTTTCTTCACAGCAGTTATCTTGACCTGAAATTATACTATTCATTTGTATACTTGTATGTTGTCTGCCTCTTTCTCCCTCTGGGTGTCAGAACACACATTCACCCTGGCCCTACCCAACTCCCAATACCTGTCTTTTTTCAGAAACAGCAACTCCCAAAACTCCCTAGGCCAGAAGATGAAGTGGAGACCTAGAGAAGGTAGTGCATTGCCTGAGGCAGTGGAACTCCCCCATCCCATGTCATGGTCAGAGACAGGTACAAAATACACAGAGGTTTTAAGACATACTAGAGATTAGAGTTTTCACACCCAATTGAGAAGAACTGACAACTGAGACATCAGAAGAGAAGAGCCTGTCAGGAATGAAGACAAGACCTGCCATTTATAAATATGAGAATGGGAGTCAGTGGTCACTTTATACAGACTGTCTTTTGACTTACATAGAGGAACTAGAATGGATTATTTCCCTAAGTGAGTGAATCTCTAGGTATGAAGGAAGCATGCTAGCTTTGCCCCACCACTGCTCACAGAGGAGGATCTCAAATAAAATAAAGTATACAATATTACTGTAGGGCTTCTCACTACCCCAGGCACAGTGTGTTTGGAAATATTGAGAGAGAAATTGTGGCGGGGGGGTAAGGGGGGGCTTCTCCTGACAGCCTGGAGGCCTTCAAGGCAACTGGCTGTCCTCAGGTTTAGTCAGTGGAGGCACAACAGTTTTAAGTGGGTTTCCGTAGGTTCCACAGTAGAAGCCAGGACAGGGTGTATGTCATGTAG
This sequence comes from Homo sapiens, assembly GCF_000001405.40. Classification (NCBI taxonomy): domain Eukaryota; kingdom Metazoa; phylum Chordata; class Mammalia; order Primates; family Hominidae; genus Homo; species Homo sapiens. The sequence continues at coordinate 142,986,947 of NC_000007.14, read as the reverse complement.
CTTTAGACATTCACAGCCAGCCAGCTTCTGGGTCATCTCTTTTTTGAGTGAACAGAGTGTGGTTCTGACCCTTCTCAGAAGTTGTTAGGCATTCCAGGCTCAAGTAACCCACCAGTCTTTTAAATATAGATAGTACAAATCCAATAACACTCTTACATTTCAACATAGCATTGGCACCAAAACCCAGACTGCTGTAATAAAATCAAGTTACATCCGCCAGTTCTATATTTATGGACCACAGGCTTTAGAAAATTTAGAGGACAATCTGGAAAGCAAAGTAAGAAAATTTTATTTCAAAATAGGATTTGCTAGGGAGACTCCAGGTCCCCAAAAGAGAATTATCATAGAGACCCCTTACTAAGACAGCCACACAAGTAGATCTAGAGTAGGTTTAGAGCCAAAATACACATTTTGCTTTGTCAAATGATAAATCTGTATAAATCTTATCTTGTTCAACTAAGAAGTAAAAGCAACAACCTGGGTCTAGACCTCTGAGATTACGATGCTAGAGAGTCTAATAATGGGATGAAGACATAGTTTCAGCCTACGGCTTCAGTAGGGTTTGTCTCTACCAAAACTCATGCCAAAATCTGATCCCCAATGTGGTGGTGTTGGGAGGTGGAGCCTAATGAGAAGTGTGTGGGTCATGGGGATGGATCCCTCATTAATAACTTGGTGCTGTTCTTATGATAGTGAGTGAGTTTTTGCTCTGCTGAGCATGGACTAGTTTTTTTGAGAATTGATTAGTTCTCTGAGAATGGGTTGTTATAAAGCCAGGGCTCTCCTTGATTTTGCCTCTTTGCACATATTTGCTTCCCTTTTGATTTTCCACCATATTGTGAGGCAGCATAAAGACCTCACCAAAAGCAGAATGGATAGCAGTGCCATGCCCCTTGAGCTTTCCAGCCTGCAGAACCATGAGCAAAATAAACCTCTTTTCTTTATAAAGTACCCGGTCTCAGATATTCTGTTACAACAACACAGTATGGACTAAGACAATTTTTTTTAACTCCATCTCCTGAGTATAAGATGTATTTTCAGTTAGGTTTCAAGCAGCTCTGGAGCTAAAAGTTTTCTCCCTTGTGCTAGTCAGGCCTGGATGGTGGTCTTATCCTAACAAACATATGTCTTGGGCTTCTTTAAAACTAGACCGACATAGGTCATGTGCCCACTCCTGAACCAATCACTATGACAAGGAGTGCCAGACACTGAATGGTTTAACTATGACTCTACCTGAACTAATCACATTGGGCAGGGGAATAAAATCACTCTGGTTTGCTCAGGTCAAATATGATCCATCCCAGATATAATGGTAGAGTGAATCCCATCTAAACCTCATGTCTGTTTTACAATGGGGTATGGGTGGAATGGCTAATGGGCTGTTTATTACAGCTATTACTAGGTGTATTACAGCTATTTTTACTAAAGTAAAAATGATTTTTTCTTCTGTGTGCTTTTATGATTTTCAATTTTGCTATAATAAACATATTTTGTAATAAAAAGGAAATACAAAATAAAATAAAATTAGAAATAGAGAGGATATATAGCAATGGAGAACAATATTAAAACTAAGAAGGGTTAGGCACAGTTATATGCTACTAAAATTAAATAAGTGAAATGTATGTGTTTCTATAAAAATACAATATATTAATATTGAATCAAGAAATAGAGAACACCAAGAACTGAAGGAGAAAGTGGATAATTTATCAAAGAAACATACTCCCTTCTCCCTCCTACCTATTCTATCCAGCAGAACTTGAAAATTGTCTTTAGATCTTCAAAAAGCAAATATAGTCTCTTAGTTACAAAACATGGTATTCTATCTGTAGTGGACATTTGTTGTGTTTGTAACTCAAAAGTATCTTTTGAATGTCTTTCTATGTTTGGAGAATTTCCCATATTATAAATCCCTCTTCTCCAAGATAGAAATCAGACCATGCTCTCCCAGACTCCCTTGCAGTCGCACAGGCTTTTACCAGAGCTTTGCTAATGAGATGCATCTGCAGCAGACTTCAATTGCCAAGTAAAAAATGGGAGAAAGAGTACATAGTGTGGATCACCTTTTGGCAAATATAGTGCCAGGGCCTCTGACCACCTGATTTCACCACAGGCCTCTGGAACCTGGCAGGAGGAGACTCCTCAACCACCATGGACACTCGAGTTGGCAGGGAGCACTACTTAGAGAAGCGGTACAGGCAGCAAGCCAGCTGATGTGGAGCCTGAGGGTTTGATGTGGGAGTGTCTGCAGTGGTGCACCTCCAGGGATGGCCATCCCCCAGGCCTGACTTGCTCCCATAGGAGACTTTAACCCTAGGGGAACTGTCGGACCTGATCTTTCAGGATGGTCTTGCCCATCAGACCAGGCTGGTCCAACCTGAACACCCCTTGGTCTACTGGCCTCTCCTAGGGCCCTAGCCAGGCCACACCTTCTTGCAGGGCAATCTCCAGTGCCCTGGGGGCCCACCACAATAGCTTCTGTGCTGGTGGACTGTGCCTCATCAGTGGACAGCTCCAGCTGGGTGGCTCCATGGCCACACACAAGCCTACCATTCCCTCCCATACTGAAGCTTCCTCCAGGCACATAGCAACTCCCCACATCACTTTGCTGGCACATGCCAACATGAGTGGAAGGGGTTTGTTTTCTTTGCCCTGTCAGTGGAGGGGAGAGCAGTCTGCTCTACTTCCCTTTGCAGGCTGCCATTGCAGATGGAACCTTGGTGGGCACAGAGTCAGAAGCCCCACCCCTGCCAGTGCCTGGCCCCGAACTAACACTGTGCAGAGAACAGCACATCCTCCTCCACCCTGAACAATCACTCCTGCTTGTGGGGCATAGAGAAGGCACCCTGCACCAGCCAACACCCCACACCAGACCCAACACTACCTCCAGTGCAACTATACACAGTGTCCAGCAGGGTGCCTCACCCCACTGTCCCCCACCCCAGCTGCATTGCCTCTGTCACTGTGGTGAACAACTGCAAGGAGGCAGGCACTTGGCACCCACTAGCACTCTGCCACAGCTGCTGCACCTCACTGCACTACCCCCACCACCAGCACACTGCATGCCATGCCTCAAAGAGCCAGAGAACAAAACTGGGGCCTAATGCAAGTCCTCCAGTTAGAGAACACAGTATAGGAGTTGGAGCTAAGCATTGGCTTCCTAAAATCCTTCAGAAATGAAGCTAGTTCACTGAACCCACCTTATACCACAATCAGACCCTCAAGGTCATCAAATAGGTTTTAAAAAAAAAAAAATCCAAAGGTCAACAACCTCAAAGATTGAAGGTAGATAAGCCCACAAAGATGAGAAAAAAAACCTGATGGAAGAACACTCAAAACTTGAATAAAAATAAAAGAAAAACTGCAGTCCCTTCTTTCCTCCAAATGACCACATCACCTCTCCAGCAAGCATTCTGAACTGGGCTGCCATGGATGAAATGACAGAAATAGAATTCAGAATATGGATAGAAATGAAGATCATTGAGATACAAGAATATGTTGAAACCCAATTCAAGGAAGCTGAAAACCATGATAAAACAATGCAGGAGCTGACAGACAAAATAGCCAGTATAGAAAAGAATATAACTAAGCTGATAGAGCTGAAAAACACACTATGAGAATTTCATAATGTAATCACAAGTATTAGTAGAAGAATAGACCATGTGGAAGAAAGAATCTCAGAACTTGAAGACTGGCTTTCTGAAATAAGATAGTCAGACAAAAATGGAGAAAAAAGAATGAAAAGGAATGAACAAAACCTCTGAGAAATATAAGATTACGTAAAGAGATTGAGTAACTCATCATTGTCCCTGAAAGACACTGGGGAGAATGGAACCAACTTAGACAATGTATTTCAGGATATAATCCTTGAGAACTTCTCCAACCTAGCTAGAGAGGCCAACATTCAAATTCAGGAAATGCAGAAAACTCCAGTAAGATGCTACTCAAGAAGAACATCCCCAAGACGTGTAATCATCAGATTCTCCAAGGTCAAAATGTTAAAGGCAGCTATAGAGAAAGGTCAGGTCACCTACAAAGTGAATCCCATCAGACTAACAGTGGACCTCTTGGCTGGGTGCGGTGGCTCATGCCTGTAATCCCAGCACTTTGGGAGGCCAAGGCAGGTGGATTACCTGAGGTCCGGAGTTCAAGAGCAGCCTGGCCAACATGGCAAAACCCCATCTCTACTAAAAATATAAAATTTAGCTGGGCATGGTGGTGTGCACCTGTAATCCTAGCTACCCAAGAGGCTGAGGCAGGAGAATCACTGGAACCTGGGGGGGCAGAGGCTGCAGTGAGCCGAGATTGCACCACTGCACTCCAGCCTGGGCAACAGAGCAAGACTCCATCTCAAAAACAAAACAAAACAAAACAGTGAACCTCTCAGCAGAAACTTTACAAGCCAGAGGAGATTGGGGGCAAGAAATTCCAAACCAGAATGTCATATCTGGCTAAACTAAGCTTCATAAGCAGAGAAATAAGATCCTTTCCAGACAAGCAAATGCTGAGGGAATTTGTTACCAACAGATGTGACTTACAAGAGCTCCTGAAGGAAGCACTAAATATGGAAAGGAAAGACTGTTGCCAGCCCCTACAAAACACAATGAAGTACACAGACCAGTGACACTATAAAGCAACCACATAAACAAGTCAGCAAAATAATCAACTAACATCATGATGGAAGGATCAAATTCATACATATCAACATTAACCTTAAAAGTAAATGGGCTAAATACCCTAATTAAAAGACTGGAAGCTGGATAAAAGAACTATGACCCATTGGTATGCTGTCTTCAAGAGACCCATTTTACATGCAATGACATACATAGGCTCAAAATAAAGGGATGGAGAAAAGTCTACCAAGACAATGGAAAACAGAAAAAAACAGGGATTGCAATCCTTGTTTCTGACAAAACAGACTTTAAACCAACAAAAACAAAAAAAGACAAAGAAGGACATTATATAATGGTAAAGGGTTCAAGTCAACAGGAAAAGCTATCTTTCTTAAACATATACGCACCCAATACAGGAGCATCCAGATTCATAAAGCGAGTTCTTAGAGACCTACAAAGAGAGACTTAGACTCACACAATAGTAGAGGGAGATTTTAACACCCTGTTGTCTAACATATTGACAATATCAGACAGCTCATAGAGACAGAAAATTGACAAAGATATTTAGGACCTGAACGCAGCACTGGATCAAATGGACCTGATAGGTATCTACAGAACTCTCCATCCAAAAGCAACAGGATATATATTCTTCTCATCATCACATGGCACATACTATAAAATTGATCACATAATTGGAAGTAAAACACTCCTCAGCAAATACAAAATAACTGAATTCATAAAAAACAATTTCTTTGACCACAGTGCAATCAAATTAGAAATCAAGACTAAGAAATTCCCTCAAAACCATACAATTACTTGGAAATTGAATAACTTGCTTCTGAATGACTTTTGGGTAAATAATGAAATTAAGGCAGAAATCAAGAAGTTCTCTGAAACTAATGAGAACAAAGATACAACATATCAGAATCTCTGAAACACAGCTAAGGAAGTGTTAAGAGGGAAATTTATAGCACTAAATGCCCACATCAAAAAGTTAGAAAGATTTCAAGTTAACAACCTAACATCACAACTAAAAGCACTAGAGAACCAAGAGCAAACAAATCTCAAAGCTACCAGAAGACAAGAAATAACCAAAATCAGAGCTGAACTGAAGGAGATTGACCAGGAGCTGTTTTTTTGAAAAAATTAATAAAATAGACCACTAGCTAGACTAATAAGGAAGAAAAAAGAGAAGATTCAAATAAACTCAATTAGAAATGACAAAGGGGATATTACACTGACCCCACAGAAATACAAACACCATCAGATAATATTATGAACACCGTTATGCACATAAACTAGAAAATCTAGAAGAAATGGATAAATTCCTGGAGACATACACCCTCCTAAGACTGAACCAGGAAGAAATAGAATCCCTGAACAGACCAATGATGAGCTCTGAAAATGAGTCAGTAATAAATAGCCTACTAACAAAACAAACAAACAAACAAACAAAAAAGCCCAGGACCAGACAGATTCACAGCCGAATTCTACCAGATATACAAAAAAGAGCTGGTACCATTCTTGTTGAAACAATTTCAAAAAATTGAGGAGGAGGGACTCCTCCCTAACTCATCTACAAGGCTAGCATCATCCTGATACCAAAACCTAGAAGAGGCACAACCAAAAAAAGAAAACTTCAGGCCAATATTCTTGATGAACATCAATGCAAAAAATCCTCAACAAAATACTGGCAAATGAAACCCAGCAGCACATCAAAAACTTATTCACCATGATCAAGTTGGCTTTATCCCTGGGATACAAGGTTGGTTCAACATATGCAAATCAATAAATGTGATTCATCACATAAACAGAACTAAAGACAAAAAACACATGATTATCTCAATAAAGGCAGAAAAGGCTTTTGATACAATTCAACATCCCTTCATGTTAGAAACTCTCCATAAAATAGACATTGAAGGAACATACTTCAAAATAATAAGAGTCATCTATGGAAAACCCACAGCCAACATCCTACTGCATGGGCAAAAGCTGGAAGCAGTCACCTTGAAAACCATCACAAGAAAAGAATGTCCTCTCTCACCACTCTTATTCAACATAGTATTGGATGTCCTGACCAGGAGAACAATCAGGCAAGAGAAAGAAGTGAAGAGCATCCAAATAGGAAGACAGGAAGTCAAACTATCTCTATTTGTTGACGACATGATTCTATATCTAGAAAAGCCTATAGTCCCACTCCAAAAGTTTCTTGAGCTGATAAACAACTTCAGCAAAGCCTCAGGATGCAAAATCAATGTGCAAAATTCACTAACATTCCTTTCCACCAATAACAGTCAATCTGAGAGCCAAATCAGGACCACAATCCCATTTACAACTATCACAAAAAGAATAAAATGCTTAGGACTACAGCTAACCAGGGAAGTGAAAGGTCTCTACAAGGAGAGCTACAAAACACTGCTCAAAGAAGCCAGAGATGATACAAACAAATGAAAAATCATTCCATGCTCATGGATAGGAATAATCAATATCATGAAAATGGCCATACTACCCAAAACAATTTATAGATTCAGGGCTATTCCTATTAAACTACCATTGAGATTCTTCACAAAACTGGAAAAACTATTTTAAAATTCATAGGGAACCAAAAAAGAGCTGAATCACCAAGGCACTGCTAAGCCAAAAGAACAAAGCTGGAGGCATCACACTACCTGACTTCAAAGTATACTACAGGGCTACAATAACCAGAACAGCATGGCAATGGTACAAAAACAGACACATAGATCAACAGAACAGAATAGGAAGGCCAGAAATAAGGCTGCACACCTACAGCCATCTGATCTTCAACAAATATGACCATAACAAGCAATACGGAAAGGATTCCCTATTCAATAAATGGTGCTGAGATAACTGGCTAGCAATATGCAGAAGATTGAAACTGAACCAGTTCCTTATGCCATATACAAAATTAACTCAAGATAGATTAAAGACATAAATGTAAAACTCAAAACTATAAAAACCCTGGAAGGCAACATAGACAATACCATTCAGGAGATATAAATGAGCAAAGATTTCATGTCAAAGACACGAAAAGCAATTGCAACAAAAGTAAAAATTGACAAATGGGATCTAATTAAACTAAAGAGCTTCTACACAGCAAGGGAAACTATCAACAGAGTGAACAGAGAACCCATAGAATGGGAAAAAGTTTTTGCAAACTATGCATCTGACAAAGGTCTAATATCTAGCATTATCTATAGGAACTTGTAAACAAATTTACAAAAAAAAAACAGCCCCATAAAAAAGTGGGCAAAGGACACGAACAGACATTTTTCAAAAGAAGACATACATGCGGCCAAGAATCAAATGACAAAAAGCTCAATATCACTGATCATTAGAGAAATGCAAATTAAAACCAAAATGAGATACCATCTCACGTCAGTCAGAATGGCTACTGTTAAAAAGTCAAAAAATAACAGGCTGGCAAGGTTGCAGAGAAAAAGAAATGCTTATACATTGTTGGTGGGAGTGTAAATTAGTTCATCCATTGTGGAAGACAGTAATTGGTAATTCCTTAAAGACCTAAGAACAGAAATGCCATTCACCCGGCAATCCCTTTCCTGATTATATACCCAAAGGAATATAAATCATTCTATTTTAAAGACACATGCACACGAATGTTCATTACAACACTATGCACAATAGCAAAGTCATGGAATCAAGCTAAATGCCAATCAATGATAGACTGGATAAAGAAAATGTGGTACATATACACCATGGAATACTATGCAGCCATGAAAAAGAATGATATCATGTCCTTTGCGGGAACATGTATGCAGCTGGTGGCTATTATCCTTAGCAAATTAATGCAGGAACAGAAAACCAAATAATGCACGTTCTCACTTATAAGTGGTAGCTAAGTGATGAGAACACATGGACACATAGAGAGAACAACACACACTGGGGCCTATCAGAGGGTAGAGGGTGGGAGAAAGGAGAGGATTTGGAAAAATAACGAATGGGTACTAGGTTTAATACTTCAGTGATGAAATAATTTGTAGAACACACCTTCATGACACAAGTTTACCTATATAACAAACCTGCACATTTACTCCTGAACTTAAAATAAAAGTTTAAAAAAAGTTTACTGCTTTTTACTGCTGAGTAATATTCCATGGTATAAATTACTACAGTTTGTTTAACCATTCACTCATTGAAGGACATCAGAATGTGACCGGATTGTTTATTATGAATAAAGTTACCGTAAACATTTGCGTAGAGATTTTATGTGAATATAACATTTTATGTCTCTACAAAACTATACCATTTTACTTACAGTTTCACCACCAATATATGAGTGATCCAGTTTTTCCACATACTCTCTAGTATTTGGTTGTCATAATTTATTTTAGCCATTCTGATAGATATGCAGTGATATCTCACTGCCATATAAAGTGCATTTTCCTAATGGTTAATAATTTTAAACATTTTTCAATGAGCTTACTTGTCATATTTATATTATCTTTGATGAAATATCTCTTCATGTCTATTGCCCATTTCAAATTGAATTTTTTGTTTTTTTAATGTTGAGTTGTGGAACATTTTTATATATTTTAGATACCAGTCTTTTGTCAGATTCATGATTGCAAATATTTTCCCCCAGTCTGTAGTCTATCTTTTAATCCTCTTATCATGGTTGATTGCAGAGCAAAATTGCTAATTTTGATGAAGTCCTACTTATTCTTCTTTTGTGGATTGTGCTTTTGGTGTCAAGTCTCAGAAATCTTTGTCTAGCCCTATGTTGCAAAGATTTTCTCCTATGCTTTTTCCTCTCAATTTTATATTTTTATGTTTTACACTTAAGTCCATGATCTATTTGGGGTTATTTTCCATATAAGATGGGAGACTGAGGTCAAGGCTCATTTATTTGCCTATGAATGTCCAGTTGTTTTAGCAACATTTGTTGAAAAGGATTTCTTCCAATGAATTGCTTTTGCACTTCATTAAAAATCAGCTTGATATGTTTATGTGGGCCGATTTACGGGTTCTGACTTCTGTTCTATTTCACTGATCTCTATGTCCCTCCAGCACTACCATTGTTAATTACTGTAACTACGTAATCACTGCTGATACCAGGTAAATGGATTTCTCCTACTTCATTCTTATTTTTCAAAATTGTTTTATATATTCTTTTTCTTTTTCATATAAATTATAGAATAACTTTGTCTATACCAACAAAAAATCTTACATACATGTACAGTCATGCACCATACAATGACGTTTTGGTCAATGACAGATCACATATATAACAGTGGTCTCATAAGATTATAATGGAGCTGAAAAAATCCTTTTCCATGTTTAGATATATATCTACTTACCATTGTGTTACAATTGCCTACACCGTTCAGTACAGTAAGATGCTGTACAGGTTTATAGCCGAGGAGCAATACGCCATACCACATAGCCTACGTGTATAGTAGGCTATAATATCTAGGTTTGTGTAAATGCATTCTATGATGTTCACATGATGAGACTGCATAGTCACATTTCTCAGCATATCCCCATTGTTAGGCAATGCATGACTATATATATACACATCCTGTTGGGTCTACTTCTTTGAAGAACCTTGACTATTACACGCTTTGTTTGCTAAGTATTTTTTGAGTGACTGTAAACGTTATTATATTTTTAATTTGAATGTCTACGTGTTCATGGCTAGCAAATAAAAACACAACTGTTTTTTGTATGTTTATCTTGTATCCTGTGACCTTAATTAACTCACATTTGAGTTCTAAACTTTTTTTGTATATTCTTTGGAATTTTCTATGTAGGCAATCATGTTATCTTCAAACAGAAACCATTTTAATTCTTTTTTTCTTATCTGTATTCCCTCTATTTCTTTTTCTTACTTTGTTGTAGTTATTACAGCTTCTAGCACTACATTTAATAAGAGTGATTGGAGTGGATTAGGCATGCTTACCTTGTTTCTGATCTTATGGGGGAAACATTCAGTCCCTTATCACATATCACGTTAGCTATGGGATTTTTTTTTTTTTTTTTTTTTTTGAGACGGAGCCCAGGCTGGAGTGCAGTGGTGCGGTCTTGGCTCACTGCAATCTCCACCTCCTGGGTCCAGTCAAGTCTCCTGTCTCAGCCTCTTGAGTAGCCGGGACTACAGGCACATGCCACCATGCCAGGTTAATTTTTGTATTTTTAGTAGAGTTTCACCGTATGGGTCAGGCTGGTCTCAAACTCCTGACCTCAGGTGATCCACCTGCCTCAGCCTCCCAAAGTGCTGGGATTACATGCATGAGCCACTGTACCTAGCCAGCTATGGGATTTTTGTAGATGCACTGTGTCAAATCTATTCCTATTTTTCTGAGAGTTGTTATGGATAGGTGTTGAATTTTGTCTAATGATTTTTTCTGAATTAACTGATACGATTATATGATTTTTCTTCTTTACCCCATTAATATGGTAGATTACATTGATTGATTTTCAAATGTTAAACCTATGTTGCATTCCTAGAATAAATCCTACTTGGCCATGGAGAATAATGTTTACATATTACTGAATTCTATTTGATAATATTTTATTATGAAATTTTCAGCTATATGAGGATTATTGGTCTGCAGGGTTTTTTGTGTGTTTTTTTGGTCTGGTTTTGGCATTAGGGTGAAAATGGCTTCATAAAATGAATTGGAAAGTATTTCTTCCTCTCATATTTTCTGGAAGAGATTGTATATAGAATTGGTGTTAATTCTTCTGTAAATGTTTATTAGTTTTTCCCATAAAATCACTAGGGGCTGGCAATATCTCATTTGGGAGCTCTTAAATTACAAGTTAAATTTCCTTTTAAGGCTATTCAAATTACCTACTTTATCTTAAATGCATTGTAAGAGTTTGTATTTTTTTAATAAATCATTTGATTTTTATCTAGGTTGTCAAATTATGCATGTAGAATTGTTCATGAAATTTTGATGTTTGCAGGGACTATAGTGTTATCCCCTGTTTCATTTCTGATATTGATGATGTGGTAATTTGTGTCTTCTCTTTCTCACTCTCTCATTTTGTCAGTCTTGCCAGAGATTTGTCAGTTTTAATCATTATCTTTTTAAAGATCCAGCTCTTTTTCATTAGTTTTCTCTTCTGTTTTTTAATTGTATTGATTTCTATTCTTTATATTTATTATTTTCTTCTTTCTGATTGTTTTGGGTTCATTTCATTCCTTTCTGGCTGGGTTCAGTTCTTTTTTTTTTTTTTTTCTTTGAGACAGAGTCTCGTTCTGTGGCCCAGGCTGGAGCACAGTGGTGTGATCTTGGCTCACGGGAACCTCCAACTCCTGGGTTCAAGTGATTCTCCTGCCTCAGCCTCCCAAGTAGCTAGGACTACAGGCATGTGCCACCACACCCAACTAAATTTTCTATATTTTGTAGAGACAAGGTTTCGGCATGTTGGCCAGGCTGGTCTCAAACTCCTGACCTCAAGTGATCTGCCCACCTCAGCCCCACAAAGTACTGGGATTACAGGCGTGAGTCACTGCAGGCAGCCTCTGACTCGGTTCTGAAAGTGGGAACTTACATTGTTGATCTGAGACTATTCTTCTTTTCTAATGTGTGCATTTGGCACTGTAAGTTTCCCTCTCAATCCTTCTGTGTGGCACAAATTTTGATTGTTGTGTTTTCATTTTCATTCAATTCACTGTATTGAAAAAATCCCTTGAGACTTCCTTTTTGACCCACAGATTATTAAGAGGTCTGTTGCTTAGTTTACAAGTGTTCAGAAACTTTCCTGTTATCTTTCTGCTCTTTGATTTCCACTAACCGGAGAACACACCCTGTATGATTTCAATTCTCTTAAAATTTTTGAGTTTTAAAAAAAGATATCGTCTACTTTGGTACATGTTTTGTGGGCATGAAGAGAATGTCTATTCTGCTGTTAGGTGAAGTGTGCTATACGTGTTAATTAGAACACTGAGTTCTTTTATATCCTTGAGGATTTTTTGTCTACATAGTTTATAATTTGTTGAGAAGGGGTGTTAAAATCTCCAACTGTAAGTGTGACTTTATCTATTTCTCCTCCCATTCTATCAGTTTTTGTTTCACATATTTTTCAGTTCTGTTGTTTGGTGCACACAATTTTAGGATTGCTATGTCTTTTTGGTGGATTAATCTTATATAATATCTCTGTCTCTGATGATTTTCTTTGCTGTGAAGTCTATTACACATGGTATTAATAAAACTACTCCTTTCTTTTTTCTCTTTTTTTTTTTTTTTTTGAGATGGAGTCTTGCACTGTCACCCAGGCTGGAGTGCAGTGGCGTGGTCTCAGCTCACTGTAAGCTCTGCCTCCCAGGTTCACGCCATTCTCCTGCCTCAGCCTCCCGAGTAGCTGGGACTACAGGCACCCGCCACCACGCCCGGCTAATTTTTATTGTATTTTTAGTAGAGATGGGATTTCACCCTGTTAGCCAGGATGGTCTCAATCTCCTGACCTCGTGATCCACCTGCCTCCGCCTTCCAAAGTGCTGGGATTACAGGCGTGAGCCACCACGCCTGGTCCCCTCCTTTCTTTTGATTAATGTTTGCATGATATACCATTTTCCAATATTTTACTTTTAAGCTGTCTATATCATTATATTTTAAGTGAATTTTTTGTAGAGAGCATATAAGGGGGGATGTAACCTACTCTGCCAGTCTCTGTCTTTAACTTGGTTTATCAGACTACTTACATTTAATGTAATTATTGGTGCATTAAAGTGTAACATTTATTTAATTTTTTGTTTTATGTTTATTCTCTCTTTTATTTCTCTATTTTTTCATGGCTTTCTGTGGGCTACTTGAACATTTTTCAAACTATTTTGATTTATTTGTAGTCTTTTTGGGTGTATTTCTTGCATATATATATATACACACATGCATATATATATATATATATATATTTTTTTTTTTTGGACACAGAGTCTTGCTGTGTCTCCCAGGCTGGAGTGTAGTGGTGTGATCTCAGCTCACTGCAACCTCTGCCTCCCAGGTTCATGTGATTCTCCTGCCTCAGCCTCCCAAGCAGCTGGAATTACAGGCACACACCACCATGCCTGGCTAATTTTGTATTTTTAGTAGAGACAGGGTTTCACCATGTTGGCCAGGATGGACTCAAACTCCTGACCTCAAGTAATCCACCCACCTTGGCCTCTCAAAGTGCTGGGATTACAGGTGTGAGCCCCATGCCTGGCCCTTGCCCTAATAAATTTAGTGGTTACTTTAGTATTATGTTACATGTACATAATTAATCATAGTCATCTTATTTTCTCCCATAATTATAATGTAATGGTCTTTCTCTACATTTATATCAGATATAGTCTCATTTTTGCTTCAATCATCAAACACAATTTCAAAGTCTTCACAAAAAGGAAGGTCTATTGTATTTACCTATATACTGGTTTACTATGTTTTTTTCTGATGTTCCAAGTTTCCTTTTTTTTTTTTTTTTGTCTTTTTTCCTTAAGACAGAGTTTCACTCTTTTTGCGCAGGCTGGGGTACAATGACACAATCTCAGCTCACTGCAATCTCTGCCTCCTGGGTTCAAGCGATTCTCCTGCCTCAGCCTCCCGAGTAGCTGGGATTACAGGCATGCAACACCACACCTGGCTAATTTTTGTATTTTTAGTAGAGATGGAGTTTCACCGTGTTGGCCAGGGTGGTCTTGAACTCCTGACCTCAGGTGATCTGCCCATCCCAGCCTCTCAGAGTGCTGGGATTACAGGCATGAGCCACTGTGCCCGGCCCCAAGTTTCCTTCTTTCTTTTGTAATTTCACTCCTGTTTAGAGAACTTTCTTCAGTCATTCATTTAGGATGGTTCTGCTAATGGTAACTTCTCTTAGTTTTCCTTCATCTGAGATGTCTTGACTTCCTCTTCATTCCTGAAGTATATTTTTTCTAAGTATAGGATTCTGGGCTGCAGTCGTCTTTTCTCAGCACTTGGAAAACATTATGTCACTTCCTTTTGGCCTCCATGGTTTCTGATGAGAAATCCACTGTCCTTTGAATTGTTTTTCCAATATAGACTTTATTTTTTTCTTGATGCTTTTAATATCTTTCTGTGTGTCTAGTTTTCAGAAGTTTAACTATGATGCGTCTCAGTGTGGATTTTTTTGGGTTGATCTTGTTTGGGATTTGCTCAGCTTCTTGAATCTGTAGGTGTTTGTCTCTTGCCAAATTTGGGAAGTTTTCAGTTATCGTTTATTTGAGCACATTTTTAGCCCTCCTTTTTCTGATGAAATGTACGTTAGATCTTTATTTATTTATATATATTTTTTGAGACGGAGTCTCACTCTGTGGCCAGGATGGAGTGCAGTAGCCCAATCTTGGCTCACTGAAACCTCTGCATCCCGGGTTCATGCGATTCCCCTGCCTCAGCCTCCCAAGTAGCTGGGACTACAGGTGTGTGCCACCACATCTGGCTAATTTTTTTTTATTTTAGTAGAGATGGGGGTTTCACCATGTTGACCAGGATGGTCTCAATCTACTGACCTCATGATCCACCCACCTCGGCCTCCCAAAGTGCGGGATTACAGGTGTGAGCCATCGTGCCCAGTCTAGATCTTTTATTATAGTCTCACAGATCTCTGAGGCTCTGTTCAAATTTTTCCCAGTCCCTTTTCTCTCTGTTATTCAGACTGGGTAATTTATGTTGTTTTGTCTTCTAGTACATTGCTTTTTTTACCCATCTGTTCCCTGTTGAGTCCATCCACTGAGTTTTAAATTTGGGCTATTTATTTATTTTGGGGTTCTAATTTTGCATTTTTGAGTTCCAAAATTTGTTTGTCTCTTCTTTACATCCTCTGTTTCTTTGCTGAAACTCCTTTTCTTTTATTTGTTTCAGCTCATTTAACCAATTGTATTATGATTGCTTTAAAATCATTATCACAGAATTCTAACATTTCTATCATCCCTATGCTAAAATATATACAGATATATATATATATATATATTTTTTTTTTGAGATGGAGTTTCTCTCTTGTTGCCCAGGCTGGAGTGCAATGGTGTGATCTCAGCTCACTGCAACCTCTACCTCCCAAGTTCAAGCGATTCTCCTACCTCCACCTCCCGAGTAGCTGGGATTACAGGTGCACACCACCAAGAGCGGCTAATTTTTATATTTTTAGTAGAGATGAGGTTTCACCATGTTGCCCCGGCTGGTCTCAAACTCCTGACCTCAGCTGATTCACCCACCTTGGCCACCCAAAGTGCTGGGATTACAGGCGTGAGCCACCGTGCCTGGCCTCTATGCTAATATCTATTGATTATCTTTTTCTTTTTCTTTCAGTTTCAGATCTCCAGGGTTGTTGGTATAATGAGTGATTTTCATAGAAACTTGGGCATCTTTGTACTATGTTATGAGGACCTAGATCTTATTTAAACCTTCTATTTTAGCTGGCTTTTTCAGGCACTTCTCCAGCAGAGTGGTGGCAGTAGGGAGCACCATTTTGGTGAGAGTAGAAATTCGGTTTCCTCAGTTGACCTCTGTTGACAACCCAGTTTAAGACTCTTCATTATTGTTGGGCAAGGTTAGGATTTCAAGCCCTCATTTGGTGTCTATTGATACCTTTCTGTGTGAAGGGGTAGGACTTTCTGTCTGGAGGGATAGGAGTGACTCCCACACGGCCTCCAATGACACTATGGCTGGGGGGTGATTTGCTCTTCTTACTACTGACTGATGATGAAAGTCATGACTCTCCCTCCACCAGCACCTCTGACAGGAGGGGATGGGGGCCTCTTTATTGTCCAGTGAGGATGAAATTTCTGGCTCCCTACTTGGCCTTCTCTGATACCACGTGTGTGTGTGTGTGTGCGCATGTGTGTGTGTGTGTGTGTGTGTGTGTGTGTGTGTGTGTGTGTGTGTGGTGGGAGGTTGTTTGCATGCCTCACTATGCCTTTCAAAGGTGGAAATCTAGGCTTTCCTGTCAGCCTTTGCTGGCATGGATGGGAAAGGAGCCACCATTTTTTCTGTGGTAATTGGCTTGAATAGAGTGACTATTATGTTTTCTGTCTTGGTAGGCTGCCCTTTTCCTGCTCCTTTTGCTGGAGAGAGCAGGCTTTCCTTGGGGCTCTTATTGTCTGCATCCATTTCATTTCTGGGTTTCTGAATTATTCACCTCCATGACTGGGATATATGAGGCTAAATGAAAACCCAGGGGAAGTCATCTCACTCTGCAAGTCACAAAGTCACTGCCTTCATAGCTCACTGCAGCCTTGAACTCTTGTGCTCAAGTTATCCTCCCACCTCAGCCTCAGCCTTTTGAGTAGCTAGGACTAATTTTTAAAATTTTTCATAGAGATGAGATCTCGTTATGTTGCCCAGGCTATAAAAATGACATTTTAAAAAGAAAAACCATAGACCAAGCTTGCTTATTAATAAAGACTACACTCTTGAAGTAAATATTCATAGAATTCAAATGATGCCTGATCCATTCATCTGGGGATACACATGATGTCATATGAACATCAGCACCTCAAATATCCTGTTCTTGCCTCTCCCAAAAAGTTCACTTCAAGTGTTTTTGGAATTCCCTGAGGGGTAGGTTTTCACAGGAAATAAATCATCCAGTCAGCTGTGGTTACTATGCAGCATCCACTGTGTTATTTTTCTTTTGCTCTTATTTCTCTGAGTTAATGTCTGTTATCTACAGAGGTATTTGAAGGAGGCTTACCTTTATTACTGCTGTTGCAGACTATCATAAGAATAGCAATGTCTATTTCAAGGATGCTGTTTCCAGATAATAAAAACATCTAATTTTCAAGATACTGAGGAGTTCTGCATAAAAGAGCATTTTCTGCTCAGCTTTGAGCCACCCGTGGTAACTTGGGCTATGAAGCAGTACTGCGTGTTCCCAGTGCCTTTACGCACAAATCAAATACTCCTACAAATACTCTGTGCCAGTCATTTGCCTGTTTGCAGGTCAGTTTCCTGGCTTCCTCTGTTCTGCTCTGTATCACGAGGAACTGTTTCCCCAGGCTCTTTTCTTTCTGACTTCTGCAAAGATTCAGCCAAGGGGAAGAGGGTGGAAGCAGAGATGAAACCAGGATGTTTCTTGTTTTCTCTCTCTGCCTCAGGGGGCACCTCCAAGGGCAGGCATATGTCCACAGTGGCTCCATCTCCCACCAAATAGTTCTTTCTTCTAAGATCCCAGCTTGCTGAGAAGGTCCAGAATGGTCCATCTTCTGCACGTGCTACAACTCCCAGACTCTGGTAACACCCCTTCTCCTCTTTGTTCCTCTAAACTAAAGATTTGTGGTAGTTTTCTTCTGTTGATAATTTTAGGACTGCCTCATTTTCTCTCCCCCACCCATTTAACTTCTCAATTCTTCTATTACCTATGTATCTAGTTAGATGTATTAAGTTTTCTCTGAAATACCTAGAGCTGTTTCTATTTTCTTGGGAGGATTCCAACAGTTATAGACTTATAAAAGTGGCCAGGTGCAGGGGCTCATACCTGTAATCTCAGCACTTTGTGAAGCTGAGGTAGGTGGATCACTTGAGCCAAGGAGTTCAAGATCAGCCTGGGCAACATAGTGAGACCTTATCTCTACAAAGTAAACAAAAATTTAGCCGGGTGTGGTGGTGTGTACCTGTAGTCTCAGTTGCTTGGTGGGGCTGAGGTGAAGGATTGCTTGAGCCCGGGAGAGGATGCAGTGAGCTGTGATCATGCCACTGCACTGCAGCCTGAGTCACAGGGTGAGACCCCATCTCAAAAAGAGGTGTTCAATTCAAGGTCATACAGCTGGGAGGTTGAGGCTGCAGTGAGTCAAGATTGCACCACTGCACTCCACCCTGGGTGACAGAGCGAGACCCTGTGTATAAAAGAAAGAAAAGAGAAAAAACACAAGTTGAACAACTTGAGCAAGAATATTGAGGTCTCTGAGTGAACCAACAAGAAGTATAGGAACAACACGTTAGTATGAGATCAACTTCCTCTTTCCACATCATACTAGTTGTTAGGTACAAGGTTGTTGTGTGGCTCAACCCTATAGAAAACCATGCACGTTTTAGTTCATGTAATTGTCAATCCTTAAAATTGTGCAGTTCGCAACATGGTCATCTGTATCTAACAACACTGAATAGGTAGACATGGTCAAACCTCATTTATCTTAGGTATTAATATTTATCTATTAGTAGGATTAAAGTTAGTCTTAAGTAATAGAAAGAAACTACAGTAGCCTAAAGAAAATAGTAATTTTCTCACATGTAAAAGTTTGTAGAGATGCAGTCTAGAGCCGACATGGCCACTTTTCTCCACAACGTCCACAGCACCCAGATGCTGGGTTCCTTCTAGCTCAAGAGGTTAACAGTTCCCCCAAGTGTGAACCTCATTCCTGTCATCCTTATCTTCCTAGAAGGAAACATCTTCCTTCTAGGCAGCAGAATAGAAGAAGGGACAAACAAAACAAAACAACAACAACAACAAATCATGCCAAGGCAATGGAAAAATACCAAGTATCTCCTAAGGAAGAGTCCCAATAGCTGCTATATGACCCTCTACTTAATCTCCTTGGCCAGCACTTTCAGGACTGGCTTAGTGGGTTTAGATAGTTCCTTCTTTCATCTATGGTCATCTTTAAGGGGGAGAGAATCAGTTGCCATACATTGATCTAATGCTTTGACCTTAAACCTAAGAGACTTTAGAAGACTTGGGACCTTAAAGTCCCCCTTAAAAGAAACAGAGACCAGACTAGAAACCTAGAAACATAGGTTTTCAGTGCTAGATTTTATTGAGGTGAAAAAAAGTAGGTAAAAATTACCCAGCTACTTTAAAACTGATGTAGGACTGAAAACCAAGTTTTCCAACTCCCGGGTTCAGTGATCTGTTCATGATAGGTTGCTTCAAAGGAAAACTGTCTTTCTCCTGTGGCATATTAAACATGACTGCAAATTATTTGCAAATCCTCCCCTCAAGTGGTGGAGTTTATTTTAATCTCAGCTGGCCTTGGGACTTGAATTGACAAATAGAATATGGCAGAAGTGATATTGTATAACTCCAAGCCTAGGTCTCCAGATCCTTGCAGCATTTACTCTTGCTCTCTTAGAATCTAGTTGCCATGGGAACTAGCCCAAGCTAGCCTGCTAGAGGGGCCTCATGGAGGAGATCTGAGGCACCTTGGCCAACAGCCCCAGCCAACCAAGAACCATGTGTGTGAGACCATCCTGGACTAGGTAGCCCTGAAATGGCCTGCTATGTGAAACCAAAGATGCAAATGAGCACAGAGGATACTTCAGCTCTTCCTAATTTGCCAATCCATAGAATGGAGAGCCAATTTTTTTTAAGCCACCAAATAAGGGGTTGTTTATTATGGAGTAATAAGTAACTGGTACATTTGCTAAGAGGGAGACCACACAGCTTGTCCCATTCTTTTGTTTCTCATTGTTCCAAGTGAGACATTTAAACATAAGAATAAATGCTTGCTGGGCACGGTGGCTCATGCCTGTAATCCCAACACTTTGGGAGGCCGAGGCGGGCGGATCACCTGAGGTCAGCAGTTCGAGACCAGCCTGACCAACATGGAGAAACCCCGTCTCTACTAAAAATACAAAATTAGCCAGGTGTGATGACACATGCCTGTAATCCCAGCTACTCGGGAGGCTGAGGCAGGAGAATCGCTTGAACCTGGGAGGCGGAGGTTGTGGTAAGCCGAGATTGCACCATTGCACTCCAGCCTGGGCAACAACAGCAAAACTCTGTCTCAAAAAAAAAAAAAAAAAAAAAAAAAGAATAAATGCTTGTTCCTCTAACCATTGAGTTTTGGGTGGTTTGTAACAAAGCATTATTATGGTAGTAGTTGACTAAGACCTTGGTTTTAGCAAGAACTTATGTAAATTTTCTTGAGGAAACATATGTTGAATTGACACAACTTATTAGAGTCTCTGTATTCAGAGTACTATCTTCAAAACCTGTTGGATTAGGAAGAAAAATGTGGTGGCATGTAGAAAATACCAAAAAGAAAATAAAAAAGGACAAAGATCCTCCTTTTGAGCTGTTTCTACCCATACATAATTAAAACTCCAGACTTCTGAGCATTTTCTTCAAGTTTTTGACATATTCAAGTACCAATACAGCTATTATTTGTTTAGTATATTTTAGTTGATTTAATAAAAATACAGAGGCTATGTATTTTAGTCTTCTTAGAGTCATATATCTATAAAAGAAAAATGTATATAAAAATGAAAATATTGGACCAGGTGCAGTGGCTCATGCCTGTAATCCCAACACTTTGGGAGGCCAAGGCCAAGAGATCGAGACCATCCTAGCAAACATGGTGAAACCCCGTCTCTACTAAAAATACAAAAATTAGCTGGACATGGTGGCGTGCACCTGCAGTCCCAGCTACTCGGGAGGCTGAGGCAGGAGAACCGCTTGAACCCAGGAGGCGGAGGTTGCAGTGAGCCAAGATCACGCCACTGCACTCCAGCCTGCTGACAGGGCGAGACTCAGTCTCAAAAAAATATATATATATATTATATATATTATATGTATAATATGTATTACATATATAATATATATAATATATATATAATATAAATATATATATAATATATATAATATAAATATAAATATATATATAATATATATAATATAAATATATATTTATATATATACACACACACACACACACACACACACACACACATATTGAAAGAGGTCCATCTACTTATCACTTAAATTATTTCAAAAGCCACTTTGTGGTATACTGAACTTACAAGCTACTCTTTCCCAAAGGAGCTCCCCAATTCTCAAGTATTGCTTCCTTTGAAAGAGCAATCAGTGCACCCCAAAACCTGCCCCCCATGATCTGTTTCTCCATCATCTTCTGGGCAAAGTCCTCAACATTGCTTGTGATGTCAAGGCTTACTTCGGTTCACTCAGAACTGGGTTTATTGTTCTTTAGGGGGTAGCTTCTTAGTGGCTATCACTGCAATCGAGTGATCTTAGAAGCAAATTGCCAGTCATGTGCACACTTGAGAGTGTCACAATAGACAGATTAATGTCCTGTCCTTGATTTTGATACCACATCCACTGTAGATGGCAGCTGATTATGGATAGAACATTGTGGCAAAGGCCATGATCTTCAGATGATGAAACTGGATGTTAGAGAGTTTGAGAATACTAGTCCCCAAAACTGTCACCTCACAAGGCCAAGCAGTGAAACATAGTTTAAAAAGAAGAGTTTAGATGAAGGAAGATGTTTACTATGAAGAAACTTCCAAAAAACAGATACTTAGTGACTGAGAGGCTCAATGGTTAAGGCTTTGGTTCAATTCTCGGTTCTGCTAATTATTAATTTTGTAACTTTGAGTAAGTTCACTGTACTTTCATATCTCTCTGACCGCTCATCTATAAAATGGGGAAAATAAAAGCTGTTATTTCCCTCAGAAAGTTGCTGTGAAGACTGAAGGAAAATGTACAAGCAAAACATTTAGCACATTCCTAGCACAAAGAAGGTGCTCCGTAAAAAGTGGTTATTTTTATTATTACCAATATTTTATTTTGATACTATTATGGCATGAAACAAAACCTCCTGGAATTAAAATAAACAGACAGGACAATTGAGGGCAAGAAGGAGGCAGCATCCGAAAAGATAAATGTGGTCCATGTGCCACAGCTGTTAACACACCTCTTCTCGGGGCTTAGATCTGAGTGAAGGCTGCTGCACTCCCGTGACTGGGTATGGCTGTGCTGGTGATGACTCACCATGGAGTAGGATATGGGTGATAAGAAGAAGTCCTGCTCCTGAGACAGCTCCCAGGATGGAGGTTGCTTGGCCTTCAGGAGGAGGCTGAGTAGGAATGGTGGACCTGGCAGCTGTGCTGCCCTATCCCTGTGGCTGGCTCAGCTTCTCTGACAGGGAGAGAACCTAAGTCCAGGCTGTGGTGGCTGTCCATAGGCAAATGTCACAGAGCACACTCCATCTTCAACTTTCTCTTATCAAATCTAAGTGGTCTCCATTATCATCTTCCTAGGGAAACATCAGCTCAGGGGCTTTGATTGATAGAAAAGGAGTGAGGAAGGGAATATGTGTGAAGGAAGCTAAAAGCCCATGGGGAGAGTATTGGACTTTCTGTGGAAGGGAAGTTTGAAGAGGAGGCACCATCAGGGTGTACCCACACAGACCAAACACCTCTAGAATCCTGAGTCAGCTTTTTCCCCTCACTCTGATTCCTACTCCCCCCTTAATCAAAATTCCATTGTTCGCTGGCATCACTATTCCCCTAGTCATGCAGAAATGCAACTTGGAGCTCCTCTGTGGCTCTATCATAAACCCCTCCTCCATTCAATCCATTGCCATGACTTTATTCCATACAATTTTTCTTTCTACGCACTTCCCTCCCCTCTGCCATCCCCTTGGGCCGGGCCCTCCCTTCATCACTCCTGCAACACCAAACTAACCACTCTGTTTCTTGTCTTTTATCCAATCAGTCCAGATCCCCAATACCACACCGGCGTTTCTTAGATATTATTGTATCTTGCCACACCTTTCCTCAAAAGCCTTATTTTTCCCAATGCTTTCTTTTCTAATGTATGAAGTTCTGACTTTTCTTTATGACTTTCATGATACCCGACCAGCTGGCCCCAGGGGGCACAATGGCTTTACTCCACTTCTCCACACCCACCCTCATCCTGGCAAGTGCACCATGGCCCTAGCACAGTGCTGATGGAATCTGGAAATATCGCCAGGGGATCATTTGCAAGACTAACCTAATAAATTACATTATTTTTTTCCTGGGATGAGGAAACAAGGACAGAGTTGAAACACCTTCCCCCAGAAATGTGCTTGCCTCTCTCAGACCACAGGTAAGGGCTTAATATGATGTGAGAAAGAGGATTTCTGGCTTGGAATGCAATTCATTTCTATTAACATTTAGAAAGCATCTTGGGTGGGCAGGAATGAAAACCAGACACTGTACATGCTATGACATAGTTTTCAATCACTAAGGAGATGAAGAGGCAAGCTATCAGTGTAACAGAAAGCAGAATGAAAGAAAGAGGGGCTCAGTAAAGCCTTATTCTTTTGTAGAAGGCATGAGATCCTATGAGGTAGGCATAGGCAAGTATTACCCTCATTTTCCAGATGACAAAACTTGCTTACCTGCCTCAGAGTTTAAGTGGCTTGTTTATTGTCACAGAGCTAATAATTAGCAGATTAGGGTCTCCTAGCTGGGTGATCTTTTGAATGCATGACTTTGCCAGCAGCCAGCAGAGCTATGAAACACCGAGAGAAACAATTAAGCATGCTTGGGAACAGTGTGAATGGGCATGGAGCTGGGAGGCCTCCTGGGAAAGGTGGCATTTGACCTGGGAATTGATGAATCCCAGAAAAGCCAATCAGAGAGGTGTGAAAACAAAATTAAAATGGAGACTGGGCCTGAAAAATTCCCAGGCAAACAAAGCCAAAGACCTTAAAAATAGCCATATTCTTGCTAAAACTACAAACATAAATTAAACTTAACTTGGGTCAATTTCTGATAAATGCTTACAACAAATAAAACTTAACCCCAGCCAATGATAAGCAGCCAACTAACATATGATTATGTGACTAGGGACTTTCCAAAAAGTTACCTAAAAAATGCAATTATGTAACTGCAAACTAAGCAAATAATGTTTCATTTTGCTTCTATAACTTCCCAATAAATGCTTGCCTCTGACATTTTGTCATCGCAACACTAAACCTTTGTCGGTCTGGTGCTCCCCAATTCATGAATTGCTTCTTACTTAAATAAACTCTTTAAAATTTTACTGTGCCTCATATTTTTTTTAATACAGAAGAAATGAGAGAAGGAAGAATATTTTAGAAATAAAGGAACTTCATGGGCAGAGTCACAGTGCAAGACAAAAGGAGCAGACCAAGGGCAAGATTGCTTGGGGAGTGAAGACTCCCTCCCTCTTCTCCCCTGAGAAGCTGAGATAAAGGGGGAGGAGAAGCCTGGGTGCCCCCCACTGATAAGCAGGCTCCACCCAGAGGCCAGTCCTGTGTGTCTGGGGACAAGGCGAAAGAGCAGCAGAAGTGCCCCTTCTCCAGGATCAAGGAACTGGGGCGGGGGGTGTTTCCTGGACCCCAGTCCTCCGAATCAGCTCCTAGAGTGGAACCAGGAAGGATTCTGGAGCCACAGAAGATAGACAGATGGTAAGTCCCCTTTTGGAGTCAGAGGCTTAGCGGGGAGGGGTGAGGGTGGCTGTGTGCAAAAGTCCTGCCCCCACTGGAGGGGAGGGAATGTAAGGCTTACAGAGTAGAAAGGTGGGGAGAGAGGGAGGTAATGGGAGAGGGATCGAGAAATGGCACATTCAGGGGACAGGTTCGTTCTGAAGCCCATCTGGGAACACTGCTCCGAGATAAAAATATGTGTGTGGGGGCAGGGCAGGCAGCGAGGGTATCAAAATGGCCTGATAAAACTCTCTTCAATGCACCATTTCCTGAACCAGCTTCTCTCTCCTCCTTCTCCCTCCACTCACTTCAGGAAGGTGGGGACCAAAGTGAGGAAGAGCCGAGGGAACGCAGCCAGGCAGGTGGAATGGGAACTCTCTGGAGCCAAGAGGTAAGTGGCCTCCTCTCCTGGGTCTGGAATACACTGATGTTGTCACTCTCGGCTCTAAAATCCCACAAACACTCATCTACTAACTGTCTGCTTCATCCTCACCCAAAACAGTTGACATTCCTTGTTTTCTCATCTCCCAGGAGTTAAAGTAGGGCTGGGTTTAGGAAGAATTGGGATAATTATTTCTGTATAAAGGGACTGTAGCACCAACAGATTCATTCTCTCTCCTCTTCTTCCCATCCCTGTCTCTCAACCCCCATCTTGTATCTTTCACCTCTTGGTTCCTCCCACAGAGCACTCCAGAAGAGAGGCTGCCCGTGGAAGGGAGCAGGCCATGGGCAGTGGCCAGGCGGGTGCTGACAGCTATCCTGATTTTGGGCCTGCTCCTTTGTTTTTCTGTGCTTTTGTTCTACAACTTCCAGAACTGTGGCCCTCGTAAGCAAGATCCCAGACCCCCTAACCTAGTCAGCCCTCCCCCAGCCCTGGGGCCCAGGCCCAGTCCCTGCTCCTGGGGCTTCTGCCCACCCTGACCCTTGGGGTCCCCATGGTTCTTCTTCCTCCCTGCATCCTAACCATTTCTTTTTCATCAGCTCCCCACTTAGTTACTCACCTGATGTTCTTTGCCTAGCCCCTTGGGGGAGCCCTTGTCTTTTTGCCTCTTCTTTCCCAGCTCTGAGCTTTTCCCCACAGGCCCCTGTGAGACATCTGTGTGTTTGGATCTCCGGGATCATTACCTGGCCTCTGGGAACACAAGTGTGGCCCCCTGCACCGACTTCTTCAGCTTTGCCTGTGGAAGGGCCAAAGAGACCAATAATTCTTTTCAGGAGCTTGCCACAAAGAACAAAAACCGACTTCGGAGAATACTGGGTGAGGAAAGCAGGGTGGAAGATGCTCTGTGCAAGTGGGTGACTCTGTGCCTAAAATGACCATGACTGCTCCAAACCCTGTGTAGTTGTGGAACAACTGATTTGCACCATCCCAGGTGGGATTATACGGGTGGATGATTGGAGATGATGGGGGAGTAAAAGAGGCAGGATGGCGGGAGCTGCCTGGGTTTGCTCATCTCTCACTGTTTCCTGTTGCCTTGCCTTGGGTACCCTTCTTCCGTTTCTCTTGGTCCCTTTCTGCATTTTTTTCTTTATCTAATTTCCATCTTCTTTGCTTCTCCATGTATCCATAATTACTCCATTCTCTCCAACTTGTCCCTTTTAGCAAGCTCCATCTTTGTTGCTTCCTCCAAATGTTCAGTTTCTATCCTATGCATGGTGTTTTCCTCCACAAGCATCTCTTCAGCATCTCCTGCATTTCAATTCTTTTGTCCATCACTCTCATTCTCTAACCTCCAAAACCTCAGTCTCCCAATGACTCCTTGTCAACATTACCCTCTCCCTCTCACCATGCCGGAGCTCCCCTCTCTCACAATGATCTCTTGCTTCTTGCTTCTCCATTGAAACCTTGAACCATGGCAAGCAAGTTGACCTGGAACAAGTGGGATGTTAGAGATGGATGATTGGAGATGATGGATGATGGTGGAATGAAAGGGGTAGGATGGTGGGGTGAGAAGTGAGAGAGGGCTTCATCACTGTGCATAAGAGAAAAAGTGGGTAAGTACAAAGGATATGCTGGAAGAAGAGGAGAGCTGAGTTAATTGGCAGTGGAAGTAAAGTTCCTGCAGATGGAGGCTGGAGAGGAAAACTGCCAGGACTGAGAGGAAAACCAGAAGGATGAGCTGAAACTGAGTAGGAGGTTGGAAGTGCGTCCCAGGAAGTTGGTGGATGGTGGTGAGGATTTGGGAATAAGAACATATAAGATAGACATGCATTTCCAGTGCAAGGGAACCTAAAGAATGTGTTGACACTATCAATTAGAATCTGGGAAAAGTAAATGCACCCCTCTGCCCTCTTTTTTTGATGGGGAAAGAGTGGGAGGGGGCCTCTCTTTGGGTAAATGGATACTTTCAGGGAAGGCACAGAGATAAAAAGAAAAAATATGCTCAGGATAAATTATATTGCCTACAATGGGATGAATAGATATCAGGGGGACTGAGGGTGAAAAGAGTGTTAGATATTAGAGGGTGGATGATTCAGAGAGACTTGCATTTGATTATTGTAGTGTGTTTGTTTCCTGGGATCAATGGATGAGGAGTCTGGACTAGAAGAGTCTTCCCCTGTTTCTTCTCTTTGCTAAACCTTTCCTTATGAGTTTTCTTCTCTCCAAATCCTTAAAGTTCTCTAGTTCCCTGAATTTGTCTAATTTCTTCAATCATTTCTTTTGTCTTTCATTTCTCTCTTTTCTCCTTTGCCCATATCCCACTTATTGCTACCTTTCTCCTTTCTTCCCTGTCTTTTCCTTCTTGGTTTCTTCCCCACATTTCTTTTATTTTCCATATTGTCTTCTTCTCCTCATTCTCTTTCCCTGCTTTCATCATTTCATCAAGTTGATCCATTCCAAATTGGGCAGTCCTCTCATCTTTCTTATTTTCCTCATCTCTATTCCTCCCCCTCCTTCCATATTCTGTGGGAGTCTTTCTTTCCTGTAAGCTCCCTGTCTCCCACCCTCCCTCTTTGCCTCTATACCAGTTGCCACTCCTTTAATTCTCCTGCCGACAAAAAGAGTCAAACTCTGTAAAATATTTGAAAAGATTTATTTTGAGCCAAATATGAGTGACCATGGCCCATGATACAGTCCTCAGGAGATCCTGAGAACATGTGCCCAAGGTGGCTGGGGCACAGCTTGGTTTTATACATTTTAGAGAGTCATGAGACATCAATCAAATACATTTAAGAAATACATTGGTTTGGTCCAGAAAGGTGGAACAACTCAAAGGGGTGGGGGTGGCTTCCAGGGTACAGGTGAATTTAAACATTTCCGGATTGACAGTTGCTTGAGTTTGTCTAAAGATCTGGGATAGATAGAAAGGGAATGTTCAGGGTAAGATAAAGATTGCGGAGACCGAAGTTCTTTTGAAGTCTTATAGTGGCTGCCCTTAGAGACAATAGGTGACAAATGTTTCCTATTCAGATCTTAGTTAATCAAAAGATCTAGCTATGTTAATGAGATATGTTAATAGCTAATAGAGATGCTTTACAGATGCAAATTTTCCTCCACAAAGAACAGCTTTGCAGGGCCATTTCAAAATGTGGCAAAGAAACATGTTTTGGGGTAAAATATTTTTGTTTTCTTCTTTGTCTCGTAATGTTATGCCAGAATCAGGTTAGAAAGTAAATCATGTTACATGGGTTAAATAAAACCCATCTGATGAGAACTTATGATATAGGGCATGACTCCCCAGACCCCTTTGATAGGAATTTGGGGCAAGATAAAAAAAATCAGAGTTTAGTCCTCACTCCCATGCTTCCTTTCTAGAGGTCCAGAATTCCTGGCACCCAGGCTCTGGGGAGGAGAAAGCCTTCCAGTTCTACAACTCCTGCATGGATACACTTGCCATTGAAGCTGCAGGGACTGGTCCCCTCAGACAAGTTATTGAGGAGGTGAGAAAAGTTGGGATATTAACTTTTCTGGATACATAACATATGGGACCAATGCATGCTTAGGGCTGCCATTTTTTTTTCTAGAGGGTGGGTCTTCTTCCTAGGGCCCCCCAATTTCTAGGAGGGAGATGGAGATGGAAATGGTTATGCCCTATGAAAGTATCAGGACCTTGGGAGAAGGCAGATAAAAAAGGATAGATGTGGCTTCCTAGAGGAATCGAAGGGCGCAGGGCAGAGGTCAGGCAGTAGCAGCTGTGTAAGAGCCGATCCAGACAATGGGGGATGGGCTCCACGGATCCTTATGCTCAGCCCCCTCTCTCTCCTTTAAAGCTTGGAGGCTGGCGCATCTCTGGTAAATGGACTTCCTTAAACTTTAACCGAACGCTGAGACTTCTGATGAGTCAGTATGGCCATTTCCCTTTCTTCAGAGCCTACCTAGGACCTCATCCTGCCTCTCCACACACACCAGTCATCCAGGTGAGGGATGCACTGGCGAAGACACAGTTGGACCTGGCCTGCCTCCAACTCTAGCCAATCATCCCTTAGAGGAAGGTTGCAGGTTGGGAAGAGAGGACACCTGTGTGATATAGGAAACAACCCTACCTTAAGGGAAAATTATTGATGTGAAAGTCAGGGACATTAGCTGGGGGTGGGAAATGGAGCAGCAGAGCCAGTGCTGGGAAGACAGAAGTAGGCCTGGTCTTTCTTACTGTTAATCTGGATTAGTCTCAGAGCCCCTTAACCAGTCCTCCTATCTCTAGGATTGCCCTCATTTTATTTACTCTTTATTTTTACTAGAGGGAACTTTTCTAAACCAAGGGCTAACTAACTATGCTACTGTCTGTATTTAAATGCTTGTCAGTGACCCAGTGGCTTGCCAGGTCATCAGAATCTAGTCCCTAATCTTTAGTAAAGCTTTGCAAGCACCTTGTGATCTGACCCCTACACACTTCTCCAGCCTTATCTCCCGTACATTCCTTCTCTCCCTTACCCCCAAGCCATGCTGACTCACTGCTGCTTCCAGGAATATTCCTCAGTTCTTTGCCTATGCTGCTCCCTGTGCCTGCAACCATCCCCCACACTGAACCTGGAAAACTTACATGTTTTTCAAATGTTGGCTTTATTATCTCTTCCAGGAAGTCTTCACCGACACCCTAGTTATGAGTTAGGTGAAGCCCTGCTCTCCCTACTTTCGTTTCCTCATGCTCTCAGCATTTATCACTCTGTGTTGAAGATTGTGAGCCTCTTTAGAACAGGACCATGCTTTATTCACCTTTGTTTCTCAGGACCTATCACAGGGCCAGGCAGCTAGAAGTTTTGCCAGGTATTTGTAGTGAGTGAGTAACTAAATAAAAACACTGGAGCTATCACTCTTGTGGTTAAACAATGTAATGCTATCTGCATATTTGGGCCCTACTGTCAAAAGAGCCACAAAATTACCAAAGGATAAGTACAAAAGAAGAATTGATTATCATTATGAGGTGTTCTAAAATTTAGTTTTAAACAGTCTGCTCAGGAGTTTAACTGATGTGGCCTTTAGGGGCCGGTTAAGATCTGGTTAAGGAGAGGCTCAGAGAGGAGAGAATGAGAGAAGGTGAGCTAAGCCAGCCTTGAAACATGGTTAATTCACACAAGTGGAGGTGAAGCTATGGGGCGTTGGAAATGCTGAGCCAGGGGGAGGACCTGGAATGGTGTGATTCCTTCGTGGAGTCAGTGAGGAGGCTGATCTATTTAATTGAGGATTTGGGAGGCAAGGTGGGGTGCAGTGGGAGGTAAAAGTGAGACTGAAGACATAAGGTTGAGCCTGATTATTTCTAAGAAGCCAGGCGAAGGTGAAACATTTGACATAATAGAAAAAAAAAAAAGAGCTACTGAGGCCATCCAACTCTTATGACAATTGTGCATAGAGCAAGTATTTTGATGGTTGTGCGTAGAGTCAGCAGTTTTGAAGGTCAGTCTGGGGGTGTTGAGGAAACTAAATGAGCATTTTTGAGGCCCTGAGATAGAGGTAGAAATGGAAAGGAAGAGCCAGGCACAAGGATTTAGGCAACTTCACCCTAGTGATGATAGTTCATGCTGTTTCTAGAGGATTTGGTGACTGATTGGATATAAAGAAAGAAAGTGGGGGATTACACAGTGATCCCATTGTTTTGATTTAGTGTGAGTGGGAGGAGGGTGATTATCATCAGTGTGAGCCTGGATAGTCTCTTGGGTTAAAAGCAGGTAGGAAGAATGGACTACAGAAAGAGAAGTCCAAAGACTGAGGGCAGAAGGGAGCCAGGGAAGAGAGAGTACTATTGGAGAGATGGGAGCTAGACCAGTATGGTGGGCCACAAAGGAAAGAAAAGGAGCTTCAGGAAGGAGGGGTCAGCTCAGAGAAGAAGGAATGAGAAGACACCCTTGGATACCTAGAGATACTTTCCAAACAGTTATGGCAGTGGACACAGACTGCACAGAGCTTAGGAGGAAGATAAGAAAGTGGAAACAATGGGCATAGATGCTTTTTTGTTCTTTGAACTGTGGACATACAATGTAGCAAAAGGGTCAAGTGAAAGTTTTTTTCGAGACAGAAGGAAAAGTATATGGCTCAAGATAAGAGTGGGATATTGAAATTGGAGAAGAAAAGGGAAAGAGTAGAAGCAAAGATCTTCAGAATAGAAACAAGGGTTCATCAGGGCCAGACTAAGGTGAAATATACATGGTGCTTACCTGGGGTGCTAATTTAAGAAGGTCCCCAAAACTCAGTATCATGATAAATAGTATTTTATTAAATATTCCTAAAAAATCAAAATCAATGCAACAATACATGATGGAACAAAATATCAAACTTTTCTTCATTATGAATTTTTTTGAAAAAAGATTATGCTTTTTTTCCCAAAAAATGGGACAAAATTCTGTGTGAATCTTTTTGAAAATACTAATTTTTTTATTCAAAATGAATCAAAAATACATTGAGGACTTTTCTTGAACACATCATGATTCTTTTCAAAATTGACTAAAAGTATGTTTTTTTGGGGAAAAAAAGTCCATGATAAGCAAAGTTTTGAGATTTTATTTATCATACATTTTTGGTAGTAATTTTGATTTTTTAAAATGTTAATTATTTATCTTGATTACTGAGTTTTTTTAAAAAAGAGTTTATTTGAGCAAAGACTGATTTATGAATTGGGCAGCATCCTGAAGCAGTAGAGGTTCAGAGAGCTCCACCCAACAATGCAGGCAGGCAGTATTTACAGAAAGAGGAAGTGACACCCAGAAACAGCTTGATTGGTTACAGCTTAGCAATTGTCTTTAATGGGCATGGTCTGATCACTTGACAGCCTGTGGTTGCCTGAAGATCAGCTGGTATGGCTGGCTGAGATGGAGCTACCTGTTGCAAGAATATACTCCTAAGTTAGGTTGCAGTTTGATTACTGAGTTTTTGGTACCTCTTAGATTTTGTACCTGGGACAGGTTCCTCACCTCACTCACCCTGGCCCTGTTCCTGAGACAAGGAATAGCTCCTTTTAAGATGCTGATTATCATGCTTCTGCCTTGCTGGGCACACCCACACTGGTTGTAATACTCACCATCTCTTCCCATTTTCACATCTGGACTCTTCTTCTCATGCCCCTCAACCCTTAATCCCTCCCTTTCTTTGTACTCTTGCTTCTCTTCTGTCCAATCTTTGTGTCCATCTCCCAAGGCCATCTCCCATGGTATATTCCCCACCTCCCCACACCTGCCCTCTCCATCCGCCATGCTCCCTGCTTCTCTCCAGTCTCTCTTGTGCCCAGATAGACCAGCCAGAGTTTGATGTTCCCCTCAAGCAAGATCAAGAACAGAAGATCTATGCCCAGGTAAGATGGCACATGGACAAAGGCCCTGCCCTCTGAGGCCAGGAGAAAAGCAGGGACCTCTGGCACCTGTGACTGACATTTCCTTCCTCCAGATCTTTCGGGAATACCTGACTTACCTGAATCAGCTGGGAACCTTGCTGGGAGGAGACCCAAGCAAGGTGCAAGAACACTCTTCCTTGTCAATCTCCATCACTTCACGGCTGTTCCAGTTTCTGAGGCCCCTGGAGCAGCGGCGGGCACAGGGCAAGCTCTTCCAGATGGTCACTATCGACCAGCTCAAGGTGCCTGGAACTGGGGGCCAGAAGACTGTGGGCATGGGGATCTTCCTCTCAAACATTACCTCCTTTCCTTCTTCCTCCTAGTGCCCTTAATACCTTTTCATTCTGTCTCTGACTCCATCCCCTCCCCCAGTTAGCCTGTTCTCTTCTTTTTCTCACACCCAAGGGGAAGCCCTTTCCCCTTCCTTCTCTTTTCCTTTTCCCCCTCAGCTTTGTGTCCCTCCTCTAAGGAAATGGCCCCCGCCATCGACTGGTTGTCCTGCTTGCAAGCGACATTCACACCGATGTCCCTGAGCCCTTCTCAGTCCCTCGTGGTCCATGACGTGGAATATTTGAAAAACATGTCACAACTGGTGGAGGAGATGCTGCTAAAGCAGAGGTTCGCCGCAGGTGGGATTGGGGAGATCATGGAAATGGAGGAGAGCCTGAGCACCGTAGATCTTGGGGGCAAAGGAAACCTTGGGGAAGGCAGGCTGGTAAGGGCCTCCCAGGAGGATAAGAGGAACCTGCCACCTGTGCGGGCAGAGAAGCGTGGGGTGGGTGGCACAGAGAGGATGGAGGGATCAAGAAGGATGTGTCTTGGGAGCACGAGTAAGGGAGGATACACACGACATGAGGAACGCAGGGTCAGCCAAGACACGGGGTTTCCTGAGAGTAGAACACCAGCCAGTCAAGAGCCTCTGAGCTGTAGAAGATGCTGGAAGACCCAGACACAGAAGACAGTTAAGTGTATGTATGTCTTTTTAGCAGCTGAGGACTGTGGGCAGGAGGAGGAGGCACATGAGATGAGGAGATGAACATGGTGAAGGCTGGGGATGCTTAGGGGAAGAAAGGAAGAGGAGGGGCCATTCCTCAGGTGTGGTGTGAAGATGCTGGAGCTCTTATGGGAAACAATGTCTAAGAGCATTTCTGCTGGTGTCAGGAAATCAAGGGGGTGTTGGGGTTGGGGACATGAAAGAGTGGCTCTTTGTTGGGCTCTCTGCCTCCCCTGATACCTGGGTGGCTACCACCTGAAAGCAGTGGCTTTCTTCCAGGGGCTTGGACCTAAGGGCCTTCTTCATGGTGGCAGCAGCATCTGGAAATCCTTTTTGAGGGAGGTAGCTGCCCATTCACATGGCAGTGAGCAGGCTTACATAAGGGTGCAATGCAGCCCTGGCAGGAGCATTGCTGGTGGAGGAGAGAGCAGTCACAGAGACCAGCTTACTTATGCTTATGAGATACATCTGAGGATAACCAGAGATATCTTGACTGTGGAAGCAGAATCTGTTTCATGACATGAGTCCAGACTCCATCTAGCCCAGAACTTTCTTTCCCTGTGACTTTGAAGGCTGCCTCTTCATCTAGTTTCTTTTACTAAGGAGCTAGATCCCACCCCAACCTACATCATGAAAAGCTCTTTTTGACTTGGGTGCATGTTAAAACACTTATTAATACAGAGGAGAAGGAGCTGCCTTCACGAGTATCAAGGTGACTTACACAAGGAGAGGCTCTTCTTGAAGCATCCCCAGATTCCTGGGGTATATGTGTGGGTCTCTTTTGTCTCCATAGGGACTTTCTGCAGAGCCACATGATCTTAGGGCTGGTGGTGACCCTTTCTCCAGCCCTGGACAGTCAATTCCAGGAGGCACGCAGAAAGCTCAGCCAGAAACTGCGGGAACTGACAGAGCAACCACCCATGGTGAGGAGAGGAGCGGGTGTATTTGCCCAGATACTCGAAAGGAGTATCTACTCTTTTGAGGGGTAAATGTCGGCATCTCTCTCTCAGGGAGGGGGCCGTGATGGTAGATGCCCCTCCATGTCTTGGCTTTCCATAGAAGCAGGCAAGTTGGACAGACAAAGTTTAACTTGAAAACCAAGATGCCACGTGCCAGACCTTCAGGCACACATCTCCCAGCCTGACTACCTCTCTGGCTTCTTGCTGGGTGTTTGAGCTCAAATATAAAACTCTGATATTATCAAAACTGCCCTTTCTTTGTCATGATGCTTACACTATTTGCTCAGGATAACTTGGACTTAGAGCTTACAATTTATTGGGATGACAGAGAGATATGTTACGCAGTGGCCTTCCTTATGTCTAGTTGATTCCATGTTCAAACGTGCTTCACAAAGAGTTTATCTCTGACATCCAGTGGGATCCACTGGGCCACATGTAGACTTTGTGGCACAGATGTGGATATATCTGAGGAGGGGCCTGGGTAGAAAATGCACTTCACTAACCAGAGTCTACTTATTACATAAGATGCAGAGATGCTCCTTTGCTGAGAATCTTGAAATCCCAAGTTGGATATATCCAAATGCAAGCAGAAGAGTCTAGTACATTGGATACATCCCAACCTCAGTGAAGGCCTCAGTTTAGTCTTAAAAATCACTGGATTTTTTTTCTTAGTAATTTGTGGTCCATTTCCCTGCCTTGGAGAAACTCTCTGCTTTGGCAACCTAAAATTGCTGTGGAATTCAGAGAAGATAAATGTATTCACAGGGACTGGAATGTAGTTATTGCTTATCAAGAGCTAATGGTGTGCTAGACACTCTGAAATCCTTTAGATCTAAATCTAGATTTAGATTTAATCTTTACAATTCCATGAGGTACCATGGATGCCATTTGGTTCCTATTTTAAAGAGGAGGAGACAGAGGCACGAAAGATAAGGAAGTTGCTCAGGTATGACAGTAAGTTAGTGGGGTGAGGATTTGAACCCTGGCAGTCTGGCTCCAGGGTCTGTGTTGTTTACTCATTGTGCTAAAAAAGCAGTCTTCCTGAGGAACATCACTTGGGTTGGAGAGTGGCCAAGAAGCTTCTG
The DNA here is from genome assembly GCF_000001405.40 of Homo sapiens. Taxonomy (NCBI): domain Eukaryota; kingdom Metazoa; phylum Chordata; class Mammalia; order Primates; family Hominidae; genus Homo; species Homo sapiens. Next base: position 142,951,387 of record NC_000007.14, on the reverse strand, counting down.
CCCAGCTTTTCTCTTGATTCAGATGAAGCAGACCAGAGCCCCAAGTTATCTTAATTGGGGTTGCTACAAAATCCTGGCAACAAACAGCTACCTATAAATGCCAGCACCATGGCCTCATGGCACTTCTTGGAGGCTGTAAGAGTGCTAATGTTGAGGCTTAGGCTTAAAGAATGCAGAAGGCTTAGATGTCCTGAAGCCATTATCTTTTCCACTAGGGCACATAATTGTCCTTGGGCTTAAAAGCTGAACTAATCTCTGCCAACAAATAGTTGTGTGACCTTGGGGACGCCACTTCACCTTTCTGGAACAATAGTATAAAAGATGGCACTTAATAATAATGATAATAGCTGCTATACATGGAGTAGTCACTGTCTGTCAGCACTTGGGACAGGTTATTCATTTAAATCTTCCAGAAACACTTGGAGGTTTTTAATCCCCATTTTGCAGAAGCAAAAATAGGCTCAGAAAGGTCAAGAAACTTTCTCAAGACCACACAGCTCACAAGTAAGTGAACAGACTCCAAAACAGATGTTTTGGCTCATAAAGTCATGTTTTTAACCACACACTATACAGGATTGAGAAACAAGTAGGTGCTACAAACAAAGGTTAGAAAACTTTTTTATAAAGGGCAACATAGTAAATATCGACTTCGTGATCCATAAATGGTTGGTGTTACAAACTACTCAACTCTGTCCCTGTAGTGCAAAAACAACTGTACACTAAGTAAATGCTGTGTTCCCAGGGGATCCTGGTTGAGACAGCAGATATTCTTGGAGTTCCCAAGAGGGAGAGATCAGGGAGCATTTGAAGGATCAGTGGCATCTCTGTGCAGGAGGCAGAACTGACAAAATGTCTAGAGAGAGGAAGGAGTTTTCTGGTGAAGAAAGGGGTATCATCTCATGGGGACAGGGCAGGAGGCAGGCTGGCTAAAACTTGGTGCAGGGTGAGGGATCCTCCTGGTGGCTCTGGTTGAGAGGAGAAGACTAGGCTTGCTGTGTCCACTGATGCCCCTGGAGCATGCTCCAGGTGTTTGAGAATCAGCAAGGGAGCCAGGGCACCTGGATCAGAGTGACTAGGACAATAGTGGGGAGGGAATCAGAGCAGGAAGGAGAGAACCATACAAGGTCTGGTAGGTTGCTGAAGGACTTTTGCTTCTCTCTGTATGAAATAAAGACATGCAGAGGGATTTATCTCATTTATGTTTTAAAAGAACATATTTTAAGGTTAGTAATGGGATGTCCTGATGATGAGTGATGTGAGAAGGAGAATGGAATCAAAGACATCACCTAGAGTTTGGCCTTGATATGATCAAAATGTTTGGTTTTATTCAGTGGCCATTAATTACCGACTTCTGATCATATTCTTTTGAATGAATTATAATTTATAGTGCCCTTATACAGAAAGATTTCTAAATCTCATTATTGGCCCATCTTTGGATGATTAGTTTTGAATAGAGTTATAGTCAATGAAAATGGCTGTTAAGTCAGGTTTTCTTTTATGAAACTTGGGAAGGTGGGTTTTGAGAAGTAAAAGCAGAACTTCACATTTGTGATGATTAAATGTGAATGATTTATATTCAGCCCAACATCTCAATTTATTCAGGTCTTCCAGCTTTGGATCATTTGCAATTTTATTCAGTGTATCTTCGTCCAGACTACTGTTAAGATCCTGAAGGGAGAAGGGCATCGGGTCAGGTTATTGAAGACCTAGATATGGATTTATGCATTCATTTATGTAACAAACATTTATTGAGAACCTAGTGTACTTCAGGTACTTCTCCAGGCACTTGGAATGCAGCAATGAACAAAAAAGACAAATAAATAATCCTGCCTTCAGCCACATATCCTGGTGAAAGAAGAAAGACAATAAACAAACTAATAAAATAATAAAATATGTTAGGAGGTGTTATGAAGAAAAGCAAAACAGGAAATGAGGAAAGGAAATGCTAAGTGAGTGGTAGTTAGGATTCTTAGTAGGAATGTCACTGGAGGTCAAGTTAACTTGAAATCATTCACCATTGATGTTTACTTTTGATTCAGCCAGATGAGACTCCACTCAAATTGCACTATCATTCAACATCAGTTTCTCTATCTAATTCACGAGGACTCAATCTGTGTTTTTCAAGCCTGGCTAAATCAAGATAATGCCAACAGAGTGGGGTAGTGCCTTAGAGTACTTGAAAGGTATTATTTCACCTGATCCCCAAACCTGTGAGGAAGGTAGACTAGATATTGTTTTCATTTCGACAACTGGTGTCACTGAACCACAGGGGTTTAAGTTAATAACTCAAACTTAGTAAGTGCTAATACTCTATTCAGTGGTAGGATGGTAGTGGTGCTTGAGGATGTATTTCGTCTATAGATGTGTTTTGTTAGCCTGTAGAATCTTTTGCAAACTTTGAATTAATCACCAACATTCAAAAACTAGGATATGGCATGCCAGCATTCAGGTTTCTAGTGTGTGTGTGTGTGTGTGTGTGTGTGTGTGTCTGTGAAGCTTGGGAAACACTGGGCTACCCTTCTCCTGTGGCAACAACTGACTGTCGCTACATGATGCAGCTCAGGGCTGGGTGCGCTCTCTGAAGCCCCACCACAGCCTGTAGCTCTGATGTTGCACTGCTGTTCTCTGTTATGCCTCTGCATGGCCCCTATTGGAGTTTGCGGCTTCCGGTCTTTCATATGCCTCAGTTACATAAGCCTTTTAGCCAGAAGAATTTTTATCATTTTGGCATTATTTTTCTTCAGTGATCCTATCATAGCCCTTAGTAGTTACACATTATTTTCCAAGTGTTAAAAAACTGTTTAATGATTCGTTCCACAATTTTGTTTAGAAATTAACATTAAGGATTCCTGGTTGGCTCGTAATCCCTAAAATTTCCTTTCATCCTATAGAAGATTGGTCAAATTTTTGCTTCCCTCCGGACTCTTAGAATCTGTCCTGATTTCTATCATTTCTCAAATACTATCTGTGGTTCTGAGGTTGTATATGGAACTTTTTTTTTCTGGTGCCCTAAAATTAGTCCACTGAGTTTCATTATCTTGGGTTTGAAGTATTTCTTCTATTGTTTATATTTTGGAGACTTTTTTTTCTCGAATTCTATTTCTCTCCCTCTCTTTCTCTCTCTGACTCTCCCTTTGCAGTCAATGTGGTATACACTACCATTCCACATCTTGAGAGAGAGCTGTAGTAGTGGTCTGAGGTGGCGATTGTATTATCCAGTAGTCAGGTCCCACGGCAAAGCATGTTGGAGAAATGATCAGGCTCCAGCAAAGGGCATCAGGAAACAAATCAAGAATGAGAAGGGGTGAGAAGAATAGGCAGATCTACACTTCCAAGCTCAAGTGGTCTCCCTGCTGATGCTGGTTGCTGCTCCACATGTAGCAACTGTCTGGTAAGAGGTATTCCTGGAGCCAAGCTTGTCCAGCAGAATGTGGCTGGCAGATTCTCAACTTGGCCTATAATTGCTTTCAGACCCGGACTTCTTTTTAGTTCCTGTTGTTTCAGAGCTCCAACTCATGCAGCATGAGAAGAATCTGAGCCTCTTCTCTTTATCAGAGACAAGGTTGGCCAGGTGCGGTGGCTCTTGCCTGCAATCCCAGCACTTTGGGAGGCCAAGGCAGATGGACCACTTGAGCCCAGGAGTTTGAGACCAGCCTGGCCAACATGGCAAAACTTCATCTCTGGTGGTAGCCACCTGTAATCCCAGCTACTTGGGAGACTGAAGCAGAAGACTCACTTGAACCCGGGAGGTGAAAGTTGCAGTGAGCCGAGATTGCACCACTGCACTCCAGCCTGGGTCACAGAGTGAGACTCTGTTACAAAATAAAAATAAAAATAAGACTCAAGGTTAGCAGACCTCAAGGTTCAATAGAACACAGATGTGGACAGCCAGGCCTGCAGCAACCTCCAAAATGATAACCTCTTTAACTGGTGGGTTCGGGAGTTTTTTCTTCAGTGACTACCAGACTGGCCTCTTTGGTCTGTTTCCTGTAGTGGGATGTACATAAACCCCCTCCATTCCCAGGACCAGCCTAGCTCCTGCGGGGAGAGTATTAGTGGCAGCCTTCCTACCTTCCCCGTGGGCAGGTCTTTGGGAAGTAAAAAAATCACAGGAATAAAGTTTTGAGGCTTCATCCTGCCTAACCCAAATTAGCATATTAGCTGGTATTTATCAGTTCCAGCTCAGCTTTCCCTCAGGCCAGCTACCTCCTCCTGTCCCTGGGTTCCTTGAGTGTGTGTCTCCATTTACCGTGTCATCTCTGGGTTTATGCCTTGGTCAAGTTTTTAAAGCCATGCAAGCCCACCGCCAAGACCTTCTCAGCATCTGTCTCTTCTGTTTCTCATTCTTGAGGTCCTCAGCTGGCACTGCCCTCTTGGATGTTTGTCCATGGCCTCCTGCCTCTGCAGTGAAAGCCCTCCACCTTCCTGTTCTATTCTCTCCTCTCTGACTTGGCTGGAAGTCTTCCAGCTCTATGAATTTATACACTGAGTCTTGTCTTGTGTCCTCTTTTCCTAGCAAACAATATGGCATCTAAAACCCAGTTCTACTCTGATAATTTTTTCTTTACAAGATGCTACAGTATGATACACCATGCCCACCTGGAGAGAGGATAAAGGTGATGGTGGTAGGACAGAATTTCCATCCGCAATCTCCGTTTTGAGCAAAGAAGCATGGAGGATGGAAGTCATTGCTGGGACCCCGGAGTAGAGTGGTGGTGGGGGAACAGGGGGAACATCAGACTGCCGAGGTATGAGTTTGGGTTCTCATCTTCTTCCCAGGAGGCTTTTGAAACCCCAGGATGATGCCTCCTAGAGGCCTTGCTGTCAAATTCAATAGGCAATAACATGAAGGATTTACTCAGCCAGGCTCATGAGACCAGCTCTGAGGAAGCTGTGCTTTTCTTGTACTGATCGGTGATGTGCATCACCCTAAGGGATAGTAAACAGATGAAACCCAGAAAGTCCAGTCAAAAGAGCACCCTCTGGGAATGAAGATCTAGTGAAGACTGGGGAGACAGATGAGGAAAGAGTCCTGAACAGGAGCCACTCATTCCAGCTTTGTCTCCATAGCCTGCCCGCCCACGATGGATGAAGTGCGTGGAGGAGACAGGCACGTTCTTCGAGCCCACGCTGGCGGCTTTGTTTGTTCGTGAGGCCTTTGGCCCGAGCACCCGAAGTGCTGTATGTGAGAGCTCTTCCCAGCCCACATCCCTCCACCCCTTCCTACCCAAAGCAGCCTTCCCTCTTCTATTAACTTTGACTTTCTCAGTGGTGTGTGTGATTGGGGAATTGGGCAGTCAGAGAAGGGCCACTGAGAGAGGGAACCCAAAGGCCTGCTCCATCCCTGGTGTGGAAACAGTTCAGCTTCAGGCCACAAATTCTCCATGACATGCTCTCACTTGGACAAGTCACCCAACTTTCCTGGTCTTGTGTTTCTTCAACCATCAAATGAGAAAATCGAGCCAGGCTCGGTGGCTCACACCTGTAATCCCAGCACTTTGGGAGGCTGAGGTGGGCGGATCACCTGAGGTCAGGAGTTCAAGACCAGCCTGACCAACATGGAGAAACCCCATCTCTACTAAAAATACAAAATTAGCTGGGCGTGGTGGTGCATGCCTGTAATCCCAGCTACTCGGGAGGCCGAGGCAGGCGAATCGCTTGAACCTGGGCGGCAGAGGTTGCAGTGAGCCGAGATCACGCCATTGTACTCTAGCCTGGGTGACAAGAGTGAAACTCCATCTCCAAAAAAAAAAAAGGAAAATTGAACACTATCATCTCTAAGTCTCCTCCCTGTTGTAGCTAAGATTTTTTTAACAACACATGACGTGACATCAGAACAGATGACATAATCTTGAAGAGGGCAAATAAATCAAATAAATCACCACTGAATACTTTCTGAGTACCTACCACATGCCTGGGACTCCTTCAAGAACTTTGCATGAACTACGTCATTTAGTTCCTATTATGATCCTGATTTTATACAAGAGGGAACTGAAGCAAAGAGAGGTTAAGTGACTTGCCCAAAGTCACACAGTTACCAAAAAGCAGAGACAGGGTTTGAACTCAGGCATTCTGATGCCAGAGCCCAGGCTCTCGATATTGCCTTTCATTTTCCTCCAGGAAAGGATTTACATGAGATGGCAGGTGGCTGGGGAAGCAGTGAGTACACACTCACGTTGTGAAGGCAGGGAGACTTGTGGGGGACTTGCTGGGAAGCTGAAGAGCTCAGGAGGATGAGGAGAGGGAGTGGACGGTTTAAAAAAGACAGTGTGAGAACAAGAGCCCTGAGCCAGAGGAGAAAATGACAGCCCTCTCCTCCCTCTGATTTCTGAGAGGTGTTCCTGCCCCCAGGAGTGAGGACACTGTCTTTCTCCTGTGTCAGGCTATTTCCCCATGGAAAGGAACTATATCTCCCTGATGGCCCTCACGGATGGCCAGGCCCCACCTTCCCTTTGTGGGCTTGGCACTGCCTTCCTTTCTCCACAGATCCTTTAGTTGCTTTAGTTGAGCTGCTCCTCTAGCAGCAGCTCCAGCCCAGGCAGCTCCTTGGGGCCAAGCCCTTTTCCAAGGGTCAGAAGCTGTGGGCAGGGCCAGGCTGAGGCCTCTCCTGATCCTGTCCCCCTGTCCCTGGACCTCACTCCCACAGGCCATGAAATTATTCACTGCGATCCGGGATGCCCTCATCACTCGCCTCAGAAACCTTCCCTGGATGAATGAGGAGACCCAGAACATGGCCCAGGACAAGGTCAGGCCAGGCGTCCTGGCTGGTGTGGGAGCCTGTGCAGGGAATGGAGTATTGGAACAAGCGAGATGGGGATTGGAAGCAAATGCCAAAGGCCCCCCCAGGCACATGCTAAGTAGGGAAGCCACTGGGCTGTATACTCACACTGGCAACAATGTGAGAGGCTGGGACAGGGCAACGAGTGGGAGAAATTTCCTCTGGTAGACTCGGAGAGTATTCCTAGCCTCTTCTGTGTCTCTCTCCAGGTTGCTCAACTGCAGGTGGAGATGGGGGCTTCAGAATGGGCCCTGAAGCCAGAGCTGGCCCGACAAGAATACAACGATGTGGGTCCCTGTGTTTTCCAGCTCCTTTTCAGTCCTTGACTTCTCGTCACTTCTCTGACCCTCCTAAGTCTTTGTTGGACAATCAGTTTTCCCTGGGTGACTTAGCTCTGTCCTTACTCTGGTGCTGGCTGGGGTTGATGGGGAAATATCCACACTGTACGTCTTGCTGGCAGAAGAACAGAATCTTTTCAGGTCCCAACGCATGTGCCAACACACATGCATGCATCCTGTGACTTGTCTGGGCGTGTTCATCTGTGTGCTGATATGTGTAAAGCCTGGGTGTGCTGTGTAGTGATGCCATTGGGCTGCTCTCTCCTAATCCCTGGATGCCTGCCTGTCAGGGCTTGCCTGTTTGGGGTCAAATGGTCCCATTGGTGTTTGTCAGCGTGCATCTATAGAAGTCTCTGTGTGCCCAAGTCACCTCCTGCCTCTTCCCCAGATACAGCTTGGATCGAGCTTCCTGCAGTCTGTCCTGAGCTGTGTCCGGTCCCTCCGAGCTAGAATTGTCCAGAGCTTCTTGCAGCCTCACCCCCAACACAGGTATGACAGCAGGGGAGACACAGGCACTCCATCCCAGAGAGACCCATCCATGATTCACAGGAAAGGAAGCCAGGGCTCAGGGCAGGCAGCATGAACAGTAATGGTAGTTGGGAGGGACTGTGTAGGTCTCAGGGTGGCAGGGCAATACGTGGTGGGGGCTGGAGTTCACATGTCCTCTTCCCACAGGTGGAAGGTGTCCCCTTGGGACGTCAATGCTTACTATTCGGTATCTGACCATGTGGTAGTCTTTCCAGCTGGACTCCTCCAACCCCCATTCTTCCACCCTGGCTATCCCAGGTATGGGTCACTCTGTAAGGGTAGGTAGGGAGTTTCCCAAGAGGGGCCGACAGGTGTTATGATGGATGGGACTTACGGTTGGAGAATTGGGGTCACAAATGCTGAGAGATTCTGGGGGTCAAATAAGCCCTTGTCTCCCTAGAGCCGTGAACTTTGGCGCTGCTGGCAGCATCATGGCCCACGAGCTGTTGCACATCTTCTACCAGCTCTGTGGGTAACAGGGGCCACTGGGAGGTGGGATAATAGGGAACCTAAGGGAAGACCACAAGGGAGGCCTGGAGGGGAAAGGGAGGTTATTTGAGGGTTTGAGGTGGGGCAGTCCTGGGAACTTTGCCATGCTCCTGGGAGCTGATTCAGTCTGTGGTACCACCCACATCCTCACCTAGGCAGCACCAACCCTATGTTCTCTTGCTGTATGTTCTCTTGTCCCATTTTCAACAGTACTGCCTGGGGGCTGCCTCGCCTGTGACAACCATGCCCTCCAGGAAGCTCACCTGTGCCTGAAGCGCCATTATGCTGCCTTTCCATTACCTAGCAGAACCTCCTTCAATGACTCCCTCACATTCTTAGAGAATGCTGCAGACGTTGGGGGGCTAGCCATCGCGCTGCAGGTATGCAAGTGTCAAGGGCCACAGTTTATGTGTACTGGCAGACTAGAAAACATGTCCTCAAGTTTTCCTTCCACCATTCCTGACACAAGTACAGTTGCATGGCTTTCTGCCCTTCGCATCCCCACTGAATAGACGGCAACTTGGGGATCCCCCTCCTACCCCAGAGATCCTCCATTTTAGGACATCTATAGGTCTTCTGGGAAGTACTCTTTCTTCTGGCTCAGATCAACTAGTCAGTGCAGAACCAGTGAGCAAGGGCCATGGGTTTTGGGTACTGTGTGGAGGGACTTTCAAATGGCCACAGGTCTAGAGCCTGATGGCCCTTCTCTACCCACCCCTACCCAGGCATACAGCAAGAGGCTGTTACGGCACCATGGGGAGACTGTCCTGCCCAGCCTGGACCTCAGCCCCCAGCAGATCTTCTTTCGAAGCTATGCCCAGGTAGGCAGCGGCCACCTCCCGCCACAGCTTGCTTTATGTCAGTTGAACGCCTTATTACTGAAGCTCATGGAAGTCCCCTCTTCAGACACTCCGTCAAATACCCCAAACCCTCTTCTGCAGATGTCCTCACTGTTATCTTTTCTCTTCCCTCCCTACCCCTTGGAATCACCCCTCAGATGACTACAGGTTCTTCTACCTAGTTCAGCACCCCCACAACTCAAAAGGTAGAAAAAACTCTATTCCCAAGTTCCTCCAGGAGAGGAGGAGACCAACTTTTTTTTCCTCTCATACCCCCAAAATACAGATGCCTTAAAAATGAGCCTGTGGTTGGGCACAGTGGCTCACACCTGTAATCCTGGCACTCTAGGAGGCCGAGGTGGGCGGATCACTTGAGATCAGGAGTTTAAGACCAGCCTGGCCAATATGGTGAAACCCCGTCTCTACTAAAAATACAAAACTTAGCTGGGCTTGGTGGCGGGCGCCTGTAATCCCAGCTACTTGAGAGGCTGAGGCACGAGAATCGCTTGAACCTGGGAGGCGGAGGTTGCAGTGAGCCAAGATCATGCCACTGCACTCCAGGCTGGGTGGTAGAGCAAGACTCAGTCTCACAAAAAAAAAAAAAAAGCCTGCGACAGGCTGACTGTGTGCCACATTCCTCTTCAGACACCTGACCTTAGGTGTGGCGCCCACTTGACATCACCTCCTTAAGCACCCTGTACTCCCTCAACAGACTCAGGTGCCAGGTCTTCAACACGCTTAGATTAGACTTCACCCCAGAGCTCCTGCGCTAGACCCTGCCTCTCTGTCATTGATAAATGGTATCATTACACAGCCCAGGCCCTCCTCCTGGACTCCTATTGCCAGATTAAATGAACTATACATTTCAAATGCTCCATGTGGCCCTTGGGGCACTTGATCCCCTGGTTCCCCTCTTTGTCTGCTGTCCCTGATCACCCCTTGTCACCGGGTCAGCTTTGTCCTGTGGACCCTCCCCCTTCAATGACCTCTCTTCCTGCTCAGGTGATGTGTAGGAAGCCCAGCCCCCAGGACTCTCACGACACTCACAGCCCTCCACACCTCCGAGTCCACGGGCCCCTCAGCAGCACCCCAGCCTTTGCCAGGTATTTCCGCTGTGCACGTGGTGCTCTCTTGAACCCCTCCAGCCGCTGCCAGCTCTGGTAACTTGGTTACCAAAGATGCCACAGCACAGAAATATCGACCAACACCTCCCTGGTCACATCCATGGAATCAGAGCAAGATTTCCTTTCTGCTTCTGTTCCAAAAATAAAAGCTGGCACTTGGCTTCCGCTTGTCTCTTAATGACTTGTTCCTGCTATGTTCTATGCCTGGAAGTCATTAACTGTACGGGAGAAAAATACCCTGAAGTTAGAAAAGATAAGAGGGAGAAATGCCAAAAATGTTTCATGGACACAAGAAAAGGAAAGAATCAACAATTGGTGACCTGGTGGGTTTGAAGGCCACCCAGTGGACCAAAGATTGGACAATAAAGCAGTCTAGTTGGAGACGAGAAGGGCTTGGATTAAGTATCGGAAAGCTGCTCCCAATTGTTCTCAGGATTTTATCGTTATTTTATTGTCATTGCCTCCTGCCTCTAATCTGCTGTCCTGAACAAAACCAGGAGAGGTGTGGGAGAGAAGGATGTGGGTCTGCTGTCTCTGGCCCTGGGAGATGAAACTCCGAACCTGGAGAGGCAGTCAGTTAGCACTGATGGCAACTGGTATCTCTGCTGCTGAACCTTGAGATACAGTGATGGTGATCAGAGGCAGAGAGCCATGCCTGCATCTCCTTTGGGAGTTGTGACCTGGAGCCCAGGAGGGAGGGAGGGTCAGTGAGTGAGCATGAAGCAGAGTTGGATATTTGGGAATGTCCGCCTCAATGGCCCTCCTGAGAAAACCATGACACTGGCCAGACTAAAGCAGAAGCTGAGGTGGAAAGAGTGCTTGTGAACAGCTGCCGTCTTGGACGACTGGTCTTCTTCCTGCTGGGCCATGTCCACCACCTGCCACATCTCACCCACTGAGGAGGCCACAAAGTGCTCTTCGAACTGTTCTTGATTCTGGTCTGGAACAGGGGAAAAGGACAAGGACTGAGCCCTGACCCTGGCCTGAACCAGAAAGGAGAAGTTAGAATAGGAAAAACACGTTGAAGCCTAGGGCTGCAGTCCCAATTGCCCATATCCTTAGCCTTCACCAGAGAGGGGATGCTCTTTCTAGAGGTTTTTTCTGGTCTGTGTTCAATCACAGCCCCAACTCAAACACACACACACACACACACACACACACACACACACACACACACACACACACCATTCCTAAGGTTAGCTGCCTCCTCTAGGGTTTCAACACTGGGGGAGTCAGGGGCCACCTTGAAGCATGACAAAAGCCAGCCAAATGCACCATGCTTACACACACAGAAGTTGCATGCAAGCTCAGCTGGCCCATGGTGAGCCGACACTATTATTTCACATGATAACCATCAGTGGCTGGAGTTACCCCCCATAAACCAGACCTATGTCAGGTCTCACCCTAGCCTCATCAGTGACCTGGGGCCTGGCCTCACACAGACCTCACCCTGAGCCTCCAGACTCTCCCGTCTTTTTTTCTACCTACCTGAAGAGGGTGTTTTCTCTGTATGGCTCCTGTCTTTTTTTCCACCTACCTGCAGAGGGCGTTTTCTCTGTCTGGCTCCCATCTTTGGGGCCTGGGCTCCCGTTCAGAGGCTTCACCTGCAGCAGCAGCAAGATAGGAACCAGGAACACTGCCCTGCAGAGCTGGGGGGCCAGGGGAGGCATGGACCTGCCCACCCACTGCCTTTGGCCGCCCCCTGCTCCCAGTGCCCAGCAGGATCCGTGCACCTCCTGCCCCATTCCTGTCCTGGCCCTTAACCCTTTCCAGGGGCATTTTCTCCCCTCACCTTCCATAGGACCTCTGACTTCACATGTTCTGTGACATCACAGCCATGGGCCTGAACTTCATTCCGGCTCACTAGAGCGTTCCAATGGCGAGGCACAAGAATGGAGCACAGCCAGCAGGGATGGCCGAGGCTTCCAAGATGACCACAGTGGGTCATTCTGTATTTAGCAGAAATGACTTAACAGCTTGCAATGTACATTCATATCCATTACACCATTAGATCCACGTAGAAACCAGGACTGCAAAATCATAGTGTTCTCATATCTATTACATTCATGAGGAAACTGAGGCTCACAGAAAAAATGACTCTCTCACTCAAAATCGCCCAAATACTAAGGGGCAGAAAAGGACTCTTGATTAACTTTTACTTTTAAATATGATATCTTCCCACTATTCTATGTGGCCTTTCTGTAACAAGAGTGGTTTGCATAGGATGAGGCCCAGAACAGATGAGCCGGACAGGATTCTCAAGTCGTGGGTATGAACATGCTGCTCTACATGAAGCATGGGTCTGCCAGAAAATAAAGATGGGGAGGAGCATAGGGTAAGGATGGGTAAAAGCACATGCTGTGTGTGTGTATAAAAGACACAGAGACAGAGACAGGCATAGACAGGCAGAGACAGACAGAGACATAGAAAAAGAGAGAAAGAAAGAGACCGAGACAGGCAGAAACTGAGGGGTAGAGACAGAGAGATAGAGACGCAGAGACAGAGAGACAGATGAAGAGAGAGTGAACGGAGAGAGAGCGAGAGACAAAGAGCAGGGTGCCTTGCAGCTGGTAGAGCCCATTCACACCCTCTCTTCACCCTCCCCTGGTTTTCCCACTTTTCTAGCCTTTGTCCTCTTGTACCACCAGGTTGAAACACCCTCTTCTTTCATTTTACACCTTTCTGTACTCTTAGACGAAAGAAAAGGTTGTTAGAGGCTCATCTCCAACCTCATTGCTTGGCAAAAGGAGTTAGAGTCTGCAGAGAAGCCGCAGTGCGGCAGGGAGTCTAGGATCCCAAATAACAGATCTGGGAGAATCCTGCCTCAGTACTTGGATGCGCCTCCTGCCCATGAGCCTGGTGAGCACAGATCTGTTGGCAGTAACCGGCTGTGGGTAATCACCCCCAACTGCTTCTTGGGCAGAGATGGTTGGAGGGTTGTGAGTTAGGGAGACAGAATGAAGGCCTTTTTTCGAAAACCAGCAACAGAGACATAGGCCATTAGATGCAGGATGGCTGCTAAGACAGGTAAGAGAAGACTTTAGTCACTCCTGAACTCTCATAACCAGTTCACACTGCTCCTGCTCATCCATGCATACCAGACCTGAATGAAATACCACATGCAGGTCCAAGGACACTGCGGAGACAGGCACCCTTTCTGCAAGAGGGAACTGCAGACAGAAACACACAAAGAGATGCTTTCCCACAGAGTTTACTCGTGTTAGCAGACATGCCCACATGGATGCTGTCTCACATACAGCAGACACCATCTCTTACACACTTCCTGATGGTCCAAGCCAGATGACAAGGGACTAGGGAGTGGTACGGAGGTCGCTTGAAGGTGAGTAAGGAAAGATTCAAGTAGGCAGGTGACCCTGCTCACCCCACCTTGAACCCATTGACGTGAGATCCAAAGAATGATGCTTGAATGGAAAAAACCATCACTAATCTCCTCCCTCCTGGCTATTTTGGGGGAGCAGCCTCTTGGTTTCCTGGCAAAAAGAGAAGCCATCTCCAGCTCTGTGGGAATGAATGGGGAGGGCGGCTGGGGTGAGAATTGCCTCCCGGGCAGGCTTGAGTGGAAATAACTGAGTTGTTTCCATTACTTCCATTTCCTTGCCACCACCACCCGCCTGACCTCCGCAGTGTTAAAAGAGATAAATTCTTGCAGAAAACAGGGAATCCCTTAAATATTTTTTCTTATTACAAAGTAGAAAATATAGAAAAATACAAAACCCCAAAAAGGCTAATAATTCCACCATCCAGTGATAATCACTTTTTTTTTTTTGAGATGGAGTCTCACTCTTGTTGCCCAGACGGGAGGGCAATGGCACGATCTCAGCTCACCTACAACCTCCACCTCCTGGGTTCAAGTGATTCTCCTGTCTCAGCCTCCCGAGTAGCTGGAATTACAGGCATGTGCCACCACACCCAGCTAATTTTGTATTTTTAATAGAGAAAGGGTTTCTTTCTGTTGGTCAGGAAGGTCTCGAACTCCCTACCTCAGGTGATCTGCCCGCCTCGGCCTCCCAAAGTGCTGGGATTACCGGTGTGAGCCACTGCGCCTGGCCACAGTTAGTTTTAAGGTATGGTATTTGAATCCTTTTCTTTCTTTCTATTTTTTTTTTTTTGAGATGGAGTCTCTCATACTGTTGCCTGGGCTGGAGTGCAAAGGCGCAATTTCAGCTCACTGCAACCTCCACCTCCCGGGTTCAAGTGATTCTCCTGCCTCAGCCTTCTGAGTAGCTGGGATTGCATGTGCCTGCCACCAGGCCCAGCTAATTTTTTTTTGTAGAGACGGAGTTTCACTATGTTGGCCAGGCTGGTCTCGAACTCCTGACCTCGTGAGGCGCCCGCCTCGGCCTCCCAAAGTGCTGGGATTACAGGCATGAGCCACCGCATCCGGCCCTGAATCCTTTTCGTAGATGGCTGTGGCCACGTAGGGTGGGAGTGTAATTTTTAAAAATGGAAATCTAGGTATTATGGTTCCTCCTCCTCTTTATTATGTTAGAATAAGAGGTCAGGCTGCTTTGGCGTGAAGGGTTCTGGGACTTGACGGTGTAGTTTGGTGCCCCCAGCCCAGTTCTCCCGAGTGCCTGGAGGCATTACTGACCATTCATCAGTGGCAGGGAAGCTGCTCTCTGAAGGCGAGAGTTTGCAGATGTCCTCACTTGCAGAAAGCTGAGAGAGGCATGAAAAGAAAGGAGAGAAAAGGAAAAATAGAATGGTGATGTCGAATATCACAAGAGGAAGAAACAGTCTGGAGAGAAGGCAAGGAGAGAACAGGAGAGACTCCAAATCTCTGGTCTACCAGCTGGGACTGCCGGGGGACACCATGGTCCTCACCCAGGTTACTTGTCCATGCCCTTCCCACTGGAGAGGACGAGGTAGGCAGAGAAGGGCAAGTGAGAGGGCGAAGGCCCAGGGATGGCGGGTGGGGGGGCCTGAGCATTGGGCCTCCCCTTTCTCTTCCCCAGACCCCTGGACATGCCCTTGGCGGCAAGTCCCTGCACACCTGCTCTGTGCAGCTCAGACTGGGCCAGCCTCCTCCCCTGCCGGCCCCCCATGTCCCAACCCCCCCGCCCCAGGACCAGCTTTATGGGTTGTAGTTTCCTTGGCAGGTGCTCCTTTCCTGACCTGCCTCGCTTATCAAGGCATCTACAACCCCCACCTCACCCTTATCGCTCCCTCCATCTCCTTAGACTGGAAGTCACTCCACAAGGGCGTCACCCCCAGCGAGGCAGAAAAATGTCCCACAAGTTGAGCCCTCCCCACTCCCAGTGAGAACATAATTCCACTGTATCTTTTTTTTTTTTTACTTAACTTTTCCTTTTGGCTTTTAATAAGAAAAAGATCCAAATTTTCCCCCTTTTGAAACATCAATGAACACTAGCTCCTCTTAGTTTCCTTATTTATTTTCCTTTCAATTCTTGTCCTTCTCTAAAGGTTATTTTGTCCATCCCTCAATCTTGGGAGCAGATCTCTCTTTCTTACAACAAAAGAAGGGGGCAGTCCCCACTCCTCAAGACCCCCAGAGGGAGAGTCCCAGCGTATCCTCACGCTGGTCTCTCACACCTTTACAGCCAAAAGATTCCCAAGAAGCAACAAGGTCTGGAGAGTGGTTTGGAGCTGAGATCCCAAGTTCATGGCCAGTTACAGTCTCGCCACTAGCCATGGGACTTGGGGCCAGCACACCCAAGAATTCTCACAGACGGAATTCTTCCTTGTTCTCATTTACCTGATAGGTCTATTGAGTGAATGCAATTCAATAATATTGATGTACCTCTTTGAAAACAATGAGAACAGAATTGAACAATGAGAACACTTGGACACAGGAAGGGGAACATCACACACCAGGACCTGTCGTGGGGTTGGGGGAGGGGGGAGGGATACATTAGGAGATATACCTAATGTAAATGACAGTTAATGGGTGCAGCACACCAACATGGCACATGTATACATATGTAACAAACCTGCATATTGTGCACATGTACCCTAGAACTTAAAGTATAATAATAAAAAAAATGAGAACATAAATACAAGCTATCATATACAGTAGTCACCTTTTATCCTCAGGGGATACATTCCAAGACGCCCCAGTGGATGCCAGGAACCTTAGATAGCACCAAACCCTGTATATACTATCTTTTTTCCTACACGTACATACATACATACATACATACATACATACATACATACATACATACATATGATGAAGTTTAATTTATACATTAGGCACAGTGAAGAGTTTAGGCCGGGCATAGTGACTCACGCCTGTAATCCCAGCACTTCAGGAGGCCGAGGCAAGCAGATCACCTGAGGTCAGGAGTTCGAGACTAGCCTGGCCAACATGGTAAAACCCTGTCTCTACTAAAAATACAAAAATTAGCCAGGCGTGGTGGTGGGCACCTGTAATCCCAGCTACTAGGGAGGCTGCGGCAGGAGAATAACTTGAACCTGGAAGGTGGATGTTGCAGTGAGCCAAGATCACACCATTGCTCTCCAGCCTGGGCAACGAAAGTGAAACTCTGTCTCAAAAAAAAAAAAAAAAGAGTTTAACAACAATAAAATGAAAATTATAATAATATAAAGTTATGTGAATGTTCTCTTTCTCTCTGTCTCTCAAAATATGTTATAGTACTGTACTCACCTATTTTCCAACTGTGGCTGACCTTAGGTAACTGAACCATCAGAGAGTGAAACTGTGGATAAGGGAAACTACTTAATATATAAAATATAATATAAAATATATAAAATAGTGCAACATTACTTATTCCTCCTGGTGTTTCATTCCTGGAAAGAGTCCCAAACATGGAATCACGATTTATTTGTCGTCTACCTTTGCTCAGTTTCTGCTGTTCAACCTCCATAATAACTCGAGGCCCCTGGGGGCTCCTCTGACCTGCGTCCCCAGGTACCAGAGCCTGCTCGGCGACGCTCCAGGAAGCTGGCCGGTCACGGTCATGAGGACTTCTCACAGAGAGGGATTGGCCTGGGAAGTGGGGGTCAGAAACCCTCCTTTGAGGTACAGGGTTGAGGACAGAGATGACCACAAGACACATAAATGGGAAGCTCTGAGAAGCAGCCCGGGGGTCTCTTGAGCCCTCTTGTGGAAGGAGGATCGGCAGTGATTGAGTACTTGTGACACATGCTTTACAGATGCTCCCGTGAGACGGCATAGCCGTTACCCCAATTTCACAGGTTAGGAACTGAGGCTCAGAAAGCTCACCTAACTGTAAGGGATAAGAGTCAGGATTTGAACCAGGCTCTGCCTGACTCTTGAGCTGGAAGTCTTTATTTCCTCCTCTCCCTCATGCAACTAACTGTGCACCTTGTTTGTGGACCCACCTTCCATCCCTTTTCTTTTTCCAAATTCCTCTGCCCCACCTCTTAGCTTCTCGGGTCTCAGCCATCCCAGCCCACAGTTAGGAACCTTCCTTCCCCTCCTCCTTTTCTTCCCCAGGGTGGTTCTGTGGCTGTGGGGCTCAGCTCTGCAAAGAGCTCCTCCCCCTCCAGGAAAAGCACTTCTCCCCAGGCAGGGCGGTCAGTCCCCTCAGCGCACCTGCATGCACACACACCACCTCACAACCACACACTGCATGCACACACATACACCACAGCCACACACTGTGCATACACGCACACCCCACAACCCACATACTGCATGCACACACACACACCTACAAGCTGCATGCTGCATACACAAGTCATACAGGAGATAAACTCAGAGTCCCAGCCCCAAATAGACCCCATCTCTTGCTCAGTTGCTGTCATCCTAGACCTGTTTCTTTCGCCACATTTCTATAATCTGCCAGTGTCTGCAAGGAGAAGACATGGGGGGTTTTCTACCTAAGGCAGAAGGGCCCGGGAGCCAACTCCAGAAACTTCTGCCCTCCTTTCTGGTCAGAGAACAAGACTGGGACCAGCACCTGGACAAGCTTCATATGCTGCAGCAGAAGAGGTAGGCTTCCTAGAACGATCCGTGGCCCTACCGCCGTGATCCTCAGACCCTCTGACCCACCTGGGCCTGCTTTCCGAATACAGCACCCTAGAAGTGTATTGTCAGTGCCAGTCACTCAGACATACCCTTTCCTTCCAGCCCACCTAATTACAGAATCCCAGCTGGCCCCTTTTAGTGGCGGTGGAGGATGTGGCTTTGGGCCACACAGGAAAATCTTGAGGGTAGACCTAAGGACAGAGGCAGAATGACAGCCAAGGGGGAGTGAAAGGACCAAAAAGGACCAGAGGGAAGAAGCCAGGTTGTGTGGGATGGGGAGGGAAGGCAGAAGCAGGCTGCTGAAGAAGGGATGCACTCCTGTGGGTGGTGGAAGCACGATAAGGAAACGCCATTCATTTGAATGAAAGTGGACTGTGTGGGAAAGGGGAGGAGCGCTTTGTTTGGTGTAACACTGGGTGCTGACCAGTGGAGGAGGGCAGCTCAGGTGACACTGGAGGGCTCTGAGTTCAGTCCATCTGCCTTTTATTGAGTCTACTGTGTGCAGAGGGGTGTTAGATCCCAATGACATAAAGATTGAATGAGACTTGTGCCTGCTCCTGGAGAGCTCTTAGTTCGGGCAGGGCTAGCACACCTGCAGGTAAATCATTTCATGGCTTAGCCCTGAGGTCCAGTCCCAGGAAGAGCAGCTGGGGCAGGGACGAATCCTGTGGGCTGCTTCTTCCTCCAAGTGTTTTGGGGCTTGCCTCCCACCCAACAGCTGCCTGAGGGGTGAGGTTGTTGAGCAGACATTAGCAGTCACAAAGGGCTCCCCTGTACTCCAGAAGATTCCTGTGCTTTGTTCAATGCCCTGCTGTCCTCATCTTCAAGTTCTTAATAATTTTGAACAAGGGGTCCTGCATTTGCAGTTTACACTGGGCCTGGTCCCAAGTACCTCTGAGCCCTCATACTGTCAAGCCCTCTGCTTCCTCATCTCCCCACCCAATACCTCCAGTGGAATCTCACCTTCCTGCTTTAGAGTGGGACCCCTGGGTCTCTGAGAAAGTGAGCTTCCAGCCCCAACTTGGACCCTCTGCAGAGGGGCAGTGGGGATAGAGGGCCAGGGAGGCAAGGACTTTGTTTGTGCAGTGGCCTCAGGATGGGGGTGAATTTGCAATCTCAGCCCTGACCACTCTAGGCTGGTCAGGGACACCAGGCTCCCTGGGACTGATTCCCTGGGTGAGACGGGGCAGGGAACTGACTCCTCACAAAGGCCCCTCCTAGGAGCACTGCCTTAACAGGTAAAACCAGGCCCCACCTTTAGATTAAAAGCTTCTTCTTTAAATGAAAACACTTTGGCTGGGCGTGGTGGCTCACACCTGTAATCCCAGCACTTTGGGAGGCCGAGATGGGTGGATCACCTGAGGTCAGGAGTTCGAGAGCAGCCTGGCCAACATGCTGAAACCCCGTCTCTACCAAAAATAAAAAAACTAGTCAGGCATGGTGGTGGGCACCTGTAGTCCCAGCTACTCGGGAGGCTGAGGCAGGAGAATCACTTGAACCCAGGAGGCGGAAGTTGCAGTGAGCCGAGATCGCACCACTGCACTCCAGTCTGGGCAATAGAGTGAGACTTCGTCTCAAAAAAAATAAATAAATAAAATAAAAACACTTTTTCGCCCTGGCTCCTGGGGCTATTGGAAGAGAGGGATTTGGAGGTGGGGACCTCAGAGGAGCCACTCATCGGCCTGTCCTTTCTGTTCTTCCCCCTACACCATGTGCTTGCCTTTGGGGCCAATACACATATGTCTAGTTGGAGAGGCTCCAGCTTTATCTCTTTCTGGGTTCAAATCTGGGTATGGTAGAAGCAAAGATTAACAGAGGTCCTGTAGAATGAGTATCTCAACCTGTTTTGCCTTGAGACACCCACATAAACAAGCTGTTTAGACCTTTGCATCTAAGGGTATAATGCAGAAGAAAGAGGCACCCTGTAACTCACCCCACAACTCTCCACCCCCTGCAGGGACCTGTATCTAAATAACCTGAGGATGCTGGGCGCAATGTAATCCCAGCACTTTGGGAGGCCAAGGCAGGCGGATTGCCTGAGCTCAGGAGTTCGAGATCAGCCTGGCCAACATGGCAAAACCCCATCTCTACTAAAAATACAAAAAATTAGCTGGGCGTGGTGGTGCGTGCCTGTAATCCCAGCTACTCGGGAGACTGAGGCACAAGAATTGCTTGAACCTGGGAGGCAGAGGCTGCGGTAAGCTGAGATTGTACCACTGCACTCCAGCCTAGGCAACAGAGCAAGACTCTGTCTCAAAAAAAAAAAAAAAAAAAAAAATAGCCTGAGGGAGTAGTCAGAACTTTAGTGCCTCACAAATTTCACAAATTTCAAAATGCCTAGGAAAGATCTAGCAGTCGATCCATTCCTCCTCCCTCTGTGTTTTGGTCTCCCAAACTCCCCTTGGTTAAAGACAGTAGATTCAGCAGGCCCAGGAGCAGGGGGACCGCAGATGGAAGTGCCCTCTGTCCCGCTCTCCAACTATCCAGGATCTGAGACAGTTACTCAGGTTAGATGAATTCAGCCAAGCCTAGGGTCCTCTTCTTAGAGACTCTCAGACCACTCTTTCCAGACTACAGGTTCTCTTCCTATTAACTCTTCCCCTCCAGCAGAGCTTCAAGGGCCATCCTCACAGGAGAATCACCATGATGTGAATTGCAAGGAAGGCCCTGGGGCTGACCCTTGCCCAAGTCCACCCTCGGTCATTCGAGTCCAGTAGGCACTTCTTTCCAATTTGTCACTGCACGCTGTGTGAGTCACGTTGGTCTTAAAGAATGTCTTAGATCCCCTTTGCTCTTGGCCTCATTCTGCTATGACTGTCTCTTCCAAACTCACGTTCACCTTTCCCCAGGATTCTAGAGTCTCCACTGCTTCGAGCATCCAAGGAAAATGACCTGTCTGTTCTTAGGCAACTTCTACTGGACTGCACCTGTGACGTTCGACAAAGAGGTGGGATCTGGATTTAATGGGATGGAGGTGGGGGCAGAAGAACCTACTCCTCCTCCCCAAGACTTCGAGTTTGTGAAATAGGGCCTTGGAGGGTGTCTCTGGAGCCTGAGGCCCCTTCCTCAAGGGAATCTGAAAAGTGTCTAACATCTCTGTCTTACTCCAATCCAGGAGCCCTGGGGGAGACGGCGCTGCACATAGCAGCCCTCTATGACAACTTGGAGGCGGCCTTGGTGCTGATGGAGGCTGCCCCAGAGCTGGTCTTTGAGCCCACCACATGTGAGGCTTTTGCAGGTAAGGAGCCTACATGGTAATTCAAGGTGGAAACTTTGAGATGGAGGGTGTGCTGTTGTCTCTTAAAATTGGCCTCTGAAGGATGGGTTGGGGTGGGGTGATGGAGGGTCAGGAGGATGGGCTCCGTTGAGTTGGGAGAAATGCAAAGGTCCTGGTCTTGGCTTTTACCAATCTGTGGCTTCCTTCAGCATTTCCTTTCAAACCTCCCATAGTCCCTGTAGGACCTATCTCAATTTCTTTCTCTCATAGCAACATGAGAATGATTATATTCATAGCAATCCCCTGCTGGCTCCCAATAACTGAAGGGTAGGTCAATGAGCAGGGCAGCCTGAGGGATGAATTGCTCTTAGTCCCAGGCCACCCTGCCAAGCCCAGGGCAGAAGTCTAGCAAAGATCTATCAGGAACCTCCTGAGAGGGATGGTGGGGGATGCTGTGTCCCTGAGAGAACTGGGGACAGAGGGAGACCCTGATGATGGCTGTCTCTGGGCCAGGTCAGACTGCACTGCACATCGCTGTTGTGAACCAGAATGTGAACCTGGTGCGTGCCCTGCTCACCCGCAGGGCCAGTGTCTCTGCCAGAGCCACAGGCACTGCCTTCCGCCATAGTCCCCGCAACCTCATCTACTTTGGTGAGAGCAGGGTTGGGCTTGAAGGATGGTTGGCTGGAGAGGCGGGCAAGGCAGAGGGAGGCCAGGGCATGAGGGTCCTGCCTTCAGCTCCATCTGTTGGGCAGTTGAGAGGGGCAGCCCTTCTAGGGCTTAATTAAGCCAGAGGCCCATTCCCCTGATGGTTCCTTCCTCTGGTTCTGCTGGACGAGTGTCCCTCAGCCTAGAACTGAGATATGGGGGATGAGGAGGAGGCCCTTATTTGGGGGAGACTGCCCACCCCATCCTGCCATCCTGCGTTCTCCTGCCATGGATCTCTCTGTGTCCACAGGGGAGCACCCTTTGTCCTTTGCTGCCTGTGTGAACAGCGAGGAGATCGTGCGGCTGCTCATTGAGCATGGAGCTGACATCAGGGCCCAGGACTCCCTGGGTAAGAGCTGGGATGGGGAGGGGAGCTGGGATGCTGTGGGGAGCGAGGGACAGGGTAAGGAGTGGAGCTGGGACCTTTAGGAAGACCCCAGAGTGGGGATGGGGACATCAGGGACTTTAGGCCAGTGGCCACATGATACCCTGCGTCCTCCCCAGGAAACACAGTATTACACATCCTCATCCTCCAGCCCAACAAAACCTTTGCCTGCCAGATGTACAACCTGCTGCTGTCCTATGATGGACATGGGGACCACCTGCAGCCCCTGGACCTTGTGCCCAATCACCAGGGTCTCACCCCCTTCAAGCTGGCTGGAGTGGAGGGTAACACTGTGGTAAGAGACGCTCCCCATCCCTGAGGTGTCTTTCTAATGACCCTCAACCTATCCTGCTGGCCCTGGGAGAAATAGAGGTGAAGGGCCCACCTTTCTCTAAAATCCCTTTTCCCCAAACTCCCCAAAGGGATGGTGGTCCCTTGCTTCCTATTCCATCACTGAAATCTTCAGCTTCATGGTCCTTGACTCAAGAGGATTTGAGAACCTTACCTTAATGCATGTGCTGTGATAACCCAAAGCTCTAGCTTCCTTTGCCTATTTTCTTCTTTCTGCACTTTCTGGGGTTTTGGAGCAGGAAAGATGACAAAAAAGGGAAAGCTTGTAGATGCAGAGGTTTGCTGGTTCCCACTGTCTGTCTGTCTCAAGGGGTGGGCAACTGGCTCCATCCAATGGAGTTGTTCTCCTCGACCACCTTCTCACACGTTGGCCCCCTGACTCATCCTGGTGGTCTCTCAGATGTTCCAGCACCTGATGCAGAAGCGGAGGCACATCCAGTGGACGTATGGACCCCTGACCTCCATTCTCTACGACCTCACGGAGATCGACTCCTGGGGAGAGGAGCTGTCCTTCCTGGAGCTTGTGGTCTCCTCTGATAAACGAGAGGTATGGATGCCAAGGAGGATCAGGCCTGTCATGTGAGGGAATTTAGTGTTTGTGCAGAGTCTGTCCACTTACTAAGATCCTGGGCCTGAGACACTTCCCAGCCTTATAATAGGTGGAGATGAGAATAGTCTCCTGGGACATGGGGGAAAGTCCAATGCACACTCCTCTCCTGAATCCCCTGTCTCTCTGCTTAGCTCCAGTCCCTTCTGCCTACCTTTCGCCTTCTATCATTTCAGATGAGAAACTCCAAATAAGAGCTGTTTCCTCATATTCATTCATTGGTTCAGCATTGATATGGTTTGCATTTGTGTCCAAATGCAAAAATTTCATGTCAAATTGTAATCCACAGTGTTGGAGAAGGGGCCTGGTGGGAGGTGATTGGATCATGGGGACAGACTTCCCTCTTGATGTTCTCGTGATAGTGAGTTTTCACAAGATCCGGTTGTTTAAAAGTGTGTGGCACCTCCCCCTGCTCTCTCTTCCTCCTGCTCTCTCTTCCTCCTGCTCCGGCCATGTAGGATGTGCCTGCTTTCTTCTTGGCCTTTTGCCATGATTGTACGTTTCCTCAGGCCTCTCCAGAACCTGTACAGCCTGCAGAACCATGAGCCAATTAAACCTTTTTATTTATAAATTACCCTGTGCCAGGTAGTTCTTTATAGTAATATGAGAATGGACTAATACAAGCATATTGAACACCCGCTGTATGTCAGGCACTGCACAAGAAACAAACAGTACAGAAATAAATACAACACAGTTCCTGTTCATCAACTTCCTCAATTCTCAGTCCCTGTCCTGAATAATTGCAACAGAGCATGACATATGCCGTAATAGTTGTGTGTACCATGCATGCAGACAGCCACATTGAGGTAGAGTTAACTTGGCTTGGATAGACCAGAGAAGATGTCACAGAGGAAATGCTGGGGCTGGATCTTCAAGGAAGAATTGGGAGTCACAGGAAGATGAGAGAAAAAAAAGAGCTTTTTAGAGAGGGAGCAACGTATAGACCATTCAACAATGCTGGGTTGAGTGATGTGAGGGAAACGAAAATTTGTTGAAGACTGCAGTAGAGAGGAGAAAAGACTTCCAGGTTTCAGAACGTTCCATGAGAGTGCCAAGATGTAGTTTCTGTTTTGTATCTGCCACAGTGACAATTTCCCAGGAATCCTTATAGATCCAGAAAACATGAATGATTATTAATACTAACGAATAGAAGAAAAGTTGAGTGGCTAGTTTGTGAGATCTTCCTCAGAGAATATCCCTGGAAACAGATACACTTTGAGCAGGATTTCTTAGGTATTAAAAGCACAATCCCACTGTGTGGATTTCGCCACCACATATCCTTGGTCTTTGATTTAAGCTATTCTCAATATTCTCCAGCAGGTTTCATAAGTGTCTTGGGTCAGTTGCTTTTTTCCTCCATAAATCTTCCTTTCTAGCCCCCTTTCACATCCTTCACTACCTTCAGCTGCAGTTCAGAAGACCTAGACTCCTGATTTAGGACAAAAATAGAGGCTTTCTGGCTGGGGATCCTTCAGCTTCCTGCCCTACACTGCCGAGCATGTCTGGAAACTGCCCACTGTCTCTCTCCTCCCCTCCAGCTTCAGTAGAAAAGATATTCATGCTGTTAATGGCTAATCACTCTACTGTGCTTTGAATCTGTCTCTTTCTAATTTCTCAGATGCCTCCTCCCGTCCATCATCCCCTCTCCTGTGTATCTTTAACGTCTCACTGGCTGCTTATTTCAGAGCACCATCCCACCCTGCCACATCCTACTGCCTGTAACCTCCATTGCTTCTTTCCAGCCCAATAATACTTCTAGAGCAAATCTGACCACTTCCCTGCTTGAACTCCCCAGTTGCTTTCTGTTATATTTAGAAAAAACAAAAAATGCAAACTTCCTACCTTGGCATTTATGATGCATGATGACCTGGCCCTGTTCTTCCTCAGTCATTATCATTTCTGACTACCACTCCCAATAGATTCTCCCCTCTCCCCAACCACATCTCAACTGCAAATGGGCAATGGCTTCTCAGACCTTCCTGACCTGGCAACTGCTGTTAGCTTATGGTATGATCTTTCCTAACTCTCCCTTTACTCATCTAACTACTACTCATCCTTTAAATCCTCTTTGGTGCTATGGTGCCTTGTGTTTACTGCTATAGTCATTTACCTGTATCACTAGCACAAGGCCCAGCCATATGCAGGAAATATACTATTTGTCCGTCAAATAAGTGACTGATGAGCTGAGTGAGTGATGGTTGCTGCCCTGCCTCTTCTGGCCCCCAGTGGGATAAACAACATCCTTCTGTGTTGGTCACCCCAAGTTTCACTCTACTTCCATGCCAGGCTCGCCAAATTCTGGAACAGACCCCAGTGAAGGAGCTGGTGAGCTTCAAGTGGAACAAGTATGGCCGGCCGTACTTCTGCATCCTGGCTGCCTTGTACCTGCTCTACATGATCTGCTTTACTACGTGCTGCGTCTACCGCCCCCTTAAGTTTCGTGGTGGCAACCGCACTCATTCTCGAGACATCACCATCCTCCAGCAAAAACTACTACAGGTGATTCTCCTCAGAAGGGGATGAGAGAGAATTGCATCAAGGGGTGATGGTGCTGGAAACGAAGCCATGCTACTCAGGGACGATGCCACGCTCTGGGTTCCAGCAGGTGTAGGCTCCTAAACACCCAGGTAGAAATTAGACATGAGACCAGGAGGCCACAGATGGGGTTTAATGAGCACAAGAGCATTTGTCCAGGGAGCTGTGGATTTTCTCACACAAACTTTGAAAGAGTGCTTGGCATGAGTAAGCCTGTGCTTTTGTGAAATTTTTTGGTAATTTACAAAAAGTATCAGGGTTTTTTAGTGGGATGTTCAAGGTAAACTCTATTGCTCAAAAGGAGGAAAATTGTGCTCCAAGTCCATTTCTGAGTCCATTTTTGTTGTATTTGGGCAACACAGACAGCCCTGCTGGCCTGCACCCTCTTCTGTGTGCTGTCTATATGGGCCCATGGGAATAATGTGTCAGCTGTCTGACTGCCTGTCAGACACTCTGCAGAAGGATGTCTGGATTGGGTATCAGGCTGAAGTAAATACTCTCTGAGGCTCCATTTAGTGTTGTGGGCCTGCCATTCTGTGTTGTGGTGGCCAAGGGAAAACTAGGGTTAGGAAGAGGACTGATTCGAGGTACACAGTAAATATAGAAATCTGCTGTTGAAGAAAGTAAACCTCCTTTTTGTGCAACAGAAAGGGTAGACTCTAATGAGCACTTCTGAATATATATATTTAACAACTGTAGCTATATTTGAGGGGTTGACTCTTTGTGGATTACTAAAATTTTTGTCCTGGTGAGCTGAAAATACACAGAAGGTGATGTAGGTATGTAGCAGAAAGCAAAAGACCAGGAAAAAGAATTTTGCAAAGCAAGTGAGAACTGAGTGATTGGAGATTTATCTCAATGCAGGAGAGAGCAGCCATAGGTATAGCTCAGCCTGGACTAGGAAGCAGGGTAGTTTCAGTCGGAAAGAGAATATAAACTTTCTATAGCCAAGAAGCAAAAATCCTGAATTTGTTTAGACCAAAGACAGCGATATGCACAGAGAAAGAACAGGGCAAAGAGCCCAAATGAACCCTATGCTAGGTAGAGACACTCCATCTCTCCTGTTTTTAGAATTGCCTTTATATATATACATGTATATGTATATATATATATATATGTATATATATACATGTATATGTCTATATATATATATATGTATATATATACATGTATATGTGTGTATATATATATGTATATATATACATGTATATGTATATATATATATATGTATATATATACATGTATATGTATATATATATATATGTATATATATACAGTGTGTCATGTGTCCAGATACACTGCCTCTCACCAAGTAGGTCTTGCTGCCTGGGGAGGACAAGCCTGAATGTGTTAGAGACACTGGAAGCAGTTGTGCTGCATGCATCTCAGTCTGGCCGCAAAAGTTGTCCCTGGCATGGAGACATGAGGAAAATAAGGACAGTTAGGAG
Organism: Homo sapiens; assembly: GCF_000001405.40. Classification (NCBI taxonomy): domain Eukaryota; kingdom Metazoa; phylum Chordata; class Mammalia; order Primates; family Hominidae; genus Homo; species Homo sapiens. The sequence goes on along the minus strand of NC_000007.14, from coordinate 142,924,044 downwards.
ATGGCAAGTGGAGGGAGGAGTGATTAGAAATTGAGAAAACACAAACAAGGTGGGGATGACTGGACTTTTCCAATGCTCCTGGCCCTATTTCCTCAGATATGTCTTCTCCAACCTTCCTTTGTCTCAAATTTACTTGGAGATTTTCTGCATTTTGAAGGTAGACAGGACTCTGGGTTAAAAGGTGGGCAATGCTGAGCCACTGATAACCAAAACTCTCCTTCCTGTGTGTCTCTTTCTCTTTGGGACAGGGCTAGTTATGTACAATCACATTTCTTTGATCCAGATAGTCTGTATGTAAAAGACCGCCTCCTTTGCTTCAGGACTCAGAAGCATAATTATAGCTGAACACCTGACCCATCCTTCTTTCTTTCTCTCTTCTGCCTTCCTTCTTGTTCCTTGGCATTTTTACCCTTTCTGCCTTCTGCTTCAGTGAAAGCCACTTCAGCTCAAAGAGAAGACTTTGGACTTTCAGATATTCTTTTCTTGGTGGAGAAGTGGGTGGGTAAGAGGATTGAGAATGCTGCTGGAAGGGGTTAGATAACAAAGAACGCTAATGAAAAGTCCCTATGCTTTGAGCCCTGGCCCTGATTTATGGGATGACTATGTTCTTCTTATTCAGTAGTAAGCCCATTTGGATTAGATCAGGGGCTCCTAAACTTATCATCATGATTTGAAAGATTCTGTTTTCACAGTGCACCAGATTTTTTAAATAATAGGAAATTCCTTTTTTTTCCTACTGTTTTCTTACTTGAAAGTCTTAGAAAAAATGAAAACGCACAAATACAGTGTCTTGATTTGACTCATGCAATTGTTGACATATTAGTTAGCTGGTGGAGCTTTTTCTTAGATGAATGAATACTTTACTGTCCAATTATATTAATAACTCTGGGATCACAGGGATCTCAGTCACTTCAGGACTTCCTCTGCAGATCTCTTGGGATCTGTGGAAATCACTGGGCTCCATCACCCCTAAGATCCTTTCTAGTTTAATATCTGGCATTTTATAAGAGTAGTGCAACAGCACCATCTCAGAACAGATGAGAGAAAACAAATTCCTCTGTATAAGGTAGCAAAAAACTACACAAAAGCTGATGTTTGTAAAGCTGGAGTTAGTTTATTTCTATCCAATTTGGGGGCTATCTTAATGACTCTAAGACACCTCATTGCTCAGCCATAAAAGTTCTGCTTTACTAGAGATTTCCCAGAACTCTATTAATTTGAGTTAACTTCTTATCTCCATATATTTCTACTTGGTTTAGGCAGAGCAGCATGCACTATAGTACTAGTTCTCTTAGGTTTCCAGGTGAGTAAAAAGCTCAAAGTCCTGGAGTCCAGCAGCTCGGGTTTTAGCCCTAACTCTGAAATTTAATACTTGTTTGACCTTAGGAAAATCCTACTTCCTGCCAGATCTGTGATTTTTAACCCAGACTGTACACTAGAAACCTAGGAAGCTAGTAAAATGACTAGCTCCTAGGCTACACTTTAGTAGACCTAATAAGTTGGAATGTCTGAAGCTGAGGCTCTGGCCTTGGTATTTTTAAGAAACTCTTTGAGTGAGCCAAATGTTCTGCCAAGGTTGAGAACCCGTGGCTTCCATCTTTGAGGTAAGTGCAGCTCTGCCTTTCCAGTCTTAGGCCCACCACTCTGGTCATTTAGATTCCCGGATTACTGTTCAGCAGGGAGTTCAAATTTCTCGTCACATCTCCTTTTTGACTTTTGAAAAAGATTCTCTTGAGCCCTCCTTTGATTTTCTCTTTCCCAGAAATATTTTGCTAATCCATTCATTAAATAAATTATTATTGAGAGCCTCATATAGGCTAAACAGCTGTTCCAGGTGTTGGAAATTCAACAGCCATGGTCTGAGCAAAACACACATGATGTCTGCTTTCTTGGAGTCTACAGACTGGTTTGTATTAATCAAACGATCATACAAATAGATACTTCATTATAATCTGTGACTGTTGGCATCAATATTATTTTTTTCTTATGATGAGAAAAGCACAGAGTGGGGAAAAAACTTATAACAGGGGCCTGGTCCCTCTGGGAGGCCAGAGCCTGCTTCTGAGAAAGATGACTGAGCTGAGATCTAGGTATGAATTCAACGTGAAAAGAGAGTTCTAGACAGAAAGAATGCATATTCAAACGCCTCAAGGCAGGAATAACCTCACCAAAGTCTAGGAACTGAAAGAAGATTCACTAGAGCACAGAGAGTTGGGTTGGGTACCTCCAGGTGAGGTTGTCCAGACAGATCCTTCTCAAATTATATAGTCTTAAAGGGTTTTACGCTTTATCCCCAGGGGGATGGGAAGTCAGAAGGATTTTAAACAGGGGGATGTACAGAGTAATTTTTGTTTTAGAAAAATTACTCTGCTTGCATGGTGAGTAACAGATGTGGGGGGTGGTAGGAAGGACATTGGGAGACCAGTCAGGAGGCTATTACAGTTTAGCAAGCAAAAGATAATGTTGGCTGGGCACGGTGGCTCAGGCTTGTAATCCCAGCACTTTGGGAGGCTGAGGCGGCGGATCACGAGGTCAGGAGTTTGAGACCAGCCTGGCCAACATAGTGAAACCCCATCTCTCCTAAAAATACAAAAAATTAGCCAGGCATGGTGGTGAGCACCTGTAATCCCAGCTATTCGGGAGGCTGAGAGAGGAGAATCGCTTGAACGTGGGAGTCAGAGGTTGCAGTGAGCCGAGATCACGCCATTGCACTCCAGGCCAGGCGACAGTATGAGACTCCGTCTCAAAATAAATAAATTTAAAAAAATGGTGGATTGGCCTAGGAATGTAGTGGGGAGATAGAGGGAAGGGATTGGCATCAGGAGACTTATTGAAGGCAAAATCATCCCTACTGTGTTTCCATCTTTTAAAAATCATCTTCTACCTATCACAGTCCGTGGGATCTATTTGTCCACACATCATCATCCCTCGTAAGTTCTGAACAATCCAAAGCACCACTGCTATTTGAAAAGCAACTGATTGCCAACTCTATACAACTTTGTTGAGGGGTCCTAACCAACTCATGGTGGAACAAGCACAGCACATTATAGACAGGGAAAGAGATGAGGAGAACCAGGGAGCCCGGTAGGTAAAAATAACATCCACTGAGCACTGATCATGAACACATGCATTCATCAGTGTTTTTGAGGCCTTATTAAACTGTGGATTCTGACAGTAAGGCTGGGTGGGACCTGAGACTTGGCATTTCCAGCAAGCTGCCAGGTGAGGCCAATGTTGTGATTCTGTGCACCGCGTTTTGAGTGACAAAGCATTATTCTTTCATTTAATCTTTGTAGAAATCCTAACAAATAAATGCAATCATCACCACTTTAAAGATGGTGAATCTGATGTCAAGAGAGGTTGAATAATTTGGCAAAGACACTGAGCTAGCAAGGACAGCACTAGGATTGGGCTGCAAGTCTGCCTCCCTTCAGAATCCTCACCTTTAAACACCAGACAAGGCCATTTCTCCCTCCAGAGTGATGTGCTAGGTCCCAGTCTTCTCTATTGGCTAGCCAGGGCTTGCCACACTCACGTGTATCTACACATCTCATCTTTCCCTGTCAAGAGGAGAGGCGCTTGAGAAGTGCTGTGGGAGAGGATCAGATATAGAAAGATTCATACCCCCAGATACTGATTCATACCCCCAGATACTCCTCTCCAGTTTTGATAATTGGCACTGTTTTTTGATGGGGTTAACCTACTGGCATATAGGGCAAGTCATAATTCTGTGGGAATGGGTGGAGACTCTTCAGAAGAAAGGGGTAATCTCCCAAGCCAATACCCCTGAGAAAATGCAGAGACTGGGACATGAAATTAACCTTTGGAAGGCAGCTTGACTTACATGGGAACCAGATCTCTCTCTCTCTCTTTATGGCCCAGCGGTTCTCAACTTGGGATACACGTCCAAAACGCCTACAGAACTTTTCAAGTAAATGCCAGGTTCTTGATCCAAATTAACCCAGGGTTGGCCTGGACATGTGTGTTGTGACAAAGACTTAACACTTGATTCTGATGGGCAGTCTTGGTTAGGAACTCATGCCCAGTTAGGGAATCGGAGAAGCTCTTTGTAAGAGCTAGCAGAGCTTTCTCTGAAAACTTCATTCCTTTGCAAGTCTGGGATCATGGGGGGGAAAAAGGTCTAGAGCTGGGCTGGACAACTGGTTCTGGGGCCTACCCACTTCCCACTGTGGTGGCCTATGTTCCCCATCCTTTCCACATAGTACATCCCTGGCCCTTACGACCCAGTAGTGCCCCAGGCACTGCTTTGCCCACTCCTTCTGGGCATTTCCTTCCAGGCAATGAACTCAGCTGGCTGGGAAGTGAGAGCAAATCTCATTAGGCCAATTCTCAGTGACGTATAAATGCCAGCCTGCATAGGGGATTTGGTTGTTGAAAGCTCATTAAATTGCAAGCCATGTTGTGGAGTAAAAAATTCCAGTCATTGTTAGATGATATTTATTTTTAAAGGGATGTATTGGAGTACCTTCTCTGTGCGTTGTTAGCCAGGCCTGCTTAGGTGACCTTGATCTAGGAATCTGAAAATTTCAGAAAAGCACGATTAGTTGTCATTCTTTTCCTCTTAGGCCTCCAGATAGGTCTCTCCATCCCCGCTTCCTGTCCTCCTTACCACCCTTCTGCGTCTCTTAGGCAATGCTTAACTTGCACCTGCTGTCTCCTCTCTCCTTTTTCTCCTTCCTTCTTTCCTTTCTTACCAACTGAGTGCCTACCACATTGTGTGCATTTGTGGATAAAAAGTAGGAGGGAGGCATCCCTGCCCTCAGGAAGCTCTAAGACTACTGGTGAGACATGGGGTACCCAGACACTTTCAGTGTGCTGGGAGAGGGCTGTCAATACACAGCAGCCCCACATGTCCCAGGAGAGACACATGACCTGGGCATGGAGGGGCAGGAAAGGAGGCCCAGGAGGAGTGTTGGCCTGACCTGAGTCTTGAGGCATCGGTGAGGGTGAGCCAGGTCAACATGGTGGAGGAAGGCATTCTGACAAAGTGGCATAGCCTGTGCAGAGACCCAACTTAGCAACCCAGAACCCCAATAGCTCAATGTGGCCAGAGCTCACACAGGGTATGAGGACACAAGGCAGGGGCCATAGCAGGGAGGGTTTTGTACATCCCGTTTGGTACTCTGGTTTTATTTTTTAAATTCTTATCTCACAGTGAGCTTTCCTAATTAAAAGAAAATGACGTACATCGTGCTCATGACTTACAAATCAAGTGGCAGATCTGATAGAGAGCAACTGCGTCCTGGACAGCCCCTCTTTCTCACCCATGTCTTACTCACAGGGGACAACCAGTTTTTCTTTCTTTTAGCTCTTCCTTCCTGTCATCACCTCCACATCCCTGGAATCAAATCCTTCTATCTCTACTTGCTAATCAAATTTAGACATTATCTAGTGAATTTCTGTGACGATAAAGATTAAAGAACACTCTCCACTGCCACCTCTCCTGCATTTCTATTCTGAAGGCATTGGGGAGCTAGGAATGATGTTAAACAGATAAGTCTCAGGATGATATCTGTGTTTTAGAAAGGTCAATTCAGAAGCATTGTGCGGGGTGGGTTGAATGAGCGGAAATAGATGTAGGGTAAACTAGATGGTAGATGGCATGGGTTTGCCCTAAGGCATAAGTTCTGTTAACCAAGGGAAAGGAAAACATGTCAGAGAGAATTGGGAACTGAATGAGTAAGGCTGGAGAATGGGTGCCCTGATAATTTACTTTGCCAAACATAACCAGGCAACAATATTTTCATAAGGACCCTAAATCTAGAGAGTTGTGAATCAGCATCTCAATCTAGAAAAAAAAATCTTGAATGCAATTCCCAAAGAATAAAATTTTTAAAATTAAAAGAAACATCCATTACAGTTTGGGCTTAGGGTTTAATTCTAGGGGTGCAAGGGTGGTTAATTAAAAGGGAAGCCTATTAGCACTTCAATTTAATGCCCCTTTCCATTTCTGAAATACTGAAATCTTCCTTACCTTTGCAAAGAGTATCTATTCTAAAGCAAGAGCTAACATTTTATATCAGTGTGAAACACTGGAGTTCCCCAGAAAGTCTAAAGAAAATCAAAGTGCTTTAAAAGCCCAATATTATCATTACTTCTATTGCAACTTTTACATACATATATTGTTTTTGTTTTCCAGAGAGATTAGTTTATAAAACAAAGCAAACAAAACCCTACAGAAGGGTTTGTATTCTGGTCTTGTAGAGCAGCAAGGAAGGGGGCTCTCAGGAGTCTGTGGCACTTTGCAGCCTGGTTTAAGGGTAAGGACCCCGGGGACAGAGTGCTGGAGGCAGCTACTCTAGGTCAGTCAGATCCCAGGCAGTGCAGAGGCAAAAAATTGGGGTTTCTGAACACCTCCATTACTCATTAGTGAATTTGTGCAGAGTAATGCGTACTTGTAAAGAAATCTGTTGAACTGGTGAGAGGAAGCCCCAGCAGGAGAATTTGGTGACCAAAACTGTCCCCAGCATTAGAGGGGTTTCACATTTTCATCTCCTGAAGGAATGGCTGCTGTGACTCCCTGGCTGGATTCTAGGGGCACCCTGATCTTCACAGCCATCCTCGCCAACTTATGTGTAGTCCTTTTCTTCTTGAGCCAAGAAAAGATTGGTAGCATCTTTTCAGACATATTAAATCAAGACACGACATTTTTAAAATAAAAATATTTTTATAGACACATATATGGCATAGATGCAGTTATTTCTATATTTAATGTTATTTTGTTTCTGAAGTAATGTATTTGTTATTTATCCTCCTACTCACTACCTGACTCTGTGAAGGAGTTGGCATGTTTTACAATAAAAGACAGATGCTATAGAAACATTAAGATAAAGAAAAAGAACACAGTCCGTGAACTGAATTTCAGGAGAGAAGAGAAGGAATTCAAAGATAGCTGCTAGAGCTGAGGACAAAAAAACAAAACAAAACAAAACAAAAAAAACGCACAAAAAAAAACCAGACACACAAAAAAATAGAACAAAACAAAACAAAAACTCTGAAATTCTTTGGAAGCAAGTAAAAAAAGAAATTTGCTATTATATGATAAAATAAAATTTACCAGTTTCTCAAGAGATAAATGTCAGAAAAGTTTACAGAGCATACCATTTTTTAAGCCAAAAAAGAAAAAAAAAAGTGTTGACTGATGTCTGGTCACAGGTTGTTAGACCACAGAGTTCTCCAGACACACAGACAGAAGCTTCTCTCCTAGTCTCTCTTGGTTCCCTGTGTTAAAAGCACTGCCTCTCACCGGGCAGGTGAGTGTGCTGCTGCAGTAGAGTCTGGAGAGATGCTTACAGGTTCCAGCTGATTAGCAGAGCAGGGATAATTGCCGTTCCTTATGCTAACTAGGGACCACATTCTCCCTGGCTCAAATCATCAGCTTTCCTGCTGGCCCCAGGGGACTCTCAACTCCTTTCTTGGGTGCACTATTTGGAGATGTGACCTTGGACAACAGAGCTCCCAAAAGTCAAAAGGCTGCTTGCATGTGTTGAAATTATTTGTGCAATATCATGTGGGAATTGTCTACATGGGAACACAGTTTTGTAGAAAGAAGATATACAGTTTTTATTATGTTTTCAAGTGAGCTCATAACTTCAAAAACATAAGGATAATTAATGTAGGATTCTAGCACTACATCTGTGATATTGCATAAGTTTCACCGTGAAGTAACATGCATTGAAGTAGGGTGGTCTTCATTCCACCTTGACCCTTGGACTATACCTTCTACAACTACTGCTCAGGATAGGCAGGGACCCTTCCTCATAGTGTCTCTAGCCCCTTCTCTGCTCTTTTCTGTAATGTCAAATCATCATAAAACCACAGTGAATATATCTATAGTGATTTATGATTTATAAAGTTCATGTAAATATATCATTAATGTAAGCTTCACAATGACTCTGGGAGGTAAGCACTGTAGCCTCCATTTTACAGATGAGAAAACTCAAGTTCAGAGATTTTCCATGAATGGTTCAAGGTCTCACTAGAGGTAGTAGATTCCGGATCCGTGAGGGAACCTGAATTCTGTGATATGTTTACAGTGTATTCTTCCCACTAGAAGCCATGATGAGGTTGGAAAAGGTGGACTTTCCACATAGCTGAAACCATCCCAAGCCACTAATACCTCTTCCTGTTAGCTCACTTGATGCGCTGAAATGTGTTCTCAGCTGCTCAGTATATACATCATAAATTTCTGCTTACAGCATCTATAGAAAAGGCGATTTTGCTAGATGGTAGCTCAAGACATTAGCATATGTGACGTCTATTAAACCTTGGATACATAGACTCCTGTCCTGGTCACAGAGTTACCCACAATGGCAAGTACAATGGGGGTGGGGTGATGCTGGTGGGAAGGGGAGTTTCCTTTATTTTGGATGGGCTTTAGCAGCTTTCGATCATTTGCACAAAAGGATTTGACTCTGCCCATCAGAAAGCACTTCTTCTGAATTTCCCCACATAGGAGGCCTATGAGACACGTGAAGATATCATCAGGCTGGTGGGGGAGCTGGTGAGCATCGTTGGGGCTGTGATCATCCTGCTCCTAGAGGTGAGGGGCAGGCGGGGTCCAGGCTAATCCCATCCCATCTAAGGCCCAGACTGTACCGCAGTCCACATTGTATTTTTGCTTTGCCGTCCTCTCCCCAGATTCCAGACATCTTCAGGGTTGGTGCCTCTCGCTATTTTGGAAAGACGATTCTTGGGGGGCCATTCCATGTCATCATGTGAGTATCCCCTCATTCCAGCCCCCTGCCTTTCCTTACCAGAATCTTTTCCTGTCTCCAGCTCACTCTCTGAGTTCTAGGCCTCAGGTCACTCTCACTCCAAGGACTTCTCTCCAGTGGACTTGTAGGTGTAACTGTATGTGCGTTTTAGGTGTAAAGACTAAGCCTGAGTGTGTGGATACCACCCCGGTCACCACTATGCTGTAGGGACCTAAAATAGTTCCAGCTTGTCTCTCACTCTCTGCTTTCTGCTCCCCCAGCATCACCTATGCCTCCCTGGTGCTGGTGACCATGGTGATGCGGCTCACCAACACCAATGGGGAGGTGGTGCCCATGTCCTTTGCCCTGGTGCTGGGCTGGTGCAGTGTCATGTATTTCACTCGAGGATTCCAGATGCTGGGTCCCTTCACCATCATGATCCAGAAGGTCAGTGCTTTCCCGAAGCTTCCTCCGCCTCAGGCACAAGACCTTCACAGACAGAGGGATGGAGGTAGAATGGAGCTGGTAGAACTATGGGGGCCTCTTGATCTGTTAGCGTTAGCTGCTCAAAAGCAGTGGAAAAGGAATCATCCCACCCTTTCTTCCTTCTGTTTCCTGCAGATGATTTTTGGAGACCTAATGCGTTTCTGCTGGCTGATGGCTGTGGTCATCTTGGGATTTGCCTCCGGTAAGGCACCATACACTCCTCTACTAGATCAGCAGATCTAGTTCTCCAGAAAGTTCACTCTCATTCTTGCTCTCAGTTCTCATTTGCACTTCATTTTGCTTTCTTTTTTTTTGTTTGTTTTTTGTTTTGTTTTTTCCTGTTGGAAGGTAAGTCTAAAAGCACACCCATATTTATAGGACCAGGGGCCACTCAGGTTGGCCTGGAACGTAAAGCCATGTGTTCAGGGCCAATAAGATTTATGTTCACTAACTGCCTTGCAAGATCTTTAAAGGAGAGACAGGAAAAGACTTTTGGTGAGAACAGGGCATTAAACAGGAAAGACTGGCCAGTCATGGATCTCAGAAAACCATGTGGACAAACAGAGATAGTGCCATGCTTAACTCTCCTATGTTTACAATTCAGAAGAGGAAACCTAAAGCACTCAACAACATATAACTTGCTTTTTTTCTATATGTGGTCATTTAAAGCTGAGAAAAATATGAAAGAATTAGAAAAAGGAGGTGCAGAAAAACAGCTTGGACAGTTTGAAGATGACAGAGAAAACAAAAAAGAAGAGTTGTGAAGAGAGACTGGGAGAACAGGAACACACAGGCACCCAGTCAAGGCACAGCCAGTGAAAGTGCCAGGGAGCAAAAGAAAGGAACGGCACAGCAGGAAAACACAGGCAGGTGGAAACAGCCAGAGGGAAGGAGAGGGTGGGTGGAGGAGCAGAAGAAAGTCCTTAGGGAGGGGCAGAAAGAGGAAGGCCCAGGTCTGAAAAGCAAAAGGCCAGTAGCTCAAATTCAGTCCTCAGTGTCTGCAACTGACCATCTATTAGACAAGAAGAGGCACTAGAAGGATCCCCCCATCTCTAAAAAGCAATGACTCAGTGCAGAGGACTCTATTACTGTCCTCAGGGATTTCCCGTTCAATGGGGATTCCCACAAAACAACAGACCAAAACAAAAAACAAACAAAACAAAACAACAACAACAAAACCCCCACCAAAATCTGAAATGTGAAAGAGTAAAACCATGGCGTTCTGCCTGTTTGGAGTTTTCCACCCCAAGCCCTTATGTACCCTTTCCTCCCACTCCCTGGCCATCTACATCTATACATAACACAGATTACAAAATGAGGTGATGGTCCCAGAGTGGCTTTCTGTAGATGTCCTCTATCCAGAACTCTCTAAATGTTCACTTCTTGGCCATTGCACTTGCTTTTCTCTTAAATAAATAAGGAGGCAATGCTTTGTCATAGACCCTGTTTCTGCTCTCAGAATGTGCTTCAGCTCCCTATGCAGTGAGGAGGCTTTCAAGCAGTCCAGCGCTGTCCTGAAGTTCCCTTACGCTCACTGCTATCCAGTAGGCTCCACCCTAAGCAGGAATCCGTTTCCTATGTTGGTTCAGGTTCACTCAGGGAAGGTCAGAGTGATGGAGGGTTATCTAGAGGCCATCAAGATTAAAAAAGGGGCTCTTCTTTTAGCCTGTTCATGTGTTCTGTTCTTTAAAAATTGTTGAGGATTCCATACATTCTTGTAATAACTTGCCTTTTAAGTATTTGGTTTTCTAAAATGCAAAAACCAGTTAGGTGACCTATTATCCATTATCCATACAAACACACACGCTGCACACACAATTTTGTTGTTGTTAAATGACTATTACCATGACCATTACCCAGAGTGGTGAACTTAATCATAGGACATCTTAGGGTTAGACAGTTCCACAGGAAACTACATTTATTAGTATGTAATTATCTGTGCATGTGTGCAAGTGTATTTAGATAGATAGATAGATAGATAGATAGATAGATAGATAGATAGATCAGAGATAGAATAAGTGCTAACCATGTCCATGCTTATTGTGATAACTCCATTATCCCATCTCCATGTCCTCTTCCTGGGCGGAGCAGCGTTCTATATCATTTTCCAGACAGAGGACCCAACCAGTCTGGGGCAATTCTATGACTACCCCATGGCACTGTTCACCACCTTTGAGCTTTTTCTCACTGTTATTGATGCACCTGCCAACTACGACGTGGACTTGCCCTTCATGTTCAGCATTGTCAACTTCGCCTTCACCATCATTGCCACACTGCTCATGCTCAACTTGTTCATCGCCATGATGGGCGACACCCACTGGAGGGTGGCCCAGGAGAGGGATGAGCTCTGGAGGGCCCAGGTGAGTTTATTTGTGTTAGTCTTGCTAAGAAGCAGGGGTTGGAGAGAAAAATCAAAGTGGAAAATGTTATGGTGGATCATTCTTAAAAGAGTCACAGAAAAACCCAGTGAGGCTGTCACCTCAGAAGAGGTTTGTGTAAACCTGAGGTACATGTGGATAAATGGAAGGGACAGAAGGAGGATTAAATGGACGATAGTGGCAAGAGGTGGGGTTGTTGCTCACAGGGGAAAAGTAGACCTAGGATTGATCCTTGAGTCCAGTGGGAACTAGAAGTGACCTTGTTCTGGTATATTCCAGTTTTCAATTTGGATCTTATCTTCTATTTGCTTCTGTAAATCCCTGTTTCTCTATGATCTTTTCTTTATATCACCATAGACTGATAAATATTAGAATTAGAAGTGACCCTCAATGGCCCTCAAGTTGACCTCCTACTTAACATAATAATCATTTATTGGTCAGAATGTCATTCAATATCTTCTCTAATGCTGATTAGTACCTTATTATCTTGCAAATTCAGGTAGAGGTTGGGAGGAAGGGAGTTTTCCCATATTTTTAAAGATTTTGTTATTAGACATTTATGTCGCATTGAGCTAAAACCTATCTTCTTAAAATTTCATTCTTTGGCGCCAGTCTTTCCCTCTCATATATCACAGAACACATTCTTCCATATAAGCACCATTCAAATATTTGAATATAGCCATCATTTTTCCCTTAGACTTTTCATTCATTTAATGATGATCATTTAGACCCTGCTATGTGTTGACAAATGCCTAGGAGCTAGGGACATGAGCATAAACACAACAGACACCATATGTGCCCTCATGGAGCTGACGGTTTAGTTGGAAAGACGGGCATGAAGTGAATGACTTCACAAAAAGCTGTAAAATTACAGCAGCAAAAGTGCTATAGAGAATGTAAGGTGCTAAGAGGAGGATACAACAGAGGAATCGGACTGGGAAGTGAAGACATGCTTTCCTGAGGGAGCAACATTTAAGATGAGAACCCAAAGGTGAGCAAGAACTAGGTAGTTAAAAGGAAGGAGGGAAAAGGATGAAGGTCAAGGTTAGTAGCAATTAGGACTCTTGGCTACAGGGACAGAAAACCAAACTCAAACAGACTTGCAGATTTTTAAACAGGGGGAAGAGGATGTGTTAGTCCTCATAAATGGGAAGTTTAGAGAATTAAACTAACTTTAGAGGTATCTGGCCAGAATGCAGATCCACATCTTATACATTACATCCATTCCTCTGTTCGGCTCTCTTTTGACCTCTCTTCTAAGGCAAGCTCTCCCATCGTGTTTGTGAGATCATTTCTAGAAGCTCCAAACTCCAAAAAGAATGAGGATGTGCAATGCAACACGCAGCTCCGAGGGCCCCACTCACGTTGTATTCTGTGAGGCTCCTGGTGCCAGGCAAAACTGCAGGCTTTAAAAGAACATCTTTCCCCCTGCCAATTCCTTCCATGTTCCATCTCATGGGAACACATTCGGGTCATAGGCACATCGTTGAATCTAAGGAAAGACCAAGGACTAGATAGTGGAGGTGTTGGTGATGGTGGTGGAGGGGAGGTTTGGGGGAAAATAGATTAATTAAGCACAACTGTGTGAAGCCCAGTCCACTCAAACCAATGCACTAAAAGTGATGAGGGAGCAATTCCCTAAATGAAAAATGGGTGCTGTTACCCGAGGAAGGACGGGGCTGCATGATGGCTCAGGAGGAACAATAAACATTTCTTTCAAGGCAAAGAAGAACAGCTATCCAGGGTAAGAGCACAGAATGACTGGAAGTCCTGAGCTAGGAGGGAACTTGGTGCAATTAAGAAACTGAAAGAAGTGTGGAGTAATGAGGAAGATAGGGAGTAGAAAAACATGAGGTGAAGAATTTGCTATTTTGAAGATTGCACTCCTTCAATTAGGAAGCCTTCCTGGTTCTGATCTATTCTGATTGCACCCTTTTGTCCATGCTCTAATAGATCATGGTTTCTTTGAAACTAGAATAGTCCCCAGTATGATTAGGGCAATGCGGTACAAAGCGGGACTATGCCTTTCCTTACTTGGACATAATGCTAAGGGTACCTAAAGCTGAGTCAGGTCTTTTAGCAAATATACAAATGGCCCTTATTAAGCTTGTGATCAGCTAGCACTCCCACACCTTTGTTCTATGACTCACTTATCTAAGCTTCCTAAATGTAAATATAGGACCTTAGATTTGGTTTACTTAAATTTCTTGTTAATGATTTTACACCAGCATTCCAATCTAGCGAGATAATTTTATATTGCTTCTGTTGCCCCACATATTACATATCCCTCCCAGTTTTGTGTCACAGGCATATTTGATAAGCTTGTTTCCCATGTTTCATCTAAGTAATTAATGAGGGCTGAGCAAAGGACAGAACGTGTGGTGGACTTGCTACCAGAAATTTCCCTGCCAACTTGCAGTCATTAATCAACCCTTTTCCTTCCTAAGATGTGGATATTTAATTTGCTGAAAATTCCCTGAACAGTAACAGTATCAATTCATCCCCAAGATCGTAGAGATTCTCTTTAATCATTTTATTTAAATCGAGATAATTGGTCTGTGGCTTTTATATGAAAAAGAAGTTGAGATTAGTTTGGAGTGACTCATTCTCCATGAGTGAATAGTAATGTAAGGGCAACTATTTTATTCAAAACACTCACAAAAAATCCTCTCTCATTTCTTGATGAGTGAAGCTGGTTGCATGGTGCCTGGCACAGGCTGTGGGGTGAATAGGTGGCTGTTCTCACCACTGACCTCTAGTGTCCTATCTCACAGATTGCCTTTGGTTCCCTTTATCAGTGGCCTCAGTGCCTCTTTGAACCTCATGGCTCTTTCAGAGTTCTTCCTGTATCTCCTGCCTCCTTCCAGGTCGTGGCCACCACAGTGATGCTGGAGCGGAAGCTGCCTCGCTGCCTGTGGCCTCGCTCCGGGATCTGTGGGTGCGAATTCGGGCTGGGGGACCGCTGGTTCCTGCGGTGAGTGATGGTGTGCACATGCAAAACTGCAGATGTGTATAAGGCCACGGAAGCAAGGGTGACCGACAGGCGTCCTGGAGCCTACATTAGCCTGTCTAGGGGAGGGGGCTGGAGCTGAAGTGGAGGGGTACGAAGAATGCTGTGTGTACCTCAGGGCAGCCACGTGTAAAAGGTTGTGTGCATGTGTCCATGCTCAGACGTCAGCATGGGTTACCAGACTTGCTGTAACCTTGTTCTGAGCTGACCTTCATCTCCAGTGTACTTTTGGCTTGGATCTAACTTCCTCCTTCATATTCTGCCCTCATCTCCCGGCGTGACTCTCCTCTCTCCTCAAATTTACTTCCTGAATTGCATCTCGTCATCCTTGTGACACGCTTATCTATTAGTTGGCTCTGTTTTCTCTTTCACATTCCTACGTATTAGTAACACACAAACACACACACACCTGTGTGCGTCCTACCACCCTGCAAGCCCTGATTGCTCAGCCTCCATTATCTCTATCCCAGGTTAGCCTGCCCTCCATCACCTCCCTTCACTTGATCCCAGATACTCTTCCTGTTTCAACTCTGCTGCCTTATTTCTGCTTCCCTCTTGACCCTGCTTTCTAAATGGTCACCTCTACTTCTCCCCTGCCCATGTCTCCCCACCTGGATTGAGTCCTTTCCCCTTTCCCCTTATCAGGGTTGAGAACCACAATGATCAGAATCCTCTGCGAGTGCTTCGCTATGTGGAAGTGTTCAAGAACTCAGACAAGGAGGATGACCAGGAGCATCCATCTGAGAAACAGCCCTCTGGGGCTGAGAGTGGGACTCTAGCCAGAGCCTCTTTGGCTCTTCCAACTTCCTCCCTGTCCCGGACCGCGTCCCAGAGCAGCAGTCACCGAGGCTGGGAGATCCTTCGTCAAAACACCCTGGGGCACTTGAATCTTGGACTGAACCTTAGTGAGGGGGATGGAGAGGAGGTCTACCATTTTTGATTAACATCGCTATCACTCTTGACCTTACTCCCGGTTGGCCTGGGGGCGGGGACAGAGACGGAGACCTCTGCCTATGCAAGTGTCTAACTTCTGTGCCTGTTAATCATGGGAGGGTGAGACAGAACAATCCCTAAAGGGTCATGCCTCACACTTCACATCAGAATTTCTGGCAATGGGCAATGGTCATCGATTGTCTCACGTATTTTCTGGGCTCTTGCAAGTCACCCATCTCAGGAAAAAGGAGGTTGGCAACTAAAGACATGAGGCAGGGATGCTAGATTAATGTCAGGACCATTTCTCTTCTGCCCCACGCAGCCCCTAGAAAGTAGTAAGCTGTGAGGCTTTTCTGGCTCCCCAGGGCTTACGTGGGAAGAGCCAGGCATGGCATAGAGGTTGTGGCCCTTCTTTTTTTCCCAGCCTCCTGTAGGTCTCTCTCTCCACTTAGCAAGCAAACACCAACTGCAATAAAAAAGTCTCCTTATTCTTGCCTTCTTTAATTTTTTACTGTGGCACAATACATGTCACATAAAATTTACCATATTATCCATTTTCAGATGTGCCATTCAGTGGCATTAAGTACATTCACATTGTTGTGTAACCATCACCATTATTCATTTATGGAACTTTTTCATCATTCGGAACTGAAACTCTAATCCCCATTGAACAATAACTCTCCAGCTATCTCTCTGCCCTGGTCCCTGATAACCAATATTCTGCTTTCTGTCTATGAATTTAACTATTCTAGGTATCTTATGTAAGTGGGATTCTGCAATCTTAGTCCAAAATTTGACACAGTTTGTTTATTTATTCATCTACCAATGGACATTTGAGTTTTTTCTACCTTTTGGCCGTTGTGAATAATGCTGCTATCAATATGGTATACAAATATCTGTTCTAGTTTCTATTTTCAGATACTTTGGGCATACACCTAAAAATGGAATTGCTAGACAATTCTTATGTTTAGTTTTATGAGGAACTGCCATACTGGTTTTCACAATAGCTTTCACCATTTTACATTCCCTTCTAATGGGTGTGAAGTGGCTTCACATTGTAGTTTTGATTTGCCTTTCCCTAATGACTAATGATACTGAGCACGTTTTTATACACCTATTTATTGGATGTTTATATACCTTCTTTGGAGAAATGTCTTTTCAGTTTATTTGTCCATTTTCGAATTAGGTTTTTGTTGTTGTTGAATTGCCTTATCTTTGCTTTTTGAGGCTCACAGTCTGAAGTGTTTGCATCCTGGTGTGTTTTTAAGAATGTATGGTAAATTAGGCCTATATTTGAATGGCCTAATCATTTCTTTTCCAGGACCCTCCTGCTCTGTCCCTAGCAGCTAATCATCCTTGTGCCTGGAGGCAACAGGCTCCTGCTTGTTCTCCTGACATAGCCATCCTCCATTCCCATCTCCCTTTGCCCCACACTGAGTTGTGAAAGGAACAGCAACAATAGAGGAAGGGTCATCCCTCTCCAGGAGGGAAATTAGGAATCATGTGTCCAGGGCACCCATTATAGGTGCTCATGGTCAGCCTCTCTTGTGTCTCCAGCACTATACTTCTAATCCCAGCCCCATCATCACCCTTAGCAAAAAGCCATGTCAGCTTTTCAAAGGACTGTGGTCTGGGATAACAAAGAAGTAAGTGGTATTTGTGAAACCACAGACAGTTAATTCAGATACACCAGCCCAGGGCTGAGTGCCCAGCAGTGAGGGATTGCACAATGTGTATACACACGCCCGCACACACTGGGACACAGTGGTGGCAGGGTATGTAAAACTGCTCAGTCACCATCATTCTTCTTTATTCTCTTCATAGTAGAAGCACTTTAAAATTCTGCTTCTGTAGTCCTTTTTTTTTTTTCTTGAGACAGGGTCTTGCTCTGTTGCCCATGCTGAAGTACAGTGGTGTGATCACTGCTTACTGCAGCTTCGACCTCCTGGGCTCAAGTAATCTTCCCCCATCAGCCTCCCAAGTAGGTGGCACTACAGGTGTGCACCACCACACCCAGCTAATTTTTGTATTTTTTTTAGAGATGGGGTTTTGCCATGTTGCCCATGGCTAGTCTTGAACTCCTGGTCTCAAGCAATCCACCTGCCTCGACCTCCCACAGTGCTGGGATTACAGCATGAGCCACTGCACTAGCCCTGTAATCTTTTTAATACTTGCTTAACTTGTCTATAAACTTATATGTCTTTTGATTTGAGCCCTTGGCCTGCCCCCAGGTATTGTCCTTTGTCCTGGCTTGTGCACCTGGTATGTAATTAAAATTGCTTACTGCCTAGGTTTTTCACTAAAATAAGAATTACTAAGAGTTAACATTATAAATTAATGAATGTAATTAAAACTACTAGGTACATACAATGTGTATTAAACAGGTAGGCTGTGTTTTTTTTTGGAGAACAAATGTTAAAATAAGTCATGGGAGTGTGGTTCTTTTTTAAGAGAAAGTGTTTTTTTCTAGTTTAGAGGATTTTAAGGACTGTTTCAAGTTAACAGAAACGACAAAACTGAAGGTTTAAGCAAGTCGTAGAAGGTTTGTGGAAGATTGATCTTGTAAAAGGAATTTTGTGTGTGATCAAGTTTGGCTAAAATTTTAAGGGGATTATTTAGATATTATACAAATTGAACATTCATATAAATAGCACATTGATGCAGGGTCAGAATCTGAGCACCTGTGTGAGGCAGGATTTTCTTGGAATATTGATGTGTTCTTTAACACAAATTTGTAAAGTTTATAAAAGCCTCATGGAAATCTTACCTTACAATCAAACTAATTAAAATTTGGTAGATTTGCTTATAAGATTCTATTAAAGCTTTAGAATTAACAATACAGTAATACAAAAATAAAATTTGGTTTTCTCTTTTAAATAAGATTTTTGTATAATATTAAGAGATAGTAAAAGATTTTCATTTGCCCTTTGAATAAACTGCCAAAAAAATTAAAGAAGAAGGAGAGGAGAGACAGATTCAGTTGGCTTCACACTGTCTCTATTAGGTCCTATTTTTTAGAAAACTGAGGTCTTCTTTATCAAGGAGTAAAGATTTCTGCTTTTTTTTAAAATTGGTGAGTTATCACTTTAGCTAAATGATTATAATGACCTGTAATCTCATTTTGCGATATCAAGTGCTTTAAACTTTTAATGTTGGACTAACTTTCCAAGATTAAATTCTAAATGCAGTCTTTTAACCTCAAACTGACTTTTAAATGTCCAACAGAGGCATATTTGGCTTATTTGATATGTTAAAATCATACAGGAGGCATTGCCAAGTATAAAATGGTGTGTAACTTTCTTTGAAATATATTTATATAAATGTGCTATTGTTATGTGTTCCAAAATTGTATAATATTCTTATAATTTTAATATGTCTTGGTATATGTGATCAGTAATAATTATAATTATGGTAAATTATTGTGTGCCACAGAAATAACCAGATTTCCTTGTCAATTATATCTTTGACTGTGGATATCTTTTGTCATTCACAATTATTATTTTACTTTGTTCCTTTTCAAAAAGTTGCTTATAATCAGTTATAGGACTCTGATGGTGTATTAGTTCATTCCCATGCTGCTATGAAGAGATACTTGAGACTGGGTAAATTATAAAGAAAAGTTTAATTGATTCACAGTTCTGCATGACTGGGGAAGCCTCAGGAAACTTAGAATCACTGGAGAATCACCTCTTCACAGGGTGCCAGGAGAGAGAATAAGTGCCAAGCAAAGTGGGTAGCCCCATATAAAACCATCTGTTGCCCATGCTAGAGTACAGTGGGCAACTCACTGAATGAGTGAGTTCTCATTAGAACTCACTAGCATGAGAACAACATGGGGGGAACTGCCCCCCATGATTCAATTACCTTTCACTGGGTCCCTCCCACCACATGTGGGGATTATGGGATTACAATTCAAGATGAGATTTGGGTGGGGACACAAAGCCAAACTGTATCAGATGGATACTTTTAAATGCAGGTTTCTGACAGCTTTGGAGATTGTGCCATTAAAATAGAGGAAAAAAATCTTCCAGGACACTCCTGGAGATCTGATGTATTCATGAGGATTGTTGACCCAATATCAAATAGAACAGAGGTTAATTGCATGAACTGAGCTAATAGAAGACTAAAATAATTTTTTGTGTGATCTTTTTGTCTGAAACATTGGTGATTCTTTTCATTTTTTGGGTTGTTTACAGCTTTTAACAATTGAGTAAAATATGCTCTTGTGAGCAAAATTTAAAGCATATTTCTTTCTCTCTACCTGATTTCTCCAGAATTTGAAAACTATTTTTGAGTATTCTTAATTTATAACAATATAGTTATTTGTATGAGCTCAATAAGAATCTGCTTTCTTTTGTAACAGGACACAATTGGAGACTATTATTTTACTAAAGCTTTGACTAGAATGAAATATTTTAAGCTATAAACAAAACAACAAACTGTTTTAAGGAATTGCCATTGACTTATAGAGCCAATAAAAGATCCTTAAAAAAACTGGCCTTGTACCTTGCCTACACAATTCTTTTACAGGGTTCCCAACCTGTGATAAGTAAAGAACGTTACTTTCTGGCAGGCCCGGGAACCCCAAGTTATCTTGGGATTAAGAAGAGAGGCATTCGCCCAGTTCATACAGATATCTGCAGGCACAAATAAATTCTTGACTGGGCTTGGGGCCTTTAAAAAGTCTAAACTAAGATTCCTTAAATAAAAAAGTTTCCAGCAAAGTCAATTTTAAAAAAGCCTAAATAGAAAATAATTATTCTTGCTGCACTTTATACAAAGAATCAGGTGAAGTATAATACAACTAAAGCTTTTCTACAAATAAATTAGTCCTACTATGATTTGTCTTTGATAAAAATGGAGGACTGAGATAAAAATTATGTTTTTTTTTTTTTTTAAAAAAACATATAAAACACCTCTTCTTAGACCCCACCTTATCAATTGTTTCTCAGTTTCATTCTTTGTTAAAATGCATTTGGACTGAATCCTAAGTCCTTTCCTGGCTACAAGTCTCCAAACTACTGTTCATTTTTTTTTTCCTTTTTCTTTCATTTTTTCCCTTTTTTTTCTCATTTGGAATCTAGAAATTAAAACTAGAAATTTTAATTTAAAATTAAATTAAAATTAAAACTGTGCTTTTCTTAAAGTTCTGCCAAGTGAAACTTGAAACTTAAACTTTGGGAAAAGTAACAGCAAATTATTTATATATATAAACCACTTTTGTGCCTGCCTACTCATTCATGGACTTCAGAGCAATATAGCCTAAATCAGTTTTCCAGGATTACTTTCCCCTTTTGTTGTCATGATCTTTCCTCCTTTTCTACTGGTTTTCTTTCTCTCTTCTTTCCCCTATTTTTCTCTGTGGAACATGAAACTTCACAACCTGCTAAGAATGATCCTTTCTAAAATGAGGGACCTAACCCTCTAGAAATAAACTGTCCTAGTGACAAGGGATCAGACCAAACCTGAGATCAGACACTCACTTTCTTCTACAATGCTTTCCCTGAAAGATTTGGAAGAACAGGGTGGGAGGATGTGAAAGGAAAATAACATCTTGGGACCTCAAACTCACTATGTGAAAGGGAAAAGTTAAGTTTGGAAACTGAGTCAAACTTTTGGAAGTTGCCTTTCTTCCAAAAAGTTTGGAAACTGCCTGTCTTTTTGTTCCTAAACAGATAGCCTCAAGACAGAAGGCCACATTAGCTCCCCAGATGGCCTCCTTCACCCTGACATTATAAATTAACAGTTTATCTTCACGGGTACAGGAGAAGAGAAGAATAGAAATCGTCCCTCCTCCTACCCTGGGATGAAGGCATATTTGACTTCTTCCTCTAATTTACTTTGTCTTATGTAAAGTGCAGATTTACTGAGCATGACACAAATACATAAATGACTGTTCCTCTGTCCCCTGCTTCTCACATGCAACATGTGGATTCAGTGAGCACTAATCAAAGCCTCAAAAGAATGTAACCACTTGTCTACTCTCCGCCACTTTTCTTTAACTTTTCTCCTTCCCCTCCTGGCCACTTAACCCCTTTAAATATTGAAGCCTTCAAAACCCACTTTGGAAAAAGTGCAGGCCTCAGATCTTACTGTGGCCTGTGTCTCTTTTTCCTGTGTCCTCAACCTTGCAAAATAAACCTGTAAATTGATCGAGACTTGTCTCAGACATCTTTTTCTCAGTTTACAACTTCCACTCCTGTGCAAAGCTAAACTCCCATCTGTGTTCTAGATCCATTCCTCACTCTGTCTTTTCACACCCTGTGTCCATCACTGTCTCCTCTGACCCCTCTCACGTGTGTATCTTCAACTTCTCCTTCTCTGGTAGCTCTGTCAGCAAATAAGCATGCTCTATTCTTTTGCATTTTCGAAGAAACTGCAAACTCCCTCCCTCAACCCCACCTCTTCTTTCAGCTACTCCCTGTTCAGGGCCAAACTTCTTAAGAGTAAATCCCATTGTCTACTGGCCTCCCACTGACACCTCAACCCATTGTGATTTGACCCTGCCTTCTCCGTGATACTGATACCTGTAGTTAAATCCACTGAACAGTCTTAGTTTTGCTTGAACACTCGGTAGCATTCAGATTACGGTTAATTGTGCGCCACTTCTCAACACGTCTTGTGCCACATATCGCAGCTGTCCTGGCTGCTTCTCCTCCACTGACCCCTTAAAGATTTTCAGTCCACAGGCTGTTTTCCTTACCACCTGGGTAGTCCTGCCTAATTCAATAGATTACCATGCACAAGCTCAGAATCCCTAGCTCCTTATCGTCACCTTAGATCTGTCTCCGGAGCTCCAGGCATGAACGGCTTGGACGCCTATTGATTGGACCGCTCTACCTGGATGTTTTACAAACACCTCAAACTCAACATGTCCCAAACTGAACAGCTTTTCTTCCTCACCAAACCTGCTCCTCCACCAGTGTTTCCAACCAAGTATGTGGTAGCACAACAAAGTTGCCTAAGCCAGGATCCTAGGCGTCCCATCCTCCACACCTCTATCTCAACTCTCATATCCAGTTGATCTCACGTCTTGTGGATAGTCTAGTCCCTAAATTTCTCCTTTGAAAAATAACTAATTTTGATTAGATAACACATCACAAGGTACAAAACCCAAACAGCACACAAGATATCTAGGAAAGTAAGCTCTCTTATCTCTGTCTCAGCCTCTTGCTTGTTATTCTCAGGGACATTCACTAATGAAAGTTTATTATTTATCCTTCCAAAAATACTCTAGACATTTCCAAGTATATGTATGTATATGTTTATCTTAAAATACATATAATAGCTTAGTAGATTAGAAAAGGAGTTGTTGCTTTTGTCACTTAGGATATTTTAAAGTGTCTCATTCTGCACATGATTTTACCATGATGTATTATTTTTATTCCTGGGTAGTGCTATATTCTCCTTCCCCCTGGCTTTCATAATTTCTGGACCTTTCTACCCCTCTGCCTCCATTTCCTCTTTCATTGCTGTGCCTTTTTTTTTTTTTTTTTTTTTGAGAAGGAGTCTTGCTCTGTCGCCCGGGCTGGAGTGCAGTGGCATGATCTCTGCTCACTGCAATCTCCACCTCCTGGGTTCATGCCATTCTCCTGCCTCAGCCTCCCCAGCAGCTGGGACTACAGGCGCCCGCCACCACGCCCGGCTAATTTTTTGTATTTTTCGTAGAGATGGGGTTTCACCGTGTTAGCCAGGATGGTCTCGATCTCCTGACCTCGTGATCCACCCGCCTCAGCCTCCCAAAGTGCTGGGATTACAGGTGTGAGCCACCTCGCCCGGCCCATCGCTGTAACTTTTATTCATCCTATTGGTCTCAGCTTAAAGATTATACATTTAGGGTGGGTGAATGTGCACATGTGTGGTAAGAGAGGGGGCTCCCTGACTCACTCCTAGACTAGGTTAGAGACTACCTGCTTTATGTTGCTAGACCACCTATATTTTCTTTTTATTACACACACTGGACTTTATTGCACTTGTTTGTTTAAATGACTATGAGCTCCACAAACGTAAAGATGATGTCCATCTTATTCACCCTTGTATTCCCAGTACCTGGCATAATTCCTAGTACAATGTATTGTGAAATGAATATTTATTAACTGAATCTATGAATGATTGACCTATTTTTATTCTGACTTTTCTTACTGGCCACACATATTTCCACTTTTTTTCTACCTGTCAAAGGTGGTAAAAAAAATAGCTGCCTTTTGAGTGAGGTTGTAGTAATTAAAGATGACCACATAATATGAGTGGAAACACTTTGGAAAGAATAAAAACCAATGCAAATGTGATTGCTAGAACATGTTTTTAGCCTAAATATACGTGTGTGTGAATATGTATTTGTGTGTGTGTCTGTGTGTGTATATATGAGACACAGAGAGAGAGAGTGAGAAGAAGGAGGAGGAAGAGGAAAAAGGTGGTGGAGGAGAAGGGGCAGGAGGGGGACTGACAGAGAAGAGAAGAAGGAAGAAGGGGAAAAAAGATGAAGAATAAGAGGAGGAGGAGGAAAAGGGGGCAAGAAGTCCTTCAGCAAAGCTCTGGGACAGCACTTACTGTCTGGTATGTGGTACCCTCTGTAAGAGGCATTAAGATAATCTGTGAGATTCCACATCTGCCCTCAGGAGCCCAAGTGAGAAGGGAAGAGAACACATACACACAGACATCAGCTCACTGCAGGGCAGATGTGGGAAGTGACCCGTGTGCTAAACGAGATGGCAAATGTCTCTTCCTGCCTGGCAGCTGCAAGGCTTCTATACAGGACTTCAGAGACAGGGACAGGGAGTAGAAGAAATATCCACTGCTCGTTCTGCCTCAGGAATTCTTCAGGTACCCACAAATGGTTACTATTCTTCCCCCTCTGTCTCCCCCATCCCTGATTATTTCAGAATATAGAATGCAAAAAAATATTCATGCTTCTGTATGTCTCATAGGCCAGAGGCTGGAAAGCAATGAGAAAATGTTGTTCTCAGCCGGGTGCAGTGGCTTATGCCTATAATCCCAGCACTTTGGGAGGCCAAGGTGGGCAGATCACCTGAGGTCGGGAGTTCAAGCCCAGCCTGACCAACATGGAGAAACCCCATCTCTACTAAAAATACAAAAACTAACCAGACATGGTGGCACATGCCTGCAATCCCAGCTACTCGGGAGGCTGAGGCAGAAGAATTGCTTGAACCCTGGAAGTGGAGGTTGCAGTGAGCCGAGATCGTGCCATTTCACTCCAGCCTGCACAACAAGAGCGAAACCCCATCTCAAAAAAAAAAAAAAAAAGAAAAGAAAAGAAAAAGAAAATGTTGTTCTCAGAGGCATCACTGGACTTTTAAAATGCCTCCCTCCCTCAGACGTTTGCAAAGTATGTTATTGACAAGGTGCTGGGTTCTGGTAAGAACAGCTGAGTTGCACCTGAGGAATGGCTGTGCCGGAAGCCTCAGGAATGGGGGCCAGAGGTCAGCATTCCTCCCCCTGTGTTGCATCTGAAGAAATGCAAGATAAGGTCTGGGCAGAGCTGAGGGAGGGGAAAAAAAGGAGGAGGGAGAGAGTAAGCCAAGGTAGGGCTGTCTTAGCAGGTCCTTAGAGCAGGATGGCATTGCATGGCAGGGCAGAGAAGAGACATTGGAGAGAGAGAGAGGGGCCAACAATGGCATCCAGAAGGCTGCTTGGCACACCTGAGATCACTCCAGGAAAAACTGAGAGAATGCCTTGACATGAGGTCAAGGATCATTTACCTCCTTGAGTCAAGCTCACTTGTTTCTTAAAGGTTAATGAGGAAAAGATGAGAAATGGGCATGGTGAGAAATACTTTAACCAGGTAATGCTGAGTGATGTCATGCAGACAGGGAGAAGTTGGTGAAGTGTGGCCCCCCTCTCTCTGCCCTGGGATGGCAGCCAGGTTGGAGCCACCTGGGGAAGGACTGGACACACCTTCTTCATTTTGCTTGCACCTCTTTGTTATCCCTGGGTTTGAGGAGGCGGCAATTAGGATCAATTGAGCCTGAGGGGGTAGGGGCTTGTGCAAGCCAGCTGCAGCATGGCAAGCCTGAGTGTGTGCCTCCACACTTACCTGTGCAGTGCTTCCTGCACTTACCTGTGAGGAAGAGCTTCTCCTTCGTGATTCCTTTTTTTTTTTTTTTTTTGAGACAGAGTCTTG
This sequence comes from Homo sapiens, assembly GCF_000001405.40. NCBI lineage: Eukaryota > Metazoa > Chordata > Mammalia > Primates > Hominidae > Homo > Homo sapiens. Next base: position 142,898,379 of record NC_000007.14, on the reverse strand, counting down.
CTCTGTTGCCAGGCTGGAGTGCAGTGGCGCAATCTCAGCTCACTGCAACCTCCACCTCCTGGGTTCAAGCGATACACCTGCCTCAGCCTGCTGAGTAGCTAGGACTACAGGCACGTGCCACCATGCCCAGCTAATTTTTGTATTTTTTTTAGTAGAGATGGGATTTCACCGTGTTGGCCAGGATGGTCTCGATCTCCTGACCTAGTGATCCGCCTGCCTCAGCCTCTCAAAGTGCTGGGATTACAGGCATGAGCCACCTCGCCCAGCCTCCTTCATGATTCTTAAAGGTCATTCTCTTTTCAACAAAGCTTTCTTTCTTTGGCCCTTTTACTTGAGCTGCTTTTTTTCTTCTTCCTGACCAAACTGTGGTGCCCACTGAGGGTTACAACCTGCCTCCAAGACACATCATCACTACCACCCTGCCCCAACCACCACCAGGGCCCTCTTTGGTCGGTACTGTCTTAGGTGCTCGGTTAACCCAAGGCCACCTCAGCCGCTGCCTCTTTTCTCATCCCCATGAGCAGAGCTCCCTCGAGAACGGGGGCCCCTGCCGGATGACGTGTGCATGTGAAAACCCAGTTTTACTCCCCAGCTCTGCCATGGTATTAGTGAGGAAACCTGTACATCAGTCAGTGATGATGATAATTTCTGACTTGTGTACCTGACATGATTATGACAAGAAAATAGCACCAAGCATGTGAAAGCACACACGTTCCTAAAATTTTACTGCTGTAAGGAGTGATTGCAATACCTTGGGCTGCCCTGGTTCCCTTCTCTTGTGCTCTTGCTCCCTCTGCTTTTTCTGAGCCCCCTCTGGACACTGTCTTCCAATTCAGAAATAAGGATATAAGGGAAAGAGATGTAGAAATAAAAGGCCATGGCTCCATGAAGGTGACACTGGCCAGGTCCTTAGAGCCTCTGTCATGCCCATAGGTCAGAGAGGGTAACCCCCCAATGATGGCTCTTTACTTCTTCAGGAACTCTCAGACTCCAGCCCCTCATCCTGTAGTCTCTCTCTTCTCCCTAAATAAACCACATCCAGAGAGGGAAGCTGCAAAGGGAGGGTTGCAACAACTTGTTCTTTCTTTTTTTGGGGGACAGGGTCTTACGCTGTCACTCAGGCTGGAGTGCAGTGGTGTGATGGTGGCTCACTGCAGTCTCAACTCAGCCCTCAGCCTCCCAAATAACTGGGACTACAGGTGCACCACCATGCCTGGCTAGTTTTTTGTTTGTTTTTTGGCAGAGACAGGGTTTAGCCATGTTGCCCAAGCAACTTGTTCTTTCTTTACCCAGGCAGAAATCTCTGTCTCTTTCCCTTCTCTCTCTCCCTCCCTCCACAGGTGAACTTGGTGAACCTGAGGGGCAAGAAGGAGGCAATCCCAGGTTCCATGGCCTCTGTGCCAACCCCCCAGGTCTCAGGTCAGTGATCACTCCTTCCCTCTGGGTCCCAGGCCAGACCTGATGGGGAAGCTCAGGGCGGGAGGGTGGGAATGGCTGGGGAGACAGGTGTCTCTGCTACATACACCACGTCCTTTCCTCCATCCTAGTTGCTGCTCCCTTCCCACCTTATCCAGGCCAATTAATCTTTCAAGAGCAGATGGCCATTTCTCTGTGTGTGGGCTGGGGATTGAAAAACCCCCTCCCCACCCCACCGGGCACACACACACCTCCCTGCCACCTTTCCTTGTTCTTCACCACCTTCTGAGCCCCTCTCTTGTACACTGGGCCACCTTTACCCTTGGGGCCTAGGAAAGAAAATATACCTATTAAATAGCTTGCAATTTCCCAGGCACAGCTCATTCCTCATAAAACGTAGTTCATCATAAACTCTACGCCAGGCACTCCAGTGCGGAAAAAGAAGAATGTGATGTGATTTAGCCTCTTCCTTTGAGACTCTCTAGGTGGGAAAAATAGGCAAGCAAAGGGACAATGTTAATGCAGTAAGATCCTTTCCATGCAGGGCAGGAGGGAAGAGAGGTGGGGGCACAGGAGAGGCAGGGACTGGCCCTGACTGGGTAGAGTTGGGTGCCTAGGGAAGAAAAGAGAGAGTGTGACATTCAAGTTGGGCTTCAGAGGATGAGCTGGAGTTTATGAACAGATCATCTGGGGCATCTTCCTGAACTGGGGCAGGATTGGCCTGATTAGAGAGCCTGGTGTAGGGGAAATGCCATAACCCGTATTTCCTCACTATTCAAGTCAACAGTGAACAAGAGACTTAGATGTAAACAGTCTCTTTGGGAGAGCAGGGGGTGAGGTCTATGGAAGGGATGATACAGAAACCCACCCTGTGTAGGTGGTAACAGCCTGAGGCAGGATCTACTCTAGTCTCCTGGAGGGAGAGAGCGGATTTTCTCACCAGAGGGTAATGTGGTCTATCACTGAAAGGGCTCCAAGGCAGAATAACAGCCATAGAAGAGAAGAATGAGGGAATAAGAACAGAGGCTATTACTGTATATTTGCCATGGGCCAGCTGCCTCCCACACTCTTCTCTCTCATCTAATTCTCAGGAGCCTGCAAGTTAGCTGTTGTCATCCTAATTTTACAGACAGGCAACTAAGGCCCAGAGAGGGTGAGTTACTTGCCTAAGGTCAAGTGACTATTACCGTGCTCCTTTTGTAGACAAGGAAACTGAGGCTGAGAGGGGTGTGCCAATTTGACTAATATCACTCAGCCAGTAATTAGCAGAGTCTGATTTTGAACCCAAATTTATCTGGCTCCAAGACCTTGTACTTCTACCTCACAATTCAGAGCCCCTGAGATAAGACAGTTCTAAAGTCTCTACCAGAAAGCTGTTTCCTAGATGGGTTGGATTTCAAATACTCCCCCCAAAGCAAAATGATAAAACAAGTGACTTGCATTCATATGACACTTTATGGTGTATAAAGTCTTTTCATGGTCGTTATCTTCTTTAATCCTAAAAACAACCCCATAAAGTAAACAGAGCAGTATTAAGCGTTCCTGTTTTACAGACAAGGAAGCTGATTCTCAGAGAGATTGTCTGATTGAAGTCACAGATCTCACCAGAATGGAGCAGGGCAATGACCCAGGATTTCTGGGCTCCCGGAGAGATCTGTCTCCACAAGGGCTCCCTCGTTGTATGGACAGATGGACAAATCCAGATCCTGGTGGATGGAGCACAACCCTCTTCATAAAGTCTGTAGCAAGGGTGAACACAGATAATGGAACTAAAAGACACCTCTGAGTCTGTCAGCTCACAGGCACTTGCACACTTCTGACAGTGTGTTTAGTACATTGCAGCAGCCACCCTCAATGTTGGGCACACAACTTCAGTCAGAGGATCATCCACCAGCACCTTCAGTGTTGACTCGGATCGGCAGCCCTGTGCCAATAGTTTCCTTCTGCACTTTGGTCTGCCTGCAAGAATTTTAGGCCCAGTACTGCCTGCGAAACAGTTCCTGGACTTCCCAGCAGCTTGAAGACTCAGGGTTCCCTCAGACACTCCAAAGTCAGCTCTTATAGTTAGAAACCTCGGCAAGGCAAGGAGAAGGAGGAGGAGAAGATAAAGGAGGGCAAGTGGGAGCCCCGGGCAGGAGAACTGCTCCCAGGGCACAGCACATAGCTCTGTGATGACAGGGGTGATGGGTAAACAGATTCCTATCGGGAGATCATTGTATACTCCAGCTGTCGCCCATTCCCACCTTGCCCCATGCTTGTACCAGCACACACATGCTCAAACAAAGCCAAGTTGCACACTCCAGCATCCACACTCCCACGTGCACAGGGCACTACACACAGGAGGGAACCATGCCCCATGCTCCAAGAATCGTGTGATGGAGGCTGGGGAGGTGGGGAGTTGCAGAATAGCTAAAGTCTTTTTTTTTTTAATTTTCTAGTTCCTGTTAGTGTAGTGACTGACTAGCGACCTCACGCTCCTGGTGCCCAGCTAGGTCCAGGATTTCCCAACAGTCATCTGGAGAACACACTATTGGGCTTCCATCCCTCCCTGTACCCAGCTGGGACACCACCTCCTGGCCCCCTCAGCTGCTGCCACTCCACCTTCCTCTCAGCCTCCCAGCTCAGGTATCTGCCACAGAATCTGCCCAGTCCTGGTGTCTCAGCTTAGCACTACCCTGTGGTCTAGGGGGAGGCTGAGCCACCACCTTCTCCCTACTGCAGTTCTATCCAGGGGCGAAGCTCCCGTTGTGAGAAAAGTTGGGGAAGGTTTGCACCCTGACTCGCTGGTGCCTCCCAGCCCCTAGGTTCTTGGGTGTGTCCCTACTCCACCTCCAGGGGACTTCCTCCCCCTCAGTTCTGCTCCTTCCCTGCTTCTGGGTCTCTCTGTCCTGGACCCCTCAGACCCAGACCTTTCAGAAGAGGCAGCTTGCTTCCAGTGTGTCCCCCTCCCATGGTTTGGGCATGTCTGTACATGTTTTTTTTTTTTTTTTTTTTTTTGAGACGGAGTCTCGCTCTGTCGCCCAGGCTGGAGTGCAGTGGCGGGATCTCGGCTCACTGCAAGCTCCGCCTCCCGGGTTCACGCCATTCTCCTGCCTCAGCCTCCCAAGTAGCTGGGACTACAGGCGCCCGCCACTACGCCCGGCTAATTTTTTTGTATTTTTAGTAGAGACGGGGTTTCACCGTTTTAGCCGGGATGGTCTCGATCTCCTGACCTCGTGATCCGCCCGCCTCGGCCTCCCAAAGTGCTGGGATTACAGGCGTGAGCCACCGCGCCCGGCCGTCTGTACATGTTAAACCATCCTCCACTCTTAACCAAGTCTGGCATTTTGCTTTTTTTTTTTTTTTAAGGAGGTGGTGGGGTGTTTGGGTGACTGCTTGCCTTAAATAGAATTCAATAGAGTTCTTCTCACTGTCTGCCCTTTCACTGAGTTTGTTGGTTGAAGAGAGAAGAATAAGAAGTGCAGGTGGGGACAACCAGGGGAAGATTGGCAATCAAATGCCACCCCTGCAGGCCTGCTGCCCAGAAGGCTATGGTGAGCAGACTGCATGCTTCTGGAAAAGAATTCTGCTTTGGGTTTGAATTTTTAACAGCCATGATGGGCTTTGGGATAAAGGCTTGTTCCTGTCTTCTGAGCCCCAAATAATGCTGTTTACTCTGGGCTTAGTGGCCCCCACATACCCTCCTTTCCCCACTCTCTGGCTAAGAGGCAACAGCCAGGTTCTCATGGAGTGAAAACTGTTGGTGACCTAGAGTCCAGAGTCTGGGGACACTGCCCTGGATTGGGGAGCCAGCCCACTCCCGCCTTGTCAGAGGGAACACGCACGTTGTCCCCTCCATATCTGTGGCTTTCCAGAGCTCCAAGAATCACCATGGTTCAGGAGCTTCATCCTCTCTTCAGCCAGAGCTACTTGGACCACAGAATCCTGTCATTCGGAAGGTCAGAGGAGAATCAGAGGCTTTGTGTCTTCATGTTCTGCCTGCGGCCTGCTCTCTCCTTCCTGTGTAACTCAGAGACAAAGACAGTCAGGCTTAACCTGAGAGATGAGCCCTTTCTGACACAATGAAGCTTTGAGCTCCATCCTGCCTATAGCTGGAAGCTGAGGGGGGCTACCTGGGATAGCAGAGAATGGAAAAGGGAACAGGGGCACTCAATATCTGGAGTCCTTATTTTTGTAGATCAGGAAATGAAAATGTAAGTGACTTGGCCAAGGACACCAAGTGATTTCTGGTCAGCTGGGGTTAGAATGCAGCTGTCTTTATTACAGATCAATTGCTCTTTCCATTTTACTTCTCCCAGAAAGCCGATCCGCTGCAAGGCACACTTAGCCTACTTGTAAAGCTTCCCAAAGGGCTGCAGCCTCTCTTCTTGTTTGTCTTTTGTGCCTGCAAGAGAAGAGATGGGGCCAGGTATGGTAGAGTGAAGAGGATTGGGGTCCAGTTCTCACAGGGAGGAGAACTTGGGGTCTCATGAGGAAGAGAGAAAAAGATGAGGGGCAGAAAAAAGAGGCTTGGGGGAAACTTGGCCAGAAGGACCAGAGGCTGGGCCCAGGGCAAGACTGAAGAGCTTGGCATCCTCCTGCGGGTACCAGATGTCAGGGGACCCATGCAGGGGGCAGGGGGATTCTAGCTGCAGCTGGGCAGAGCAGGTGGGGCATATGGGCTTCCTCCAAAGCTTCAGGCCTCCTCTCACAAACCCAAGAGGGTCAGTACCCATTCTCCCCAGATCAGCACTCAGCCCTTCCCCTGACATCTTCTGGCTGGGGAACTCAAACTCATTGAGAGGGTGATGGAGGGGCTGTAAACTACATGAGCACTCCCAAGGTTGGACCCACCTTCCACTGAGGAGGGGAGTGGGAGAGGAGAGGGGTGAGAACTGGCAGACAGTGGGGAGAAATGGAGAAGAGGGGACGGTGGCCATACAGATGCCCACGTATGCCCTTTGGGTGCATTCTACACAGGGGTAGGGGCCCAGGAGGACTGAATGCCTGTGGGTCTTGAAATCTATAGACTGCTGGGAAGATGCTGGAAAACAGGCACCTGCGTGCACACACACACAATTGCTCTGGAACATCACTGTCATGTATTGATTCATTTTGACACAAAATACACCATGCATACATTTATGTCAAATAACGTGCACATGCATATCTAGATGGTAAAACTGGCTGCATGGTGTGGCTGCTCATCACCTCTGCCTCCCTGTGCCCTATTTTCATCTCCAACTCAGCCCTTCAACCACCCTGCTCTTGGATCTTGCCCCCAGATCTTGCTAAGGAAGCGTGTGGAGTGTGAAGCTCCTTGGGCGCGGAGGCTCCGTGGGGCCAAGGACTGGGAGGTAGGAAATGAGGGCTTGAAGCCCCAGGGATGGAGCTACAACGAGTGATTGGGATGAGAAAAGGGATCCGGGACTAAAGTCACTTTCTAGGGAAAGGTGCATGGCAGTTCTGCAATAAATTAGACCTCTTGACCTATGAAAGTTGAAGTGACTTCGTGTGCATTGGGACCGTGGGTGAAGCATATTTCTTCAGATGCGCTGGATGTTTGAGTACAAAAGGACATTGGAGAGTTTCAGAACAAAGTGCTTCCCAGGGAACTGCAGAGCCAGCGCGACAGTCAGATACCTCCAGTCAGGCACCGCAGCAGCGTACCGCGCCCCCATCCCTGGGGTGGGAGGTGTAGGGGGTAGGGTGTGTGTGTGTGTGTGTGTGTGTGTGCGGTGTCTGTAGTGTGTGTGCATGATGTGTGTGGTATATGGTGTGTGTGCAATGTGTGTGGTGTGTGACGCATGTGTGTGTGGTGTGTGTGTGGTATGTAGTATGTGCGGTATGTGGTGTGTGTGTGGTAGGTGTGTGCTGCATGTGTGTGCTTTGTGTGGGGGTTGCATGGTGTCTGCTGTGCATGTGTGTGTGGTGGTTGTGTGTGTGTGGTATGTAAGTGGTGTGTATGTGTGGTATGGGTGGTGTGTGCTGCCTGTGTGTGTGCTGCATGTGGGTGTGGTGTGTGTGGGCTGTGTAGTATGTGGTGTGCATGTGTGTGTGGTGGTTGTGTGTGTGTGTGTGGTATGGGGTGTATGTGTGTATGTTGATGTGTGTATATGTGGTGTGTACATGTGCATGTGTGTGTGTCTGCATGTGTGTGTGTCTGCATGTGTGTGTGTCTGCAGGTGTGTGTGTGCGTGTGCATGTGTATGTGTCTGCAGATGTGTGTGTGTCTGCAGGGGTGTGTGTGCCTGTGCATGTGTGTGTCTGCAGGTGTGTGCGTGTGCAGGTGTGTGTGTCTGCAGGTGTGTGTGTGCGCGCAGGTGTGTGTGTGTCTGTAGGTGTGTGTGTCTGCAGGTGTGTGTGTGTCTGTAGGTGTGTGTGTCTGCAGGTGTGTGTGTGCATGTGTGTGTCTGCAGGTGTGTGTGCGTGTGTGTGTCTGCAGGTGTGTGTGTGTCTGCAGGTGTGTGTGCGTCTGCAGGTGTGTGTGCAGGCATGTGTGTCTGCAGGTGTGTGTCTGTGTGTGTCTTCAGGTGTGTGTGTGTCTGCAGGTGTGTGTGTGTCTGCAGGTGTGTGTGTGTAGGTGTGTGTGTCTGTAGGTGTGTGTGTCTGCAGGTGTGTGTGTGCATGTGTGTGTCTGCAGGTGTGTGTGTGTCTGTAGGTGTGTGTGTGTCTGCATGTGTGTGTCTGCAGGTGTGTGTGTGTCTGCAGGTGTGTGTGTCTGCAGGTGTGTGTGTGTCTGCAGGTGTGTGTATGTAGGTGTGTGTGTGTGCAGGTTGTGTGTGTGTCTGTAGGTGTGTGTGTGTCTGCAGGTGTGTGTGTGCATGTGTGTGTCTGCAGGTGTGTGTGTGTCTGCAGGTGTGTGTGTGTGCATGCACTAACTGTCATGGGCTCCTTTGCAGGCTTTATGAGTTGGCGCACGGCTGGTGAACCCAGTGACTGGAACAAACTCCAAGCTGAGTGAGTAAGCAATGCTTTTGACCTCACTACCCCTTGCTGGTTCCATCCCTCATGAGCAGAGAGCAAGGACACGCCCTCCAAGAGGCCAGGGGACACTGCCACAGGCCACACACTGACACTTGACATACCACAACACATATACCACACACACTATACAAATACACCAATACACCCCCAAAATACCACACACACTATAGAAATACACCAATACACCCCCAAAATACCACACACACTATAGAAATACACCAGTACACCCCCAAAATACCACACACATGCAATGCATGTACACACACACTACACACACACACACACACACCCCTCACCACAGAGACTAAGAGCAAGGGAGCAGAGATACTATTGCACAGTGACAGAGGCAGTAAGACAGGAAAAACTGAGCGAAACATAGAAAGACATAGGACAAATAAAAAGTGACAAAGCCAGAAAAAAACTATACATATACTTTTCTGGCTCTAAATCAGTGGTTCTCAATGGAGAATGATTTTGCCAATGTCAGCGTGTAAAGACATTCATGAGCAGCGTGTAAAGACATTCCTTGGTGGTCACAATGGAGGGGAGGGACATGCTACTGTCACCCAGTGAGTGGAGGCTCGGATGCTGCTAAACTTCCTACAATGCCTAGGACAGCCCTTGCAGAAAAGAATTATTTGTTCCGAAATATCAATAGTGCCGGGGTCGAGAAATTGTGCCCCAAATGCGGAAACATCGGGGGCACAGGAGCTCTTTGGAGCTCCTGTGCCTCCAGCTCAGGACTGTGTAACTGTGACCTCTCTGCCCCTCTCAGGGGCCGTCAGAGGAGGCTCTGACACTCTGCCCTGGGGCCCCCAGGGAAGCCTGAGGACCTCACTTTCACTTAGCATTTGAGGCTCAGCCCCAGGCAGGGAGGACTGGTTTAACCACCTGGTCCCCAGGTTGCCTGCTCCAGTCCTGTCCTCCCTCCCTCTTGGCTCCTGACCCCTTCGGTTCTCTTCAGGGCTTGGTCAGAGGCCACCACGAGGGCAGAAAAGAGGTCAGGCCATGCACTCATCATTATGGATAAAATCATTGAGAGGAAGAGCGACTCACTCAGAAGTCACACAAGTCTTATTATTTTTGGAGCCTGGGAAAGGGAACCGGGAGAGGCCAGCCCCGTGAGTGCTCTCCCAGGATCTCCAGTCTCCCCCTCACCACCTTCACCCCAAAACTCACAGCCTCCTGGGCATGCCCACTCCTTGACTGTGGGTTACAGAACCGATTCCTCCCATGTCAGGAGGTGCTGCCCTGGGGTGGAGTGGCACAGAGGGGGCTGTGCTAGTCTCAAGGGAGAAGGAGGTCCACGGCATCCTTCCTGTCCCCTGGAAACAAGCAATATGGGATGCAGGTTTAAGATGTGAGACTGAGGCTGGACGCGGTGGCTCACACCTGTAATCCCAGCACTTTGGGAGGCCGAGGCAGGCGGACCACAAGGTCAGGAGATCGAGACCATCCTGGCTAACATGGTGAAACCCCGTCTCTACTAAAAATACAAAAAATTAGCTGGGCATGGTGGCAGGCGCCTGTAGTCCCAGCTACCCGGGAGGCTGAGGCAGGAGAATGGCGTGAACCCAGGAGGCAGAGCTTGCAGTGAGCCGAGATCACGCCACTGCACTCTAGCCCGGATGACAGAGCAAGACTCCATCTCAAAAAAAAAAAAAAATGCGAGACTGAAAGTGATTGGTGGGGGTGCTTTCAGGAGCTTCTGGGGGTAGTGCCACCTACCCTAGGGCCACCTTCCCTTACTGATACGATGTTAGGTCCAAAGACCAAGAGAACATTGCAGCCAGAAGCTTATATCCTGCAAACTTGTCCTCCCCTCCCATCTGGACACCCCAATTTTGAGTCTGTTGGCTGATCCATGCACAACACCAGGTGGAGGAGGCTGAGGAAGAGGAAGAGCATTGGAAAACAACTTTGTCCTCCTCCTATCCTCCTCCCTCCCTAAGTCTCCCTCCCAAAGCCTCCCTCCCCCAGCCTCTCTCCCCAGCGTAACGAAGGCCTCATTGCTTTCTCTCCTTCCCCACCAGACACTAAACTGGGGTCTTTGAAGCTAAATAGGTCTTTGAAGCGACAAACCACTGGCTTAATGGGCACAAAGGTCTTGGGGTTCAAGGTTTGGGTTCTAGCACCTTCCCCCAACCCAGCCCGAACCCACTGACCCAGGTGGGTGGGGACGAAGCTAATCCAATTGAACTGTTTGCTCAGGACTGCGTGGCCTGGCCTCTGCCCAGCGGCAGGAACACAAATAGCTTTCCACTTGAAGGGGTCCTTCTCTCCCCTGCCCTACCTCAGCATCCACCTCCCTCCACACACCGACTCCCCCCACACACAGCACATATGACACACACCCCATGACATACATACACACACAACACACACCATACATACACACATAGTAAACCCACCATACACTACACAAATCATGTATACACCACACACACACACACACATCATGTACACGCACACATACCTTAAAGGTACCATATACATCACCCACTACACACCATACACACAACACACATGCAACAATCTTTCCACAATACGTATATACACAACACACATGTCACACATACCATCACAGACACCACATCCACACGCTCTACAGGCCATACCTACACATATCACATATATCATACACACGTAGACACATACCAAACACACCACAGGCACATCATATACATACAGCATACCACACACAAAACACCCCACCGATGCACATCATGAACACACGCATAAACACCACACACAAATGCACATGGGCACACACGCCATACACACGCCACACACACACTCCCCTGGCTGGGTCTTCCAACTCTGAGTCAGAGAAAGTTAGGACAAAACAGACTCTGAAGCTAGGAAGTGATCCACACACCTGTGACTCTGAACACCCAGACACCTGCCCCTAGGCTATTGGCACCTGGCTGGCACCAGGAGGTTGGATAAGCCCGGGCTTCTGCCCCTTTCCAGTGGAAAAGTTGAACTAAATGACCTTTCCGACAGCTTCCAGCAAGCTCATGATGGAGCTCTTTGTTGTGGGAAGACGATGGGCCATGCTTAATGCCATCATTCTTCTGTATGACTGTGCGAGTCACTTAACCTCTCTGAAGCTCTGTTGGCCAGTTAGAATGAGGAGGTGTGCTAGGGAGAAAGAAGTGGGCTTGGAATGAGGGATGGGTGTGAATCTTGCCTCTGCCACCTCTATGGCCTTGGGAGAGTTCCTTTACCATGGTGAGCTTTGGTTTCTCCCATCAATACAATGTAGATAATAATACCTGCCTTGCAGGTTTGTTACGAGTTTACCTGGGAACGCTCAGTTAAAAGGCCCAGCACACAGTAGCAGCTGAATGTCACCTCCACGGGAAGGCTGGCAGATAGAATACTTGCAAAACGTGGGGTATATTTATACTAAAAAATTCTTTGTTGTTTATCTAAAATTCAAATTTGACCACGTGTCCTGTATTTTATCGGGCACCCACCCCATGCACGGGGCATTGTGGACAGTCTGTGGAGCTCCTGAGCAGGGGGTCTGCCCAGAGCTAGATTTTGTGCCCTGGCTGGTGAGCGAAGAATGCATTTTACATCTTTGGGGGTGGTTAGAAAACAACCACCAAAACAAAACCAAAGAATAACGTACATTAGAGAGTGTACATGGCTTGCAAAACCTAACATCTTTACATTTCCTATCAGCCCTTCCAGAAAAAGTTTGCTGACCCAAAGGTGATGGGGACTGAGAGGAAAGTCTGGGAGAACTGAGTATCTTCGCAATTTATATACCTATTTCAGGCCTGGCAAGAATGAAACTGGAAGAGTCCAGAAAATGGAATTCTCCAGGACATAAGCAGGGGGAGGCAGAGAGTGAGGCAGGTGGTCGGCAGAAGAGGCACTGTGGGAAAGTGGGGCGCTCCCTCCTGGGAGTCCTCAACATTGGGAATGGGCCTGCCCTGACTCCTCCCCTCCTTTCTCACTGCCTAGAGTCTCTCAGGGTAGGTCACTGGGTGTTCTGACGTCCAAGGGAGGCCTCGCCAGTCTTTCTGAAGGCCTCCCTGGTTGTGACTGGCCTGGGGGCAGGGAGAGAGCCCTGGGTGGAGAAAGAATTGGAGTTGGCACAAGTCCCCCTTGGTAGGCAGGTCTGTGGCTGGCCTGTGTCTTTAAATCTCAGGTAATTTGGGAGGAGGGAGGGCGTGTCCGTGCAGCTTTGGCTCCTCCTGCTCACTCCCAGCAGGAGCTCCAGACAGGCCAGCCCTGCAGAGTCCTGGCTGGCTCTGCCAAGTGTAACAAACTCACAGCCCTCTCCAAACTGGCTGGGGCTGCTGGGAGACTCCCAAGGAACTCGTCAGGAAGGCAGGAGACAGGAGACGGGACCTCTACAGGGAGACGGTGGGCCGGCCCTTGGGGGGGCTGATGTGGCCCCAAGGCTGAGTCCCGTCAGGGTCTGGCCTCGGCCTCAGGCCCCCAAGGAGCCGGCCCTACACCCCATGGGTTTGTCACTGCCCAAGGAGAAAGGGCTAATTCTCTGCCTATGGAGCAAGTTCTGCAGATGGTTCCAGAGACGGGAGTCCTGGGCCCAGAGCCGAGATGAGCAGAACCTGCTGCAGCAGAAGAGGTAAGGCCCCCTTGGTCTGCTCCCTTCCCCACCTCCCCAGGCCTGCACCTCTACCCCTCACCCCTCCCTCACCTCCCGTCTTTGTTTGGCACCTTTGGCTGGACAGATGGTGCTCCCAGGCCCGGACTGGCTCCTTGGGAGCATTCTGTCTTAAGAGCCTCAGCCTGTAGGGCTGGTGAAAGAGGATGGGGTTGAGATGGGCACAGGTGTTCACTATCTTAAGATCTAATTCGATTCTGCAAGCCTCTTGTGAGTACTTCTCTAAGGGCCAGGCGTCTTGCTGGGGCTTGTAAGGATAGAGCATCACAGCCCCTCCACCCAAGAGGGGACGGCAGGTGAGGACAATGCCTTCTGTATCTCCACTGCTTGCCTCTAGAACAGTCTCTCTGGCAGGAACACATAGTATACATATGTTCGCATGGAGGAATGAGTGAACGATTGAATGAATGAAGCAGAGAGAACCGCGGACACCAGGAACCAGAAAATAAGACAAAATGTGAAAAAAGTGACCATTCCTATGTATCTGTCTCATCAGACACTGACCAAGGCCTTACTATTTGCCCAGCACTGGGGGGATATGAAGACCTACAACGCTCAAACCCAACCTTGAGGTGTATTTCTCTCTCAGTGCGGGTGGGGACTGAGGGGAAGCGGGTCAAAATAACAGATGTTCCGAGGACCTGTGCTCTTCCGCATTCAGGTGGTGGAAATCGAGACTCTAGCGTTTAAGCCCTAAGGACATTCACTGGTGGCTTCCAGCCCCTGAAAACTTCCTAAACCCGTGTCCTGCTTTCTTCACCATGACAGCTTGGAGTACAGAGCAGGAGAGGAGCAGGGAATCGGAACTCAGGGCTATCCCTGCATGTGGTCTCTTCTTCAAGGTCTCTAATAGAGTTCTCTACCCAGTTGGTGGCATGCTAGAAGGAAGTCCTGCCTGTTGGGGCTTTCCCTGGGTCACGAAGGAGGCAGATGTCTGGTCATAGAGGAAAGCCTGAAGTCTTTGTGCCTTAGGGTTTTTCTCTGACCCCAAGAGTAGGAGCCTGCTTTAGCCTGACCGGGGAGGCTGCCTGGAGGCCCCTGTGTTTTCTTTTGCTGAAGGATTCTGGGTTGGGGATGGTCTCTTTCTGTGAATTATGGCTTCCCATCTCTCCAGCCGCCCACCTCTCCCCCAAGGCCTGGGAGAGTGGGGACTGGAGCACATGTTTGGCTGATGACATCTTGGGGCAACAGAATGGCATTGTTGTTAGAGAGTAGGTCGTCCTCACTGGCTTCACTCATCCTCTTCCCACTCTTAGGACCCCAGGGCCAGGGGATCCAGGCACAGAGTGCAAAAAGGCCTGGGGGATTGGAAGGGGTGGTGGAGATTCCCTGTGTGCGATATCAGGGGAGAGCAGAGGGGAGGCCCTGCGCTGAGTGGCTGAGAATAGGCTGCTTCCGCATGTCCTGTCTGCCCTCACTTTTCCTCAGATCATATGGGGGCTGCCTCTGCAGACTTTGGCTAGAAAGGCTTGATGTCACCCTTGGGAGGGATCCCCCCTCCCTGCCCTGATCTCCTTACTGGCCTCCGCACTTTCTTGGCCTTCTTCTTGCTGGATATCAGGTGTCCAGAGCAATGACTCTTCTTTGGGTGGGCACTTCCCAGAAGGATGCTGAAATTGCCTGCAAGGGGAGTTTCCTAATCTGTGCCGTCAACCAAAGAGAAGGCATGGGGGCATTGAGATAAACATGGGATGACTAAGTAAATAGGAACAATATGGACAAGTGAGGGGTGAGCTAATGGAAGAAAGGAGCACACAATGATTGAGAACCCAGTGCTGTACTAGGTACTACCACCTGCCTTATCTCCGTCATCCCGGTAACAATAATGGAAGGTGGGTCCTGTTATCCCCCTATGAATGGGGCAGGCCCAGAACCCTAGAGCAAGTAAATGGTGAAGTTGAATTTGTTCCAAAGGGGACTCACAGGGAGAACTGTGGGGTGGGATTGCGTGGGATTCCATGCGGTACAGGATGGTCTAGTGAGAAAGGAAGGCTTTGAGTCTCTCCAGGATGATCGGGAACCCAAACTCCTCTTTTTACAGTGGACGTTTCTTGGTGCTTAGCACGCAGCCCGCTCTGCTTAAATCTACATTGCTGGGATCCAAGTCGAGCTCTCAACTTTCTCCCGTGTCCTCCAGGTCATCTCCCCCTTGGGCTTGGGTTTTCTCACTTCCTGATATTTAATGCATTACACATTTATTGAACATAAGGCACTCCACCTTTCTGCAGAAAATGAATATGACACTGTTCCTGCTCTCAGGGAGTTCTCATTCCTATGACCAAAGTTTACTGAAGGCACATACGGGGCTAAAGATGGGCTTAGTAGACATCACTAGAAGGGTGTAAATGAGTGTTCTGGAAGCATAGAGGGGGAAGTGTGAGATCTGATTTCGGCTGCTGTGGGGTGTCCTGGGCAGCTTCATAGAGGCTGCTTAACCTGAACCCCACTCCAGCCCATGTGCTGGCACTTTGTCATCTAAGGAGCAATTTGGAGGGAAGGTGATGCTTGTTGGAGCTTTTTTTAGGGTTAAATACCTGTATGAAATGTGTGAATTGAGTGTCTGAAAAGTCATCCCTGGGTTTCTCTGGTATATTGTGCACGCTTGCCTTGGTAAATACTTACACACATGCCTACTTGTAAATGCGCAAATAGACATGTGCACAAAAGGAGCTGTGGCACTTAGGATGGCAGCCGATTCCAAATCTCTAAACAACCACTTTGGCTTTCTCATCCCCATTGCCAGGAACATGAGCTGGAGGGAGGTGGCCCACAAGTGCCCAATGTATGCCTCCGCCCCACACATTACCGCTCTTTCCTTCATCTGTGGTCACTGCTCAGGCTTGCCCCCCAACCTCCAAGAAAAATCAGGAGGAGCCATAAAACTAGAAGAACCACATAATTTAGTGGTCAGAGCCTGGGGCTGGATTCTTGGCCAAGCATCCTGCCTTTAACTCCGTGTGATCTTCTGGCAATGATTTGGTTATGCCGCTTCAGTTTCCTTTTCTGAAGCATGGGAGAACTATTCAGCTGGTGTTAGAAGGTTGTAAAGAGCAAAAGTGATAATGAGTGAGATGCTGCGGGAATGAGAGGGGCCATGAACTTCCCCTGCACAGCACTGTATCCACCCAGGAATGCAAGAAGCCACGCACTCCGAGCAACCCTGTTATGTACCAGCCCCAGCCCTGCCCAGAGGGTACACTCACTGGTGGGAAAGGTATTTGTGGAGAGACCAGTGGGACCCATGCCTGTCTTCTCTAACTCCTCTTCCAGCCCTGATTAAAACTGAGAATCGTGACCAAGAAATGACCAGTGGGGCATGCGTCGTGGCTCTGTCTCTGACTTGCTTCCTCCATCTGTTTCATGAGCAGATTTGACTCAGTTTCTGAGGGGCTTTCTAGCTCTAAAAATCTTATTTGAACTTTTCTCAAGAGTCTTGTGATCCTGCCTTGTTTCTCAGCACCTAAAAACCAAATTGGACCCATGCACACAGTGCACACATCTACAAGGATGGAGGAGCAGATGAGGGTGTGGGGCGGAGGAGACGGAGAGAGGAAGTCAGGAATCCTTCCCTGGTGGCCCAGAGGCAGCCCTGAGAAGGAGGTCATTGATCTGTTTGCTCAAGAAATAATGTGCTAGATTTTGTGCCAGGAACCCCTTAGTTGGGTTTTCACCAGGCTAATGTTGAACTAGACCGTTCAATTTTATTATAATTAATTGCCTAGTAAAAGAAAACATTCTAGAACCTGAAAATACCTTTCATATTGTTACAGTTTCAGATTTGCTCTATAATCTCTTTTGACTACTTCATCAGTGGGAGCTTAAAAGGCTTCATCTGACTTTTTTTTGTTTCTCCCTTAGTTGAGTATTTAGTGATCCATAAGAAAACATTTTTATGTATAGGATATTTCTGATTCCTTTTCGAGTGAAGAATCCTCATTCTAAAACGGATTATGAATCATTGTACCTCTGAATCAGGGGTTCTCCACCTTGGACTATTGACATTTTGGACAGGATAATTCTTTGCAGTGAGGGCTGTCATGTGCAGGGTGCTTAGCCGTGTCCCTGCCTTTGACCCCCGTGTTGTGATCTAAACTCCTGTGATAAGTTGCTATTGAAAAATCTATTTGTCCCCCAAGCACAGGAATCTTTGAGTAGGTCAGCTCTGTGCACCTCCTTCAGGGACCCAAGGAGAGTCAGGTGTTTTGGGGTCAGCCTTACTCCCAAGCAGGTGAGCTAGGGCTTTCTGTGCTGTCCCCTTGTGGGCATATGAGGTTATTGCAAGTAATGGCTGGGCCGGATACCTTCAAAACCCGTCCACAGGCTGGGCCCCCCTTTTTGCTGGAGTCTGGAGTTCACAGTCGGAGGAGGCTAGTTCTCTACAAACCTTGCTGGGTTGGGTCATAAGCTGGCTCTTCACGCAGGGTGTGGTCTGGCTAGGTTGCCAGATAAAATGCAGGACACTCAGTTCAATTTAAATTTGAGATAACGAATAGGCTGCTAGTATAAGTGTATCCCCAATATTGCACGTGACATACTTATACTAAAAAAAAATTGTGCATCTGACATTCAAATCTAACTGAGCATCCTGTATTTTTATTTGGTAACTCTAGCAACTCTGGGTCTGACAGTAGCTTTTTGTTTTCCCCAGGCCACTAGAGTGTCAGAATTCATAGGGAATGGAGGTTTATGGGGGACACTTTCAGCTTCAGAGACGTGTAGGGACCAAAGGGGAATCTTTGAGCCTGCCACTGACTATACCACCACTAACATCTAGGATACAGCGAGTAGAACTCTGGACTTGGAAAAGGTGCTCTCTCGGACCCATTTCTAGATTTGCCATCAATCTTTCACACATTTGGTCAAAATGGGACACAAACGTGGAAGCATATTGGAGGAGGGCAGGGAAGAGTTAGTGGCTGGTCTCTTCCCTCGAGTACCCTTAGCATAGAGGAAGGGACACAGATACATAGCAATTACAGCACCCAGTGAAAGATGCTGAAATAAAAGTAAGGCCACAGGAGAGAGTGAAGAACTTCTGAGTGTCTGTGTGTGTGTATGTGGTGCTAGCGATTGTTTTCCCCTCAGTCTAGGGTATCTAGAGAGGAGGGCTTTGTGCAAATGGTTGATGTGGTGGTGGTGATGGAGGGAATGTGGAAAACTTGTTTTGAAGCTGTGTTTGCATACCAAGTGTACTATTTTTCACTTATATGCTTGCTGAAAGTTGGCTTAGCGGGCAGCTGATGAAAATAATAATAACAGTTAATTCAAACCACCTTTTGGCATTGCTGCTGATTCATTCACTCTACAGATGGTGTCAGTGAGCATCTACACCATCCTAGGTGTATTTCTAGGCATAGGCAGTGCAGAAGACACAATGAACAATTGGCGGGCTGGGGGAGTTGGATTCTAGAAGGAAAGAGCTTCATGGGCACAGACATAGGGAGAATGGTGTGCTCTGCAGTGCTGAGACAGGATGAGACCAAAATGCCAGGTCTAAGGAGTGGGTGGGACGTGCAGAGGGTGGAAAAGTAGTTGCACAAAGACCTTAAAGAGCTTCTGTGTTCCTTATCCTTAGCATTTTGCTAATCTGGGCTAGAGAATGAAGACTTGAATTAATGAGGGTTAGCAGGAGCAAGGAGGTAGGGACTGAATGAAGAGAGAGCTTTCCATGCTGAACTGACAGGACCTGGTGGCAGCTGCTGTGCATGGGGGCAAGGCAGAGGAGATGAGTGAGCTGATGTCTCCTCTCTGATTGCCCTCCCACCTCCAGCTCTGGAGTCAATTTCTTGCCACTGCCAGCGCTTTAGAATGTGAGCTCCTGTCTATGTCTTTTTGTATGTCACATAATTGTCAAACTATGGATAAATAGAGTTATTTCATTTACTCCCATAGAAAGACCAAATGGCTCCAGGCCAAGAGAAAATTGAATCAAAGGGACCCATGTGTCTTAGTTGGGGTAAGTTCTAATTTTAAAAGAGATTTTTAGCACACAGTAGGTATAAGAATAAAGAGATGATCTGGGGATTCAGAGAAGATAATTTTGCCTAAAACAAGCGAGAAGTGGATAATAAGGAGAGACTAATCTGACTCAGCAAAATAAACGGATCCATGAATCCCAAATTGGGTAAATCCAGGAAGGGTCCGAAGACAGAATGGGAACATTCAGATGCACATGAAATTCGATGAATGAATCCTCTAGATTGGATTCTCTTTTTTCTCTGCATCTGTCATTGTTGGCCATAGTTTGTGTCTTAGGGGCCAATAGCCGAAACAAAGTAGTATCTAAAGCCCTCTAGACAGCTGGTCTGAAAATGATGGAGAACACTGTTTCGCAAACTTTAATGTGAGCTGTTTGGAAACTGAGACCCCTGAGCTTGTCTCTGATTTATCGCCACCGGTTTTTGCATGCAAGGACCACTTAAGCAATGCTTCTCCAACTTTCATATGCCCAGGAATCAGCTGGAAATCTTCTTAAACTGCAGATTTGGATTCACTAGGTGGAAGGGTCCGCCAGAGCATTTCCATTTCTTATAAGGGCTCATGTGCTGCTGCTGATCCAGGGGTCCACTTTAAGAAGGAAGGCTGTTGAGATGATGTGAGAAGAAAGACGAGAGGCAGAAAGGAAGAGACAGAGATAATGAATGAATGAATGAATGAATGAATGAATGAACACCTATGAGGAAGGAAGGCCTGGAGCCAGGCTTGTTCTTATGGTCCACTGTTCTTTTGTGTTAAGCCCTGAAGATGCTATTGTTGGGAGGGAAGCGCCAGGATCAAAGGGTTCTGCTGAGAAGGTTGAGTAGGCAGAGGATGGTGCAACAGGAGAAATCCTGCTAGCCTGTGCATATGACTCCCTCCACAAATATGAGACAGGAATTCCTTGCACCCCTCGGTCCATGCAAAACAAGGCTTATCCTGGAGGGCAATCTCAGGGCACCTGGTGAGGGTCAAACAGGACCACTCCAGGGGTAAACTGGTTAGCAGGTAAGCACATGTCTACATAGAACTCCTCCCCTCCGTACCTGAAATGCACTGATAATACATTCACACATGATACATTCTGGTCCCAGGACCCGGTAGGGGGGAAGGAAACCAGTCACGGACAATCTCAAAACGCATGCTAAATGGGCAAAAAGTTGATTGTATTTACTGACTGTAAAGAGAAAAGACATCAATGGCCCCACCTGCCTTGATTGAAGACCCTGAGGTTCCTGCTGCTGAGGCACACACATCTGTGTATAATAATGGAGTCAAGCCAGGGCCTCTCCCTCCACAACTAGGTATGCTCACTGTTTCCAGCTTTCCTATTCCATCCCTTCATAGGATCTGGGAGTCTCCTCTCCTTCTAGCTGCCAAAGATAATGATGTCCAGGCCCTGAACAAGTTGCTCAAGTATGAGGATTGCAAGGTGCACCAGAGAGGTAAGAAGCACAAATGCAGCATGATCTCCTAGGTGAGCCCCACACATGGGGCCTCCCAGGAGTGCCCAGGACCTCGTGCTGTTGGCCTCTGAATCTATCGTCTCCAATCCGCTGTCCCACAGAAGCCATATAACCCACCTCTCTGTAAATGCCAGGAGCCATGGGGGAAACAGCGCTACACATAGCAGCCCTCTATGACAACCTGGAGGCCGCCATGGTGCTGATGGAGGCTGCCCCGGAGCTGGTCTTTGAGCCCATGACATCTGAGCTCTATGAGGGTGAGGGCCCACGGGTCTGGGGTGAAGAGCAGGAGTGACTGGTTGGGTATTTCAAGTCAGTCTCTGTGATGGATAATTTGGGAAAGACACAGGGGATCTGAGCCTCCTACTCTTTTTTTCTCTTCTCTGTCTCCCTTCCGTGTCAGTCCTGACTGCCCATCACTAGAACGCCTGCCCCCTGAAATGCCAGGGGCCTAGAGAAGAGGAAGAGATGGGCAGCAGCTGGATCCCCTGGGAATCCTGAACACCCGAGAGCTCCCTGTTCTCCATCCCAGGCTACCCCTGAGGGAAAGAGACTGGGGTGCATATGGGAGGGACCCCCTGCAGGATCCTGGGGACAGACCCGTGACTGACAGCTGTCTCTGGGCCAGGTCAGACTGCACTGCACATCGCTGTTGTGAACCAGAACATGAACCTGGTGCGAGCCCTGCTTGCCCGCAGGGCCAGTGTCTCTGCCAGAGCCACAGGCACTGCCTTCCGCCGTAGTCCCTGCAACCTCATCTACTTTGGTGAGAGCAGGGCTGGGCTTGGAGGACGGGCAGTTGGAAAGGTGGGCAAGGCAGGGCAGGGCCAGGCAGAGGAGGATCCTGTCTTCAGCCGTATCTGTTGGGCAGCTGGGAGGAGCAATCCTTCTAGGGCTTAATTAGACTAGAGGCCAATTTACCCCACGACCCTTCCTCTGGTTCTGCAGGAAAAGTGTCCTCAAGCCCTGAGCTGAGATGTGGGGGAAGATAAGGCTGTCACTTGGGGGAGACTGTCCACCCCATCCTGCCATCCTGCACTCTCCTACCATAGATCTCTCTGTGTCCACAGGGGAGCACCCTTTGTCCTTTGCTGCCTGTGTGAACAGTGAGGAGATCGTGCGGCTGCTCATTGAGCATGGAGCTGACATCCGGGCCCAGGACTCCCTGGGTAAGAGCTGAGATGGGGAGGGGAGCTGGGATGCTGCAGGGAGTGAGGGACAGGGTGAGGAGAGGGGCTGGGACCTTCAGGAAGACCTCAGGGTGGGGATGGGGACATCAGGGACTTTAGGCCAGTGGCCACATGATACCCTGTGTCCTCCCCAGGAAACACAGTGTTACACATCCTCATCCTCCAGCCCAACAAAACCTTTGCCTGCCAGATGTACAACCTGTTGCTGTCCTACGACAGACATGGGGACCACCTGCAGCCCCTGGACCTCGTGCCCAATCACCAGGGTCTCACCCCTTTCAAGCTGGCTGGAGTGGAGGGTAACACTGTGGTGAGAGACGGTCCCCATCCCTGAGGTGTCTTTCTAATGACCCTCAACCTATCCCGCTGGCCCTGGGAGAAACAGAGGTGAACGCGATCCCTGATGCTTAGATCCCATTCTCAACTCAGAAATTTTTCAACCCCTCCCACTGTGGTTACCTGTTCCCTTTCTTGCCCACTCCTTTTCCCCTGAGGCATTGGGGGTTACAGAGTCTAGATCCCATGCTAGGATTGTCTGTAATGCCCCAGCCCACCTTCCCTTTCAGCCCCCAGAGCAGGGCCCTCCAGCCTCTCGTCTCTCCTTTCCAAACTCTGGAGGGAGTCATGGGAGAGGATGAGGAACCTATGAATGTCACTGTGAATGTGGGTTCTTCTGCCCTCTAAAGGCTGTCATCAAAATGAAAGGGCAGCCACCTTCTCCAGGGGTGCCGTCCTCCTGCACATGCATCCTATCCACACTCTGTGACCGTCCCCTTTGCTTACTGCTCCTGAGTCATCTTCACTTTCCCTTAGATGTTTCAGCACCTGATGCAGAAGCGGAAGCACACCCAGTGGACGTATGGACCACTGACCTCGACTCTCTATGACCTCACAGAGATCGACTCCTCAGGGGATGAGCAGTCCCTGCTGGAACTTATCATCACCACCAAGAAGCGGGAGGTATGGCTCATGACAGCAGGCTGTGGCTGGGGAGGGGTGTCAGGGTCTCTGAGCCACCTGTTCTCTTTCTGTTGCAGGCTCGCCAGATCCTGGACCAGACGCCGGTGAAGGAGCTGGTGAGCCTCAAGTGGAAGCGGTACGGGCGGCCGTACTTCTGCATGCTGGGTGCCATATATCTGCTGTACATCATCTGCTTCACCATGTGCTGCATCTACCGCCCCCTCAAGCCCAGGACCAATAACCGCACGAGCCCCCGGGACAACACCCTCTTACAGCAGAAGCTACTTCAGGTGACACCCTTGTAGGAGCAGATCAGCAGGGCAGGACTTGGCTCTCTGTCCTCAGAGACTGGTGTCCCTTTCCTCCCTCACACCATTTCTCCCCTTGCTCTAATCTCAAATATATGGGTACAAACTCCAAATGCACGCCCACAAAAACACACATACGCTCTTACTCTGAGAGCAGAGTTTGAGAAGACCCAAACCTAACAGATTAAAAAGAATCTGCTAAGACTGGTGACCCTGGGCACCATGGAAATGCAGGGCAGAGGCCTGAAAGCCCTGAGCATTTTGACTGTTCTTCTCCCCCATTAGGAAGCCTACATGACCCCTAAGGACGATATCCGGCTGGTCGGGGAGCTGGTGACTGTCATTGGGGCTATCATCATCCTGCTGGTAGAGGTGAGGTGTGGATGGACTCTGGGTGAGGCTGTCTGCCCGAGGAATCCAGCCCAAGTTCCGGTATCTGAGTGCCTTTGTGTCTCCCTGACCTCTTCAGGTTCCAGACATCTTCAGAATGGGGGTCACTCGCTTCTTTGGACAGACCATCCTTGGGGGCCCATTCCATGTCCTCATGTGAGTTTCCTTCCTCTCACTCCCATCCCTTCCCTCAACAGGGCTCCAGTTCCACTCCTTGGATTCCTGACCTCTCAAGAACCTTAGCTCCAGAGCCCCCTCTCTAGTGCTGTGTGTATGACCCTGGGCATTGAGTGTGGGGAGGCTGAATCTGCATGTGTGGGTACTTTCCCAGCTACATTCTTGCTGTCAGGTCCCCAGGATCATCCCAGCCCTCCCCTCATCACCCTCCTCCCTGCTCCCCCAGCATCACCTATGCCTTCATGGTGCTGGTGACCATGGTGATGCGGCTCATCAGTGCCAGCGGGGAGGTGGTACCCATGTCCTTTGCACTCGTGCTGGGCTGGTGCAACGTCATGTACTTCGCCCGAGGATTCCAGATGCTAGGCCCCTTCACCATCATGATTCAGAAGGTCAGTCCTCCCCCCAAGCTCCCTAGAGAAAGGCCCCAGAGCCACAGTCAGCAGACGGTCCCATAAAGGGCAGAACAGTAGACATTGCAGGTTCTGCAAGCCACACATGGCCTCACTGCATGTTTTTCTTCTTTTTTAACAATCCTTTTAAAAAATGTAGAAACCCTTTTCAGTTCAAAGGCCACACCAAAGCAGGTCAGGTAGATCTGGTCCACAGGCCATAGATAGCCAATCCCTGTCCCAGAGGGTGGAGCTGTGAGACTTGTCGGGGTGAGACCTGTTAGAGGCTGGATGGGGCAATTGCTTGGGGAATGTGTGCAGATGTTCTCTGCCTCCTGCTCCTTCTAGATGATTTTTGGCGACCTGATGCGATTCTGCTGGCTGATGGCTGTGGTCATCCTGGGCTTTGCTTCAGGTAATCATCTGTCCAGGACCAGGGGCCATGGCAGGGAAGAGATGAGGAAGTCTAGGGGGCACTGGCTCTGGCTAAACTTGGGGAGGAGGAGTAATGCAGAGATCAGAGGAGACCTATGGTATCAGAGGATGGGACGTCCTCCAGAGGTGAGAAAAATCGGGAGTGTTAGGGAGAGGTGGCTCTTAGGATCAAGATGAGGCTCATACAAAACTAGGGACCGTAAAAACCCAAAGTTTGGAGCACTGCAGAGCTGGTGATATTGAGATGAAGGGACCAGGATGGACATGCACGCAGAGCCCGGGGTGGGCTGGTCGTCTGCATGGTTGCCATGGTAACCCTCACCCCCTTGGGTGGAGCAGCCTTCTATATCATCTTCCAGACAGAGGACCCCGAGGAGCTAGGCCACTTCTACGACTACCCCATGGCCCTGTTCAGCACCTTCGAGCTGTTCCTTACCATCATCGATGGCCCAGCCAACTACAACGTGGACCTGCCCTTCATGTACAGCATCACCTATGCTGCCTTTGCCATCATCGCCACACTGCTCATGCTCAACCTCCTCATTGCCATGATGGGCGACACTCACTGGCGAGTGGCCCATGAGCGGGATGAGCTGTGGAGGGCCCAGGTGAGCCCCCTGGTGGCAGGGAGGGTTAGGGCAAGTCATCCCCTTCCTACCAAGGAACCTGCCAAGCTGAGAGACAGGATATCTCCACCCCACTTATGTTTGGACAGTTGTGGCAAAGCTAGCAAAATCATGCAAAATGTACAGAAGCACTGATTAGCAATTCAACCAGGCAATACTGGAATCGCTGAGAAGAATGCCTCACAGTTTTCTCAACAGTTAAAAGCTCAGTGTTTTCTAGAGGAATCAACAAGAAATAAATCAAAAGAAAATTAACGTTGGCTAAAATTGCACTCAGTACATTTTGTTCCCAAATAAAAACTGGAGTATCAAGTCTTCTTGATAATATTTAAGTCTGCAAAATTTGATATGGAAAGCAGGATGTGTTAAAAAAGTAATGCCACCAAAACTTCCTATAGTAGCAGAAGCTATCTTCAGCCAGATCTTCAAGATAGGGAGAGAAGACCATGAGATGAATCAAATCCTCATTTAAAAAACACCTAGAAAATAATTTATCTAAAAAAATCATTTCAGCAAAATAATGGAAATTTCCCAAACTGGAAGGCATTTAACTATGCTGTGTAGAAAACGGAGTGGAAAAACTAAGCTGGGAAATAAGGTTCACTCAGAAAAATATTTTCTCCAGGAATATATATTGATATTCTAAGTGGGATGTTTATATTTATAAGTGGCCTTTATGTCTGTAGGGTCAAAATATCTGGGAGCCCTTAAAAGCCCTTTCTATTTGCTTTCTCTGGTGCCTGTGCTCCTGGGAATGGGGCTTCTGCTTCCTGTCTTTCTCCTGCCTCTGGCCTGGCTGCGTCATGGATGTTGGGTCATTGGGTAAAGAATTGTTGGTCTCAAGCTCTATCAACTCTCTCCCACTGAAGAAGGTCAACAAAGGCTGCCCTACCCCTACCTCTGTCTGCGCCCAGCCTCATCTCTGACTTCTCCTTTTGTTCCCATACGCAGATTGTGGCCACCACAGTGATGCTGGAGCGGAAGCTGCCTCGCTGCCTGTGGCCTCGCTCCGGGATCTGCGGACGGGAGTATGGCCTGGGAGACCGCTGGTTCCTGCGGTGAGTGATATGCGGGGGTAGGTGTCCCCTGAGAAGCCTCATCGGCAGGGTATCCCCCTGCTCAGACAGCTTCCGGCTCCTGGGTTCCCTGTGGAGGCCTGTGTGCTCCCTAGGCTCTATGCTTGTTGATTGAGCTGGTGAGGAAGGGGTCCCGTTTGGAGCTCAGACTTCCCAAAGCATCCAGGGAGTCTGTGGCAGAGCCTGCTGCTTTCTGAGGCCTAGCTGCCAAGGGGCCAGTGACCCAGGCATCCACCATGGCTGCAGAAAAGGGAAAAGGCCAGCAATGGCGGGGATGGGAGGACCAGGGGATAACAGACAAGCATCCTTCTTGGATCTGTTCTTCAAGTCCTGGCTGTGTCTCAAGTCCTCCCGCATTCCACAGGGTGGAAGACAGGCAAGATCTCAACCGGCAGCGGATCCAACGCTACGCACAGGCCTTCCACACCCGGGGCTCTGAGGATTTGGACAAAGACTCAGTGGAAAAACTAGAGCTGGGCTGTCCCTTCAGCCCCCACCTGTCCCTTCCTATGCCCTCAGTGTCTCGAAGTACCTCCCGCAGCAGTGCCAATTGGGAAAGGCTTCGGCAAGGGACCCTGAGGAGAGACCTGCGTGGGATAATCAACAGGGGTCTGGAGGACGGGGAGAGCTGGGAATATCAGATCTGACTGCGTGTTCTCACTTCGCTTCCTGGAACTTGCTCTCATTTTCCTGGGTGCATCAAACAAAACAAAAACCAAACACCCAGAGGTCTCATCTCCCAGGCCCCAGGGGAGAAAGAGGAGTAGCATGAACGCCAAGGAATGTACGTTGAGAATCACTGCTCCAGGCCTGCATTACTCCTTCAGCTCTGGGGCAGAGGAAGCCCAGCCCAAGCACGGGGCTGGCAGGGCGTGAGGAACTCTCCTGTGGCCTGCTCATCACCCTTCCGACAGGAGCACTGCATGTCAGAGCACTTTAAAAACAGGCCAGCCTGCTTGGGCGCTCGGTCTCCACCCCAGGGTCATAAGTGGGGAGAGAGCCCTTCCCAGGGCACCCAGGCAGGTGCAGGGAAGTGCAGAGCTTGTGGAAAGCGTGTGAGTGAGGGAGACAGGAACGGCTCTGGGGGTGGGAAGTGGGGCTAGGTCTTGCCAACTCCATCTTCAATAAAGTCGTTTTCGGATCCCTGCCCAGCTGCCCTTCTGCATCTCTGCAGTGCCATCTGCCGGCCCCACCCCTCTGCTCCTACGTTGAGGCCTCCCTCACCCTTTGTTGCAGACTGAGGCCTCACCACACCAAACCTGCAAATTCCCTTCTTTCCCTTTAATGAGGAGGGGGCTGGTGGAGAGGCGGAGGACCAGGGAATGCAGCCATCGGGAGGGTTGGGTTTGGTGTGGGGCATCTCTCACAGAGGCTGTTGGAGCCCGGCTCACGTCCCACATGTCCCTTCTCGGACCAGTGTCCAGGGCTGAGTCACGGGTATCGTCATTCTCAGACCTCCACTGAGCCCTGCTGCCTCAGGTGTTGCTGAAGGAGCTGGATGTGGTGCAGCAGCTTCTTCTGGTGGCCAGCCAGGGTGATGCCCAGGGCAGGCAGGTCTCTGGTGGGGAGGGAAGGGATCAAATCTGGGCCAGCTTCTCCGAGATCCCCAATACGACCCCCAGCCAGGGGCCTGGAGCATTCGCCCCCACCCCACCACTCCCTGCTTACTCTAGGCTGAGCTGAGCCACATCACTGAAGGTACAGAGGCCAAACTTGGAGAAGTTGTCCTGGTAGCACTCCAGTCCAATGGCTGAAAGCCAGGCCTGGGGTGAGTCCAGACAAGGAAAGTCCAGGGCCACAGGGGTCAGAAGGGCCTGGGAAGGCCTAAGAGGGGAGGGGCAAGCAGGGTCAAGGTCTCCTCTTCATCTTAGCCCCTCTCCTCAGTTTTCTTTAGGTTTGCATCTACCCTCCCTGGCTTTCCCAGGCTCTAGCCCCAAGCTCCAGACCTTTCCCCTGGGTCCCCGCCAGCCTGCAGGGTATCTGGCTTGCGGATCATCTTGTCAAATGCAGCCACCAGCTGGTCAAAATGAGGCCGCCGGGCACGGTCCTTCTGCCAAGTGTCCAACATAAGTAGATGTAATCCAGGAGGACAGCCTGGAGGCGGGGGCAGCCGGAACTCCTGCTCTATTGCATTTAGTACCTGGGGGTCAGAGGAAGACTATGACGATGGGAAGTTTTGTTAGTAGAGGGGAGTACTTTGTTGGGTAAGAGGGTGGGCTGGAATCTGGTGGAGCATGAGGTTGGAGTGGAGAAGGAACTCAAAGATATGGCAATCCAACAGCCATGAGATCTTAGAATACAAACGGAGTAGAGAATGGAGGTCCTAGAATGTTCCAACCTGGGAGGGATCGGGGTGGGAAATCAGCAGTGTCTAGGTCAGTGCTCACCTCCTGCTCACTCATGTCCCAGTAAGGCCGTTCTCCATAACTCATCACTTCCCACATGAGTATCCCAAAGCTCCAGACATCACTGGATGTTGTATGCTTTCCATGTGCAATGACCTCTGGGGCTGCCCAGCGAAGCAAACAACTTGGGCCCTGAGGGGTAAAGTCAAAAGCAAATAGTAATAAT
Source organism: Homo sapiens (assembly GCF_000001405.40). Classification (NCBI taxonomy): domain Eukaryota; kingdom Metazoa; phylum Chordata; class Mammalia; order Primates; family Hominidae; genus Homo; species Homo sapiens. Next base: position 142,869,782 of record NC_000007.14, on the reverse strand, counting down.
CATAGTAATAGTCACGTTTATTGAGCAACTACTATGTGCTCAGATATGCCAAGGGTTTTACATCAAGCATCTCATTTAATCCTCATAACAACCCTCTAAGGTGGATGATATCATCTCCATTTCACAGAAGCAGAAGCAATAGTCACGTTTATGGAGCAACTACTATGTGCTCAGATATGTTAAGGGTTTTACATCAAGCATCTCATTTAATCCTCATAACAACCCTCCAAGGTGGATGATATTATCTCCATTTCACAGAAGCAGAAGGTGAAGCTTAGAGAAAGTGAACTTGTCCAAGGTCACAGAGCTGGAGAGCAGAGTGTTAAGAATTTGTACCCAGCTGTGCTGACTCTGGAGTCTGTGTAATCTCCACAATGGGGGAAGGGCAGGAGGTAGTTCTAGATTGTTGCAGGTCTCCTCCCCTCCCTCATCCCCTTTGTCTCGGTCCCTGAAATCCCTCAAACCCCGTCGCCTAGGCTTTCATCTCCCCATCACACAGGAGAGCCTCCCTCCTTTCAGGGACTATGACACCCCGGCTGAGGTACCTACCCCAGATTCCAGCTCACCCCCGACCCCAGCACCTGCTGGGGCATGCCACAAGGCCCCAGGCTGTGTCCCCAAGGCTGTGCTCTCACCTGAGGACTGTGGCCAAGACGGGCCACCTTGCACACCAAGTGGCTATTCACCAGCACGCTGTGGGCAGACAGCGAGCGATGGACGAAGGCAAAGCTGGACAGGTACTGCATGGCAGCAGCCACTCCCCGCTGCATGGCCACCAGCTGCAGGCTGCTGAACTGGCCCTCCCGCTGCTGAGGGGAAGGGGCAGGGGGCAGAGGTCAGTGATCGGAGACAGGGGGAGACCTCAACATACTGCATAGCAGACAACAGCATGAGAGCGGGAGGGTGTCGAATCAGAAAATGGCTGGGAAGGAAGGACGGAGACCATGGAAGGTGGGGTGGTAAGAAGCAAAGATACAGGACCTCGTCTCCTGGAAGCTTTCCTGGACCCAAGGACCCTCCTCCTTCACCCAGGCTGGACTGACCCTGAGGAAGCTGTCCAGGGGGCCAAGCTCCATGAACTCCGTCAGCACCATGAGGGGTCGGCTCTTGGTGACCACGCCCTCCAGCCGCAGGATGTTGGGGTGCTGGAACTGACCCAGCACTGCGGCCCGGCCCAGGAAGGTCATCTGCAGGCTTTCGGCGCCCCCGGCCCACAGGGCCTGGATGGCCACAGTCTGCTCCCTCCGTCCCCGTGGCTGCAGGCGGCCCTGGCGCACTTCTCCAAAAGAGCCTGGGAAAATAGGTGTAGGTTGGGGTGGGGATCAAGGCTCACAGCGTCCTGCTGTGTTTGGATGGGACTCTGGCCAGCGGAGGCCACAAGGGAGCCCCGTCGCTCTGATCCCTGCTTTGGCCCTGCTGTACCTGTCCCAATGACCTCCTCAATCTTGATATAAGCAGGATCGACTTCCCGGGCAAGTTCTCGGATGGCCTGACAGGGGTCCTCGTAGGTGGAGGGGTCGATGTAATACTTCACCCCGAGTCCTGGAGGGGTGTGGAGTATGTTATGAGCGTGTTGTGAAAGGCAGGGCTGCCCGCGCACCCCAGACATGCCCACTTACCTCCAGAAGGTTGTGCCAAGGAGCTCCCCCAATCTTGGGGGGATCCAGCCTTGCCTGCCATGTGCCCCACCCATGTGTTCCCCAGCCCCACCCATTTCCTCTCCTCATCCCCACCTGGGCTGCTGTATTGCTGCAGCTGCTCTGTGTAGCCAGTCCCACGCCGCTTCCTGAGGAACAAAACGGTGACTGGGGATGACGCTCCCATTTCCACCCCCTTGCTGCCCCCTTGTCACCCTCCAGACTGCTCTTTAGTCGGTCTGTGGAGGGGGGACGACAGCCTGGCCCTCCTGCCCATCTCCACGTGGGGCCCAGGGCAGGGGCTGGCTGACGGGAGGAGCACCAGTGTGAGGTTTCTGCAGGGGGCTCCAGACTTGGCAGGACTTGAGGTTTGGCTGTGGAGTTAATGGTGCTGGGCAGAGTTGGGCAGGGGTGGGGACTCACCGCTGGAAGACGACCGCCAGCACGGTGATGGCTGCCAGCAGGAGGAAGGCCAAAGCCCCCAGGATGGAGCCGATCACCAAGGAGAGTCTTTCTGGAAGCTGGGAAGACAGCTCCCCTGGGGGACCAGCCGACAGGGTCACAGGTGGGCCAGGTCTCTCACAGGTGCTTGTTCATGTGCCCAGGCACCCACACACACCACAGGCACACACAACATGCACGCGCATGCCCCAAACCTCCCACATCCATGCACAGGGACACACAACACACACACACGCCCACAGCCCTCCCACATCCACACACAGGGACACACAACACACACACACATCCCCACAGCCCTCCACATCCACACACAGGGACACACAACACACACACACGCCCACAGCCCTCCCACATCCACACCCAGGGACACACAACACACACACACATCCCCACAGCCCTCCTATATCCACACTCAACATGCATACATACCCCTACAATTCCCCACCTCCCCGAGTAGCCCCTAGGTCAGCTGCTGAGCAAAAGGCACTCTCCTTTCCCACAGAACTTCTGGTTGGGAAGCACGGGGCCAGGGTTCAAGGCCGGACAGTCCCTGGGCCTCTCCTCACTACCCACTTGGGCCTTCACCTGCCCATCTGGCCCTTGACCCCCGCTCACCTTGAGGAAGTGTCTGGAAATAGACTTTGCCCCCGTAGGGGCCGTGGCCGGCAGCAGTCCGGGCCCGCACCTGGAAACCATAGATGTGGCCAGGGCTCAGCTGTGTCACGGTGGCAGTGTTGGTCTCGCTGGTCAGGGTGAAGGAGTGGGATTCGTCTTCTGCCTGGGGGTAACAGCCACTCACTCCCTGCCTGGCCCCCTCTTGCCCCTGCTTCTGCCCCTAAGGCCCCCAGCCACCCTCCCTGGTTGACAGGGCTCTCAGACACATGCCCAGTGCTGCACACTTCTGGGCACCTCTCCTTGCCCATTCAGCCTCTGGCCCCTACTGTGGGGACTGTGAGCTCCTGCCAGCCCTGTTGCGGACCCCTCATTCCTCCTGTGCACCTGGTCACCTCTGGGCCCCACTGTGAGGCCTATGAGCTCCTACCAGCCCTACTGCGGAACCCCCACTCCTCCTGCGCACCTGGTCATAGTAGCGGAGCTGATAGTCCAGGATGTTCCCATTGGTCTGGTCGGGCTGCGGCCAGGACACCGTGATGCTGTTGGATGCCCGGCTCACCTGGTGCACCACAGGGACAGCAGAGGGCACTAGAGTGCAAAAGGAAAATTATTATGGGGATAGGAGTCCCTGGGAGCAGGATCAGCCTTGAGGGGAGGGCGGCAGGGGTGGACCAGGCTGGAGATCAGGAGTAGGGAAGGGGGCTCAAAGGAGCGGAGGCAGGGGATCCTGAAGGCCAAGGAAAAGAGCTCACCTTCATGGCTGGTGCTGACATTGATGGCTGCAGCCTGAGGAGGGTCAGGGCTGAGCTCAGACACCCCATTAACAGCCTGCACCTCTAAGATGTAGGGTACGTGTGCCCGGAGTCCCCCCACTAACACTCGGCTCTCAGTCAGGCCTCTCTGGCGAGGGTCGAAGTGGACCTCATCCCTGCAGCGGTGACAAGTGCCCCCACCACCGCTGGCAGGTTCCTGGCGGCCTTCACACTCCTTGCACACGACATTGAAGAGCAGGTCCCCTCGACCCCCCAGCTCCCGAGGCAGGCGCCAGTGTAGCATGAGTGCTGAGCCTTGCACCTCAAACCAAAGCTCCTGGGGAGCCGATGGAGGACCTGGGGGGCCGGAGGATATGGCAGTCCAAGGGCCAAGAGGGCAGCAGTGGGGGTGATTGAGGAAGGAAGGAGCCAGGGGAGGGTGGGTGGCCGAGAGGGAAGGAGACAGAAGAGCGTGGGGTGGGGGTAGCCCAGAGAGGCAGGATGTGGGCCCAGGGAAGGATGGGTCAGGGAGAGAAGGGGGTGGGGACAGGGAGGGGAGGAAGCCAAGAAAATAGGGGAAAAACAAGTCACTCCAAATGCAAAGAGCCCCCAGTGTTGCCTGCTACCCCCACTTCTGGCCCCTCTCCAAGTCTCTTTCCCATTGCAGGGCTGGGTGAGGAACTCACCAGTGCAGGGGGCCTCTGGTGGGTCGGAACTGGCCCGGTAGAAGCCCTCCAGGCAGGGGCAAACGGGGGCTGCTGGGTTGGGAGCGTGACTGCGGGCAGGGCATGGTGAGCAGGGAGCATTCCCAGCAGAAGCCTTATAGAGCCCCCGTGGGCAGGCTGAGGAGGCAGAGGAGAGTGGGGGCGTCACACTCGCTCTGTCCACCCACCCTGAGCTCCCAACACACAGCAGGCAGGTATCCTCGCAGCCTTCTCTTCCCCAGAGCTGGTTCTCCTTTTCTTCCAAGACTGAACCCCACCCTCTCTTCCCTCAGGCAGAGATTTCTTCTGCCAATTGCTGGGACAGAATTGCATTTCCATGGATGGAGAAAGTGAGGTGCAGTGGGGGTTACAGACAGGCCCAGTGCCAGATGTGGGTGTTCCCAGCTTATTGCATAAGCTCCCTCTGCGGAGGCCTGCTGCTGCAGTCATTCTCCCTAGCTGCCATCCACTGCCTTCCTCTACCTGCGTCCCTGTCACCTGGCCCAGCGAGGCAGGGACCCTCCCAACAGAAGGGCGAATGGGAACCAAAGGACTCTATTCCATAGTAACCCTGGAGCTGGAGCTAAACTCCTTTTGGTCTCCATCGCTTCTCAGGCCTGAAGACTTAGGAGAAGGCAATTGCTGTGAAAGGCTCCAGAAGATTCCAGAAATTTCAGATGAGTGGGTGATAGTAAGTTTGAGTGCTTTAAGAAATAAAATTAGGGAAAATCAGGGTCCTTTCCTAAGATGGCTTATTCCTGACCTTTTGCAGATAAAATGAATTTTGGGGTGTTCAGAGAGGAGCCCAAAGGCTGGGGGTGGGTGGGAGGTGTCGGGCAAGTGCAAGACGAGTGGGCTCTCACCTTGGCAGGCCTTGTCTCCTCGTGCTGGTTGGTATCCAGGCTGGCAGCGGCAGCCCCCGACAGCTACCATCCACTTGCCCTCCCCGTTGCAGTGCAGCCTGGGGGGGCTGCCTCCTGCCTGGCCCCCTACTCCATCCTCCTCTGGCTCTGCATGAGCCACACAGGTGCCCACAGCTGCCACCAGGGAGGCCCCCCCAGCCCCACTGGCCTGCGTCTCTGGAAAGGAAGCAAAGGATCGGAGCACGGCAGGGCAGGTGTAGGAGAAGAGCCTGACAGCGACCAGGGCCAGGCAGGCCCCCGTGTCCTGGAAGGCCACGTAGAAGCCGCGTTGGGTGAGAGGCCCAAAGCTCCGCTCTTTGACGTTCAGTTGCAGTCCAGCCCGCTGCCCAGCCCCGTGGGGTCCCACAGCCCACGCTGCAGAGGAAGAAGAGGAGGAGGAGGAGGAGGAGGAGGAGGGAAAGCTCTCGTCTGCTGCAATTGTGTCCACCTTGGTCCAGCGTTTGAGGTGCCAGGAGGAAACGCTGTCAGGGCTGTCGGGCTCCTCAGCCTGACGGTAGTAAAGGGTGAAGGTCTCCCGGCAGGTGCCGCCGCTCACACCCAGGCTGGAGCATGCCCGCACAGAGAAGTGGAGTCGAATGTGCGCCCTCTGGGCCCCGCGCCGCTCCACAAAGTGTGTCTGCAACCAATTGTCCTGCCCGGTGCCTGGAGGGGCCCCTGCCACATGACATGCCTCAAAGGTCCGAGTCAGGCGTCGCTGGTCGTCCAGAACACTCACCTCGTCCCACTGCAGGAAGGGCCAGGAGAAGCTTTAGGGGCTCCGGGCTTAAGCACGGCGAGGTAGAGGTTATAGGGAAGGGGACATATCTCTTCCACTGAGACTTAAAATTAATGACAAGCAAAGCAGATAGAGGATACCTTGAAATCTTGGTGCTCTAGAGGGAGGGATCCTTTTCCCATAATCCTCACCCAGGGTTTCCTTCATGAATTCCACTCTCCAGGGAACAGGGAGGGGCAGGGCCAAGGGATTCAGGTTCAGAATTAGAGTGGCACTCACCCCCCCTGGTGGGTAGGTGAGCCAGCCAATCTCAGATGTCTCTCCGGTGGTGTCCAGCAATACCTCTGCCCAGAAATAAGAGGGGCACACAGTGGCCAAGCCTCCAGCCAGCACTGCCAGCCCCTACTCTATTCCCACCGCGAACAAAAGAATGCCCCACCCGGGCCCATGTCTTTGCCAGCAGGAGCACAGCTGTCCATCAGGGTCCTTTCTCTGACAAATCTGATGTGGGTCTTCATTATCCTCACCATGCCTTTCCCTTTATTGATGTCTTCACTCTTATCTACCTTTTCTAAATCTTTCCCACTTCCCCCTTTCACTGGGTCTCTATGGCAGGTCTGGGTTCTCCTGTCTCCCCTCCCTCTTACCTTCCAGAGCCAGAACTGAAGACACCAGGAGCAGCACCCATAGGCTACACACCATGCCCGCCACTCTGTTCCCTAACTGGGCAGCCCCTTCAGTAGCCATGGGACATCTTCAGGGCGTCCACCATCGCCCCAGCCACCACCCTGCTCCTGGGTGGGGCTGCAGCTTTTGCAAGACTCAGGGTGTACAGCTAAGCTTGCTTCCTGAGGAGACACACAAGACCAGAAGAGGCAGGTGGGAAGAAAGTGTTTCTTCATATACAGCCCAAGCTCCAAAAGCTGACCCCGTGTCTGTGTCTCCTCCTACAGCTCTCCAATCGCCCCAGCACCCACCATGGGACAGAAGCCAGGTTGCATACTGCCTCTCCTGAGCCGGTGCACATTTGACCATCTTGGAGTGTTCGTGCCTACTCCCTGTGTGACCCTGTCTCTGTGTTCATTTCTCACAGCTCTCCTTCCTAGAAGTGGGGCAGAGGGTGTTTCTGGGTCAATCTTACCCTTTTTTTTTTTTTCTGCAAGGGGTTATTCCAGTTCTTTCTCTTCATTTACTCTCCTCCCTTCCTCCAACAGCCACCCTGTATTGGAAGTTAGAAGATTTTCATTAAAGGCAGCTGGTTAAGAAGCTGCTGCATCCTACAGACACATGAATTGAATCCTCACCACACCGCCCCACCCCCGATGGACCTGGATGCTCTAGAAATTTCAGAGGGGCAGTGAAGCAGTGAAGCGGGAGGGACACAGGAAGATGGCTGTGGGGTATGATGGGAGGGAAGGGACCAGAATAAATACAGAAAGAACACAGGCATGAAGATTCAGTCTGATAAATGAGACAGTGCAGGGAGGGGGCAGAGCTATGGAGGTCTGGCATACACTTTGTGAACAAAGATCCTCGTGCCCCAAGGGGTGCATGTTTTCCTAGAGCTTACAGAAGAATAACCCTATGGCTTTAACATATGAAAAGATGCTTCTTGTTTGCTCACATTGAAAGGAAACCAGGTTAAAACTACAGCAACAGGCCATTTGTTATAGAAGGAATATTTGTGCCCCCCCTCCATTCATATGTTGAAATCCTAACTCCCAAGATGATGGTATTAGAAGATGGGGCCTTTGGGAGGAAATTTTAGGTCATGAGGGTGGAGCCCTCACTAATCATGAGATTAGTGCCCAGATGAAAGAGACCCCAAAGGGCTTTCTCACCCTTTTTCTGCCATTCGAGGACACAACAAAGAAGAGGGCAGTCTGAAACCTAGAAGAGAGGCTTCGCCAGGAACTGACCATGCCGGCACCCTGATCTTGGACTTCCCAGCATCTAGACTGTGAGAAAGATATTTCTATTGTGTATAAGCTACTAGGTCTATTGCACTTTGTTATGGCAGCCACAGTTGCCTAAGACACCATTTTTACCATGTTGGACAAGATATGGGAAATAGGTTCTCTTGTACATACTCTGCTTGAATCCAAATTGGAATATTCTCTTGGGAGGACAATTGGGTAATATCTTTCCAGCAACTACATTGTAAGAATGTGTCCTTCAGGTACTGTATACTTGTATGGGTTTGCACAGATGTTTGAACAAAGACATTAATTGCAAATTGTTTATAAGAGAAAAGGCTGTAAACTAACTGTCCATCAATTGGAAGACAGTAAAATTATAGTACATCCTTAGAAAGAAATACGGGCAACTGTTGATGCACTGATATAAAAAGCATTTCCAAGTGAAAGTGGGACAATGGAGAACAGTGTAAAGTAAGCTCCCCTTTGTTAAGAAGGATATATACACATACATATGTATGGAAGGATATCTATGGAAGAGCATCCAAAACCTGTGAAAAAGGCAAAGGAAGTGGACTGAGACCCAGTGCAAGGGAGACTTAACTTTCATTGTATTCTCATTAATTGTATCCATTTAAATTTTTGCATTCTTAAACTCTTGCATGTGTATTCTTTCAACTAAATCATTGATTAAAATTTTCTTTAAAACTATAGGATAATAACTGTTTAGTAAAGTTAATCAAAACAGTGTTCATATCCTCATAATGGCTTCTCAGAACTATGTAGTAAGCTACCTCTTATATAAAACCTTCCTGTGCCTTCAGAAGGTACACCACTAAGCTCACGAGCAAATGAACAGAAGGAATAGCTACCTCCAGTGTCACAATGAAGACAAACAGGCTTGGCACCTCCTTTGCTTGTTGATTTAGAGATTGGCGGTTCTCTATCTCTCCTCGTGTCTGAGTCTCAGAAGTCTGTGAATTGGGTGGACTATAATCCCTTTATTTCTGTGAAGAAAAAAAAGAGACATGTTGCCCAGATTGCTCAAAAGACATAGAACTGAGAGGAAAACAAAAAAAAAGCCAATTAGAAGAGAAGTTGTGATTTGTTTTTCCTGGATATATATGGCCTTGGGATTGTTGAAAGCTATCATAAAACAAAAATCAAACTATGAAACTTTAATTGCAACAAATATGAAAATCATAATTTGATTCCTACTAATTTTTTTCTGGCACTGCGGGCTGTGCTGTCCATGAAGTTATCATGGAAATACACCATTTCTACATACGCGTGGGCTGATGTAGAGTGGGCACCTGCCAACTAGCCCCTGAAACTCACCTTTTATACATCTTTAACCCTATTTGTGAAATAGAGAGTTCAATTTACAGCCTATGGAGACAAGTAAGGAGCATTTCCATATGGCAAATTGCTCTTAAGTAATGTTCTTTGCAAAAATGTCTGAAATGTTACTAGGATCCTTCACAGATGAAATAAATGCTTTGGAGAGGAACGGGGAGATCATGAAGTAAAAAGCAGGCATAGCTATTAAATTCTGTAACCTTGGCACCGTCACCAGTGGCTGTTTAATAAATATCCTAAAGTAATTCATGTTGTAAGTGCATCCCCTCCAAACTCTCAATGGCTTAATTTGGAGACGTGCTTGACACACTGAAGCAAACCAGAGTCACGGAGTCCTTAGAAATACTGTTATCAGGGAAAGAAAATGCCAGCAGCAGGTTTTTAAACAATGAAGGCTATTTTACCATTTGCCTAGAAGTTATTCTTTAAAATAGTCTCTTTCTTTCACTCAGAACATGGATGGATTCTGTAATCTGTACAAAGAAGAAACAGTAAGCCCTGTGTCTTCTCAAGCTTACAACTAGGCAAATAATCATGAAGAAGGAACAATAAATATTTTGGAAATATTTCAATGAATTATTTTGAAAGACAGCCAAGCAAGATAGAAAAGATGCGCTGCAGATAGTATCAGCTGTCCAATATGGAACACTCTGGAAGATGAATAGCAAGATATTTGCTTTGATGACCCGAACTACAAGGAACACAGTCACTTGTGGTTGCAATAGGGCGTGCTTGCATAGCCTTAGCATGCCTCGTAATGACAACACGAAGCTGGCCTCCCTCCAGAAGATCCAGAAAAGAGCAAAAGCAATTATGAAACATGGATGTTAAGGCCACTCAGCTTCTGCCATCAAGAAACAGCATAAAGAAAAGAAGAAAATGGAGACACTGCCTGTGGATGACCACTTCAGCAATTTTTTGAAATTTTACTAAGAACAAAGATATTCATTAAAAAGAAATGGTTGAGGATCTTAAAGTACCCAGAAGGATACTTCTAATGTTTGATGAGGACCTCTTTTAGATTCAGATCCAGATGACTGAAGGTTATAAATACATTTTTTCAGAAAAAAAAAATTGTTGCTGAGTCAGACTAGGAAGTTAGGTGAGTTCTTACTTATCAAACAAACCAGATAAATTCAAGACTTTTAATTTTAATATATAAAAAGAATATGGGTGTACCCCTGTTGCAGGAATCCAAATAAAGAAAAAGGAAGCTTTATTAAGATATGGAATAAATTGCTGTCAGCAAATTCATACCACTGCAGATTCTTTTGAAGCCAATTTCAAAGGCAGAAACATAAGTGACAAGAACACGGCTGCTCCACATGCCTGGAATGCTAAGTAAGCAGGACTCAGAACTTGATTTTTCAAAGGTGTCTTCAATGGTTGTGGGCATGGAGCATCTTCTGCATTTGGTCCAGGAGAGCATCCCAGGGACAGGCCAGTACATTTCTCCTGCCACAGAGATGGGAAGCAGCCTCTGCAAAGCCAGGCCCCTTGCTCCTCTCTCACAGCCTGCTTGAGAGTCCTCTCTCCTCTGACTTACAAAAGGAACTGGTCAGTATTTAGAAATTCTCTAACACAAGAATGTGCAAAAGAACTTATCTCCTTTAGAAAAATATTCACATTTCAGATGTGTATAAGGTTTTAAAAATATAAAACCAGAAGCAGCAGAAATGTGAACATAAAACAATGGTGGAGAAAACGAGACGGATTAGACAAAGTTTTAGGTAACAAAAATTGCAGTCTATGACTTTATAATATGTTCTCAGCTTCTTTTATAGATATATCACTTAATATCTTTTTGATACAGTAGAGACAATAGATCCACAAGCCTGCTACATCTCTTTGGTTTACAAAAATAAGACTGTTTCTTAGGTATCAAGGTTGTGTTTTGTTTTCAGAAACTGGCAAAAAGTAAAGATTTGTAGAATCATAGGTTACAAAGCATAGCTTACGAGTTATGTTGCTATAAAAATGAAATATTTCACTTTGGGAGGCCAAGGTGGGCGGATCACAAGATCAGGAGATCGAGACCGTCCTGGCTAACACGGTGAAACCCCGTTTCTACTAAAAATACAAAAAAAAAAAAAAAAATTAGCTGGGCGTGGTGGCGTGTGCCTGTAGTCCCAGCTGCTGGGGAGGCTGAGGCAGGAGAATGGCGTGAACCCGGGAGGCAGAGCTTGCAGTGAGCCGAGATCGTGCCACTGCACTCCAGCCTCGGCGACAGAGCAAGATGCTGTCTCAAAAAAAAAAAAAAAAAAAAAAAAAAAAAAGAATGACTTAAAAGTAAATTAAATTGGTAAATTGGTAAGAATTTAAAAAATTAATCGTGCTCCAATTAAATGCTAAATATGATATTTTCATGAGCAAATCAAGCTTACTTAATATAGTTTATGCACCTCAATCCACAAAGTGAATTTTTAAAGATTAAATAATGTAAGCCAAATAAGCTTGGAGGAAGGTAGGCAGAAGACATATTAGGCCATTAAAATGGGTTACTGTGGGAGGTAGAAATGAAGGATTGTAGGTGGGGGCATTAATTTTGTCTTACACATAATTCAATTATTTTTCTTGTTACAGTAAGCATACCTTATTTTTATAATTAACGTAAAATCTCATAATTAAAATCTAAACAAAAAAGAAAAATATTTGTAAAACCTAGACAAATAAGCATACGTTTACATTTTATTCACTCCCCATGCCATTTTCCTTCTATGTTTCAAAATATCAAGAAATGTTCATCTATAAGAAGAAGGTAGAGGTGGAAATACAGTAGGAGCTGAGAATGAATGAGTGAAGTAATGCCAACAAGAAAACCAAAATAATTGTTATCTCTGGCTAGTCTTTAAGCTTGTCTCCCAAGAAGTTCCAACTGTCCCGCTGCTGACATCATGCATGCTTCTCTTCGACGATGTCAAGCAAAGGGATGAGGCTATGAAGGGACAGAGGGGAACCCAGGGGACTGTCCACTGGGAACACATAGTAAAGGGCATGGCCCCAAACCGAGCCCAGACAGGAACAATTTAGTGAGACAAAGCAGGCTGCAGAGTCCAGCAGGGACAGAACAGTCCCAAGGGCAAAGCGGTTCGAGGTTTTATGTCTGGTGTGGTTGCTGGGCTGGTCCTTACACCTGTGAGCCACACAGGTCAGTGTGGGAGGGGTCAGTACCACAGGCCCTGTCCCCTATCCTGTTCCACAGCTGTTAAACGCCCAGGAAATTCCAGTATAATCCTTGCTCAGTTTAATGCCAAAGCCTCTATCCTTTAATCTCCACCTTGGAGATCTCTTCGTGCTCTGGCCTCCTGCCTTGAGAAGGATCCCATCATCAGGCTTCATGGAGGCATCCAGGACAGACAGTGAGGAGGTGGCTGTCCTCCGGCTCTTCTAGTCCCTGCTTCCTTGGCTGGAGAAGCCAATTTGTAGATTACCTAGCAGAGGACAGTCCTGTGTCCCTGGAGGCCTCCAGCCCCTGAGAATGTCCCCCAGAGCACTGTGACTCAGACAAATGTGCCTCCCACTCCCAGGCTGTGGAGCTGGGGGAGGCTTTTAAGATGCAGGCAGTGTCTAGGTCTAGCCAGACAGCCACTTAGAATGAGCCACTCTGTGCACTGACCGGGGACATGCGTGGCTCTGGAAAAGAGCATAAGGGAGGGTGTTAAGGCAGGAGGCAAATGTGCCTGAGAGATGAGTAAGTGGAAGGTTGTGGAAGAAAGCCCCTGAGTGCCAGGAGTAGCACCTGCGTCAGCAGTGCCTGAGGATGTGTGTCTACCTGGTGGAGTGTGTAAGGGAATGTGTATGAGATGAGGTGGGCGGGAGCAGATGCTGTCTGTGTAGATGGGGGCTGTTGCTTTCCTGTGGCAGAAGATGCACATCAGTGCTGGTTCCGGAGTGGTTCCATGGGCCCTTCTTCCTCACCTTCGGCCCCTGCTCTACCCCCAGTCTGGCTGTGAGTTGCTCTTGGCCCCAGGAGGTACTTCTGCAGAAACACCTGGGCTGGGAGAGGGAGCCAAGTGGGGGGCGGGGAGGAGTGGGTAAAGAAAGGGAAACCTGAGGCTTCCCAAACCCTCCAGAACCTGCCATCCTCCTTCTACCTAGAGTGGGAACTCAGGGTCTAGGGCCCAGGCTCAGGACAGAGTGATAGCAGAACAGCCGTCCCAGAAGGAGGATCCTGCCTTTCCCATGCTCAGCCCACCCCAGCCTGTTGCTCCCCAGCATTCTGGTAACTCAGTGTCATTGCCAACCATCTTTTTGCACCCTGAATGGAGTAATAGACTCCAAACAAGTCCTCCTTCTGAGGCCACCAGGTAAGTACATAGACACCCCCACGCTAATCTTCCTTTGAGAAAAAAGGCCCACTGCTCTGAAAAGCCAAGTGGCCCCACTGAGCAGCACTCAGAAGCCTCAATGCTCCAATGCCCCTTACTTGGGCAGCTTCTGTGGTCTACTAACAGCCCCACACAGCTCCCTCCCACTGGTCTCTCAGCTCAGGACCAGCATCTCCCCTCCTAGAGCCTCAGTCAAGTTCCCCTGGCGGGCGGAGGGCCTGGGTTAACTGGGAACAGACCCAGCAGCTCCGCTCCATGGGCGCTGCCAGGGACATTACAACATTGCTATGCTGGGTCCATGCCAGCTCCCCCAGGGATGGGAGGAGAGAGGGTGCCAGACGGCCAAGATCGGTGGGTGGGGGTGTGGGGCAAGCAGGGCCAAGCACCCAGATGGAGGGAGCAGAGCGAGGGTGGAGCTGGGGCAGGAGCACGCAATAGAATTTGGTTGCACGTTGGGGGTGATGGCTGGGCAGCAGGAACCAAGCGTTCCTTCCACCTCCAAGGCTTAACTGTGGTCATGGAGCTGGGGGGGACAGTGCCTTGTGGGGAGCAGGGGACAGGTGTGTGGTCAGCCTCCTGACTCCTCCCAGCTCCAAGGGGATTGGAGTGATGCCACTGGAGTCAGAGGGGTGGCAATCCTGTTCCAAGCGTGGAGCTCCGTCTCTGCGAGGACCCTCCCAGATTAGGACTCCCAAGCCAGAGCCAGAGGAGAATGTCTGGGAACGCAACTGGGGGATCCTAACAGCAAGGGTAATGCGGTGTCAATGATGCCAGGTCAGAGTGGAGTGAGAGGGGAGTAGCCAGGTTGACCGTTTCCTCACCCTTCATGAACCCCACTCTGGCCTTGAGGAAGGATCCTCAGTACTCCCTCAGGAAGCCACCTAGGGGCTGAGGAGCCCCACTACTCTTGCAAACCTTAATTCCTCTGTCCCCAAGCATACTGTCCCCGACCCCCACAACGCCGCCTGCTAACCCCGCGGGCTCACCTTCCCGTTGGCCGCAGTCTCTGCAGGTCTGCGCCCCCCGAGGCCTCGCAGTGGACCCGGGGCTCCTGGAGCTCGCACGGTGCCACCCGCGTCTTCTCCAGTCCGGGGACCCCGTTGCACCCGGCCCGGGTCCGTTCGGCGCCGAGAGTCCCTGGGATTCCGGGGTGGACCTGACGCTGGCGGCAGGGGCTGCTCCAGAGGTGGGGCGCCGGGAGATCCTGGGGGCCCGCGTCGAGATCGCCGTCGCCAAGCTGGGTCCCGGGTCCCGCCGCCCGCTGCTGTAGAGCCGCGGCTGGAGCGAACGCAGCCCGGCCCGCCCCCTCCGCGTCCCCTCCCAAGCCGGCCCGGCCCGCCCCTTCAGCCCCTTTGGCCGCCTTCCCACTCCCTTCTTCCGGGGAGCCGAGCCCGCCCTCCCGGCCTAGGCGGTGAGTGCGCGGCGCCCGCTCCTCCGCCCCGGCGCGCGGGGGAGACGCGGGGCGCGCCCGGGGCCCCGCCTGTGCGCCGGGAAGGGGGCGGCCTCCTCCCGCGGGTCTTGGCCGGGAGGATCGCACGCGTGGGGCGCCTGCAGGAAGTGGGAAGGGAAGAGGCTGTCTGTAAAGCCCCTGCCTGGGCTCGGGCTCGGGCTCGGCTTGGGTCGGACACCCGCGGAGCGAAGCGCAACTGGCGGACCGTGGCAGTTCAGGGCAGGGCAGAGCCCTGCACACACCCCCTCGCGCCTCCCTCCTCTTCGGCTTTAACTCTAGGAACTAAAACAGTGGGGCTCCTACTCAGCTTGGAACTAAGGTGGGCGTGAGCTGAGCAAGAGAGAAGGAAGGAAAAGCAGGGGGTGGAGGGAAAGACAAACTGAGAAATCTGGGAGAGTACGGGCGGTGGTAGGGGGAGCCGAGGCAGCGGGAGAGGGGGGCGTCTCGGTATGAAAGCGTCGCCGTGCTAGCCGGGAACTCTTTTCTCTTTTCGTGTCTGGATCTTGGTCAACGTTGGGGCTTCTGAGTCGAACCTCCCTCCATCTACCCTCCCCAAGGGGCAGGGCAGTCGGGTTGAAAAGGGGAAGCGCTGCTGTACGCCTGGCTCTGACATGGCTTGGGCAAGTCGCTGCACCTCTGGGTGCCTCCTCCCTCGCCCGCGCTCCGGAGAGAACCTCCCTGCAGTGAGGAGGGGCGGTGCAAGGTGCTCTCAGCTGGCGCCTGGAGGCAGGGTTGAGGAACCGAGGGGGCGCCGCGAGGAAAAGTGTTTCCGCCCACCTCTAACCCCTTCTCTAGCCGAGGACGGGGATTTGGGGTCTATTGTTTGGGTCCTACAGAGCTGGGCTGGGGCCTTGCCACGAAGTGTTGCTACCACCTGCTGGTTTTTCTAGGGAGCACAAGCACCCGGTGCGATTCCCTTTGCCCCCTTTTCTCCCTGTATCGCCCTGTCCCATCTTGCTCTCCTGTTTATTAAAGCAAATGGGCTGATCAAAACTGGTACTTAAAGAGCATTCAGAAGCCGAAGAAAATTGTGAAAGAGATCTATGAGCCAACAAACACAATAAACAAAACAATGAAACTCAGTAAGAGTCACCTGGGAGAGACAAACAGGCTTTAATGAATTGACTGAATGAGTGATAGAAAGATAAAGGCTACCGAGCAAGTTCCCACTTGGCCAGGGGTTTGTTCACTCTTAATATCAGGAGTCAATAAATAAGTCTGATAGTATTTAATGACTGCATTTGGACGTCATTAATAATTCCACTTGTACTGACGGTTCTACTTTATCTTGTTTCTTCCCTTTGCCCTGAAACTCAGTGGTGGAGGGCTTCCTTCATTTTCTGGTTATCTCCAAGGCTTTCAAAGACTTCTGCAAAGAAACAGAATTTGCATTGTGTGTGGAATTACGTAACTCATACATTAACATGCCTGATTGCTAGACATCTATGGTTATATTGAAAACTTAAAAAAAAGACACATAACTAGATTATGTTAAAATAAAAATATGGACAAAACCAAACCGTAGTTGTTACTTTATAAAACCCAGAAATTCCTGTAGTAATTTGCAACGTATCCTGTATTGACATAACAGTAAAAATATCTGCCTTCTTTTCTATTTCATGATATACCTCATATTAGGTGACTATAATATGAAATGAAGTTTTTGCTGCTCAAGGCTTGTGTAATTAGTTATATTTGTCTTGTTAATAAAATTTGAGAGGCATCTAGTTTTCAAAGGAAGTGTCATACTCAGGATGCAAAGAGGTTTAAATTTGTGATTAGTCGGCTTTGCATCCTAATTGCCTATGTCTTATCAAACCAAGTTTTAATGGTAGGTGGAGAGCATAGAATGCATTGTTAAAGTATGCTGCAACCTGCAGCTATTAAAAAGCAAAGTAATGAATTCCTTTTTAAAGTTTAATGTAAATTTTTTGCTATAATTTGTTTGGTGCCTGGGACACTCCAGGTGCTTAGAAGTGTTATAGAATGAATCAATAAAAAATAATATTTAAACTTTTTCTATGTGGATGGGCACAGTGGCTTATGCCTGTAATCCCAGCACTTTGGGAGGCTGAGGTGAGAGGATCACTTGAGGTCAGGAGTTTGAGATCAGCCTGGCCAACATGGTGAAACCTCATCTCTACCAAACAATACAAAAATTAGCCAGGCATGGTGATGCATGCCTATAGTCCCAGACACTCAGGAGGCCAAGGTGGGAGAATCGCTTGAACCCGGGAGGCGGAGGTTGCAGTGAGCCAAGATTGTCCTACTGCACTCCAGCCTGGGCGACAGAGTGAGACCCTGTTTCTTTCTATATATATATGTGTGTATATATATATATTTTTTTTTTTTGACTTGTTCAAAAAAAAAACCCTGGAGTATTGCTAATGGGCAGGACCTAATAAAGTTTATGGCTCACAGAATTAATCATTTCTGGCACACAACAATCTATTATGTAAATTTGGAACCAAAAGGAACTGCTGAGTAGAAAACTCCAGGTGAGATAGGAAGGCTCCTAGATTGGTTCTGCCTCATTTTTTCTGAGTTTTTGCCTCCTTCTTGGGCTTTGCTCACTCCCCTAGGATGTGCAATTTTCTTCTTCCTTATTTCCCCTTAGAACAGCTAATGTAAGCTGATGTTGTCATAAACAAAGAGCTTTACAAATAATTTCACTGATAAGAATTCTAGTAAAAAGCCATAAAGGAGTCTTCTGAGTCCCCTATCTCTTATTCCAAAACATTAGTTATAGCTCCCAATGCATGACCTCACAGGGCTCAGGCCCTTCACTGAACTGTCTTGAGGCTTTGTGGCCTCTAGGTGCAGTTGCACTTCCTAAAAGCTGGAGTCTAGTCTCCAAACACTTTACCAATGGAAGTGTTAAATGCCCATTTGTACAACTAAAGCTTTTATTGTTTTCTGTTCAGAAACTTCTAGAATGTTCAAAAATTCTCCTATGTTACTGGTTTGTTTGAAAGTCAAACCTAGATTGCAACTGATTTGTAGACCAAGGGTAATGGATACCCTTCATGGTGGTATTAAAGTTTACCCATCATAGTCCTACACTTTGATATTACTTTAACCATGCAATAATAACAAGGTATTCAGAGATATTAGTGCCTCCAAGAGAAAGAGGATGGCTTTTCTCTCAGTTAGGGGTTGACTTCAGCTATATGTAACAGCAAAGTTGTACAACAGTGGTTTAAACAAATTAGATAACACAGAAATACGATGAAGGTCCCAAGTCAACAAGACTCCAACTTTAGGATGAGGACTTGTTCTCAGATTGTCAACATTTTAGCCAGAGCTCCAGCTATGAGGTCTACAAATTTCAGGCAAGAAAAAGAAGGGAACAGGATTAAAACGCTACATCCAGCTGAATTAGCACTGTTCAAAGAACCTTTCTGGAAGATCCATTCAGTGACTTCATATGTATTATTGGCCAGGACAGTGTCACGTGACCACCCCTACCTGCTTGAAACCTGCAAAATACATGCTGCACAAAATGAAATTAAAGCTGTTAAACCTAAGAGAGGAAGAAAGAAAGCGTGTTAGCCAGGGGAACAGCAGCCTCTGCCACAAATGAAATAAAATGATCACGGTAATCTACATTTTTCCCTGCAATCAACAGAGATCTCTATCTCCTTTTTATAGGATATACTTGCTGGTACTTTCCCCCAGACCACTGTCTTTACATAGGTTTAATGCTCAAAGATGGTCCCCAGGAAGTTAGTGGAGTGAAGGGAAATGCTAGGAGTGTCCTCTTTCTAAAATAACCATGACATGATCTCAAAAGAAAAATAACAAATCCTTTGCAGTTACCCATACAAACAATAGGACTTGAAAACATTCTAGATTTTAATAAGATTTTGGGCAGGGCAGTCCTCATATGCAGAGCAGAAGTGATCAACACTCCACACCATTCTTTGCTCCTTTCCTGGTTTGTATCTTTTCCATTCAGGTGCATATAGGAGATGGGATGATCTATGATGTGGAGCAGATGGTCCCCTGGTCGGCTCTTCCAGTAGAATGCAGTCTATTTCTGGAGCTGCGCCTCCAGATAGTGCTCTCTGAAAACATTTGCATTTCCTAAACTGAAAGGGTGGCCTGCATTTCTATGAGATCTGCCTTCTACTTGTAGATGTGGCTGACACATTTCCTGGTTCCCATATTCTCTTGTCTTATAGTATACGTCTCTCTCTACATTCAAATGGATTCTGAGAATCTATCCCATCAGAACTTAAAGCACCACCGACAAAGTGGAGCTAGTCAACATGAAGAATGAGTAAACAGCAACGACAGCACTTGAGATCTTTTAACAATCTGAAGCAAAGTAGAAAAGGAATGAAGATGTAAGAGTTCAAAGAAAAAGTCTTCACTTTATATTCTTAATGAGTTAAAAGCAGATGTGGAAGCTATATTAAAA
Source organism: Homo sapiens (assembly GCF_000001405.40). NCBI lineage: Eukaryota > Metazoa > Chordata > Mammalia > Primates > Hominidae > Homo > Homo sapiens. The sequence continues at coordinate 142,850,498 of NC_000007.14, read as the reverse complement.
GGTTGAGATAAAAAGGGACAGTGGCGGGGGGAAGACAAACATAACAGTCAGGCAGGGCGTGGTGGCTCACGCCTGTAATCCCAGCGCTTTGGGAGGCTGAGGAGGGTGGATCACCTGAAGCCAGGAGTTTGAGACCAGCCTGGCCAACATGGTGAAACCCTGTCTCTACTAAAAATATGAAAATTAGCCAGGGAATCCTAAACTTAAATTTAGAATTCCCGGTATAATCAAATTCCCCGGCACGGCCTCTTCTCCTCTGTCTTACTTTGAAATAAACATAAACATTGCATTGGTTTTCTATCAATGCCAGAAAAAATCTTAGTGGTTGAAAACAACACATAATTATTATCTTACAGTTCCAAAGATCAGAAGTCGGAAGTGGACCTCCGTGGGCTAAAATCCAGGTATTGATAGGGCTGTGTTCCTTTTGGAGTCACTAAGGAGGGTCTGTTTCCTCACTTTTCCCAGTGTGGTTCTTGGAAGCCACTGTATTCCTTAGTTTGAGGTCTTCTCCTTTATCTTCAAATCCAGCAACATCTGGAGTGCAGTGGAGCAGTCTCGGCTCACTGCAAGCTCCGCCTCCCGGGTTCACGCCATTCTCCTGCCTCAGCCTCCCGACTAGCTGGGACTATAGGCGCCCGCTACCATGCCCGGCTAATTTTTTGTATTTTTAGTGGAGACGGGGTTTCACCGTGTTAGCCAGCATGGTCTCGATCTCCTGACCTCGTGATCCGCCCGCGTCGGCCTCCCAAAGTGCTGGGATTACAGATGTGAGCCACCGTGCCCGGCCTCTTCTTCCGCTTTTAAGGACTTGTGTGATTACTTCGGGCCCCCCGGGATAATCCAGGGTTATGTCCCCATCTCAAGGTTAGCTGATTAGCAACCTTCATTTTCCTTTGACATGTAAATGAGCGTATCAACAGGTCCCAATGATTAGGATGTAGACATCTTTGGGACCAATATTCTGCCTACCACAGACATGAGGGCTGGAGTTCCAGCACCATATTGGCATCTGAGCCAAAGCTAGCGACCATATACTTCTAGACTTCTTGTTGCATGAGGAAAATAAACACCTGTGATTGCAATTTGTGTTACTTGCAACTTCACACATCTCTAATAGATACAGACGCAGACATTAGATCTTTAGCCAAGGGCTAATTATTCTCAAAAGGCAAGATGAGGCCATTTTCAAATCTGCAATTCTTAGAAAATTTGCCACTCAAGTCTGTTTTCCAGCAAGATGCATTACAAATGTGCTCTGAACAATTAGGAGATGAATAATCAATTGCATTCTTCATTAGGGAAGATGTGATTGAGAAAAAGTGGTTATAATCACTTAAACTATCTAAAATTGTAGGATAAATAAAACACAAAACAAAATACAAACTTGCAAATCATGAATCAATAGTAAGAGGAAAATTAAGTAATTGAGGGTAATTATGATGACAAAAGTAAAATATCATATGTAAGTATAATAACAAAGTCTGTTTTTAAAAGAATATTTTAAATATCCAGGTTGTCATAATGCAAAATATAAAAGAGAAATAGCAAAGACAGGGATGTCATCAGTGAAAAATTCCTTGACATCCATCAGAGGAAGTCAATAGTTATTGCAGACATAATTAGGTAAAAGAATTTTAATGTTCTAAGATAATCATGAAAGATTATCTTTAAAATAGGGTGTTAGCCTCACAAGTCATGGATAAAAGATACAAGCAAATGGACATGGTTCCTTCATCCAAAAGCAAAATAGGTAAAAGATAACAAGAAAGCCTTAAAATACAGAAAGCATAATTAAAGTGACAGATGTCAAACCAAGTACAAGGTCTTAATAAGCATAATATTCCAGAACAATTCTATGGTAAGTCATTGGAATAAGTACGTCATGAAATTTCTTCATGTAGCAAAAAACTTCTCTCCCATTTCATAATACACATAAATGTTGTCTATTGCATTTCTAGAAACATTTATGTAAAAGAAAACACAATTTTTTTGTGTCTTACATAAAAGAGACACAATATTTTGGGGGCACTTGACCATTTCACTTTTCAAATAGCAATGCAACCATCAGTGACAGTACAAATGAATGCTGTTAAAATTAAATGTATAATTTTGAAATATTTAAATCATGGAGTTTAAATAAACATACTCACACACGTAATTGGAGGGGGGGAATTGCCATCCCTACCCTGTTTCCCACCTTTTCTCTTCTCCTCCTCTTCCCTGCACCTTCACAACCCAAGGAGAGACAGGAAGGTGATGTTGACTTGTCTATAAAATTGATTAGGCTCTTACAAGCAATAATTTCAAACTTCATCTAAGTCTTTGTGTAGCTAAAGCAGCAATCATGAAAAGGTATATAACTTGAAAATGAGCCCACTTTTTATTTATTAGAAACCTAAAAAGATGCAGTTTGAAAGTGGGACACGATTTTTAAAATCATGGTCTACTCATATTTAAATTCAACAAAAATATAGGCATAAAATTTTAATCCCTTTAAGTGAAGACATGAAATTATTTATTTTCATATTGGAAAATAGAGTAAATTCCTTAACTGGATATATTCCTTCCTTCAAAGTAAATTAATGAAGAAGAGACATTTGATAGATAATAAAAATCTAAAATATAATTAGTTCAAATTACAGAAATTTCCCCCGTTAACTGTCATTAAATCCCCACTGACAACTCCAACTCCCCTTCCCTTCTCCTGCCACAAATCTTTTAATTGCCTGGAAGAAATTTTTCTGATACTGCTCTTGATTATAGCGTAAATTACTAATCTTATTGTGGGCAAGGTGGGCTTCACTAACTGTTAGATAATTAGGTTCTTCTTCCTTGCAACTTTATTCTGTACTATTTATGAGAATTAATAGGTGGCCTTGGGAGTTTTGCTTTTCTGAATCATCATGACCTGTTGGATACTAGAAAAAATAAAAACTGGCATATTTATGACTCACATTGGTTGCAGGATGAGGAAGAAGAATGGATTTAGTGTCACCCTATATTATGCTGCTGGAAAACCAGAGTAAATTGAATAACTCAGAATTACCCCAAACAGACTTTAAATGCCAGACTAATTTAACTCCAGTCCATCCTTAAAACATCAGTTATCAGCCCAGAAGTTAGCCATCACATACACGGTCAATTGATTTTCTACAAGTGTGCCAAGACTATTCAGTGGCAAAGGACAATCTTTTCAACAGTTTTTTTCCAGGGAAAACTGGATATCCACATGCAAAAGACCAAAGTTTGACCCTTATTTTATAGCATATACAGAAATGAACTCAAAATGGATAAAAAAAAAACCTGAACTTCAGAGCTAAAACTATAAAACTCTTAGAAGAAAGCATTAGGAAAAATCCTCAATAGATTGGATTTAGCAACACTTTTATGAATATTATACCAAAAGCACAGGCCACAAAACAAAAAGTAGATAAATTGAACTTCATCAAGATTAAAAAAATTTTGTGCATCAAAGGATATTATTAAGAAAGCAAAAACACGACCTAACAAATAGGAGAAAATAATTTCAAATTATATATCTGCTAAGGAATTAATATCCAGAATATATAATGAACTCCTAAGACTCAACAACAAAACACAAAGCAATTCAAAAGTGGTCAAAAACTTTAATAGACACTTTTGCAAAGCAGATATACAGTCCAATAAGTATGTGAAAAGATGCTCAGCCTCATTAGTGAAATGAAAATTAAAATCATGGGGTATCACTTTATGCTTTCTAGGATATAATAGCCATTATATATAAAAAATATATAATGACTATTATATAATATATATGATATATATTATCTATTGTATTACATATATAATATATATTATTATATTGTATGTAATATATAATAGCTATTATACAATATATTATATATAATAACATATAATTTTTAAAAATAATAATATAATTAAAATGTTTTAAAATATAATAGCCATTATATTTAAAAAAACAGCAAGTAAAAAGTGTTGGTGAGGATGTGGAGAAATTGGAACTTTTGTACATCACTGGAGGGAAATGTAAAATGATGCAGCCACTGTGGAGAACAGTATGGCAGTTCCTCAAAAAATTGAATGCAGAATTGCTATATGATCTAGCAATTCTATTTCTAGGTGTATACCCAAAGGAATTGAAAATAAGGACTAGAACAGATATTCGTACACCCATCATCATGGCAGCATTATTCACAATGGCCTAGAGGTGGAAACAATCCATGCCCATCAACAGATAAATAGATAAGCAAAATGTTGTATACAAGCACAATGGAATACTATTCACTCATAAAAAGAATGTAATTTATTTATTTATTTATGTTTATTTATTTATTTTTGAGATGGAGTCTCGCTCTGTCACCCAGACTGGAGCGCAGGTGGCATGATCTCAGCTCACTGCAAGCTCCGCCTCCCGGGTTCATGCCATTCTCTGGCCACAGCCTCCCGAGTAGCTGGGACTATAAGAGCCCGCCACCAAGCCCAGCTAATTTTATTTTTGTATTTTTAGTAGGGACGGGGTTTCACCGTGTTAGCCAGAATGGTATGTGTTCTGTATTAGTCTGTTCTGTGTCACTATAAAGGAATACCTGAGGCTGGGTAATTTATAAAGAAAAGAGGTTTATTTGGCTCACAGCTCTGCAGGCTGTACGTGAAGCATAGTGTCCACATCTGCTTCTGGTGAGGGCCACAAGAAGCTTCCAGTCATGGTGGAAGATGAATAGGAGCCAGCAGAGAGAATGGGAGGAAATGCCAGGTTTTTTCAACAACCAGATCTCGCATGAACTGACAGACTGAGAACTCACTCATTACTGCAAGGACAGCATGAAGCCATTCATGAGAGATTTGCCTCCATGACCCAAACACTCCCCACTAGGCCCACCTCCAGCATTGAAGGATTACATTTCCAAATGAGATTTGGAGGGGAAAAAGCATCCAAACTATATCATGCTACAAGATGGATGGATCTTGAAAACATACTTAGTGAAATAAGTCAGAGACAGAAGGACAAATACTGTGTGATTCCAGTTGTATCAGTGTCTTAGTCTGTTTAGGCTCCTAGAACAAAATACCATAAACTGGTATTAACAACAGAAATTTATTAACAACAAAAATTTATTTCTCACAGTTCTGGAGGACGGGAAGTCTAAGATGAAGACACCAACAGCTTCAGTGTCTGATAAGGGCTCGCTTCCTGGTTCACAGATGGTCATCTTTTTGCTGCATCCTCACGTGGCAGAAGGGTAAGAGGTCTTTCTTGGGCCTCTTTTATAAGGCCATTAGTCTAATTTATGAAGTCGCTGACTACATGACCTAATTACCTCCCAAAGGCCCTACCTCCTATTAGCATCCGCTTGGGGGCTAGAATTTCAACATACAAAACTTCAGGGGACCCAAACATTCAGACTGTAGTGATCAGGTAGCAAGAGTAGGCAAATCTGTAGCGACAGAAAATAGATAGAAGATACCAGGGGCAGAAGGAGGAGTTATGGTTTTATCTGTAGAGAATTTTTGTTGAGGATGCTGAAAACATTTTGGGTGTAGACGGTGGCAATGGTTGTACAACATTGTGAATATATTTAATGGCAGTGAATTGTGGTTAAAATGATAAATATGAAGTCATGTATATTTTACCACAATAAAAAAATCTTAGTTCACAGGTTGCTGTTTCAATCACACTCACTCACAGAAGACTGTTTTTTCTTTCATCATGTTTCCAATTGTAAATCTGTATTTATTTGTGTGGTTTTTGACGATTGTCTTTCTCCTCCCCAGGACTGATGTTCCATAATGATTTCCAAGTCAGATTTGCTTACTTATCTACTAATAGTATCTAGCCCATTGAAATAATTCAGTATAAAACATTTTTACTGAAATTAATATTTTTAGTAATAAGAAAGGAAAATAAAATACAATCTTGAGTAACACATCCATTGCAATTATCTAAATCTTTTCTAGCAGTTACATTTATAGAGATGAATAATTTTAATAGGTCATTTAAAAATATAATTTGGCAAATGTGGCATGACTAGGCCACACACAAACACAGATAGAGAAATAAGTCTAATTATTCTATTGTTACATCACATAATTATCCACGATCAAATTATGGATTGTAGAAAGGATAATTATTCCTAATGGTCTCCAAAAGCCATCATTTGCTTTAATTTGAATTTGGTAGCAATTGAGCAAAGCAGCTGATTACAAAGGGGCATAGCAATGCATTCTGATTTTATGTAATTCATTCTGAAGACTAATAGCGATGGTAAGTTAACAAAGTTTCCTACGAGAATCTATACATATCTTGTAATAGACTTCAAATAAGCCAAGTGAGTGGGAAGTATTATGAACTTTTATATCTTATAATTAGAAATAACTTTGTATGCAACTGACGGTTCTAAGAGGTCAACAAGAAAAAAAGGATGAGGTCTGCTTCTATTTTTAGTTTTCTTTTCTTATTTAAAACTAGACAATTTGAGATTCTAGAATAGCTTCCTTGGTGAATGCTTTAAACTCTGAACACTCAGAAGTATATTGACAAAATTTTATTCTGTAAGCATTTTTATAAAACAATTCTGCTTCCAGTTAAACACCTTTTTCTTTTTTTAATGTTAGTGGTAGTGGTAATGGTGGTGGTGGTGGTAAGGATGGTGGATCCAACACTCCTAAAAATGGGAACTTTCTGTAATTTACATTAATTATATTGAAGTTGTTTTATTATATGTCAAATGTCTACTTTTGCTTCGTCTGCTTTATGAGTAATAAGTGTGTTCTCCAGTTATGTCAGTCTATTTTTCCAAATGGAAACAAATAATTTCATGTGTTTATAAATAAGTGACTAGGGCCTTTAAGACTTTTTGTTGGAACTCAGATAAGTTTGTGTATGATTATAATTTGAGCCTTTCTCTGTGATCTAGGGTTTTTCCGTCTGCTAAATGCCACTGAATAATAATAATAATAAAAAGGCTGCTAAGAAACTAGTTGGCAGAGAGACAAGCTAGTTTGTGAGACATTCAAGATTCTAAGTAGAAGTTTGTGTAAAGTGATAAAGAACGTTGTTGGTTTTTTCCTCTTAGCAGCTGGTTTGAAAGTTCTCCTTGGGGAGTGTTGTTTTATTTCATTTTGTTTTATTTGGAGGAAATGTGTTGGTAAAACATTTGGGGCAAGGGAGATTCCAGTGTGCATGCTTAAGTACTGCAAAGTGCTCTGAAATTGCCCTTTAAATCCAGGGACTACATTAGGTTGACTCACCTTTGTGTGTGTGTGTGTGTGTGTGTGTGTGTGTGTGTGTCCTGCATATATAAATGTGGGTATAATTGCTTAGGCAGAGCTGAATTGCTTTATGTAATAATGGGGTGAGTCTTTAAGGTTTTGTGTTTAATTATTTTAAGGTTTTGTGTTTAATTATTTTTTAAATAGCAATTAGATGTGTATTTCATTATATCAAAAAAGTGAGGGCAGTCAAAGGGGATCACTCTTTTTTCTCAATAAAATTTACTGATCAAAGGAGATCCAGCTATCAGCTATGCTACTTCAGGTCTCCGTGCTTCATCAGTAATTCTGGTGGGGACAGAGTGAGTGCTGACAACAGGAGAGTCATTGGTGGCCTTAAGCTGGGTTTCTGCAGGCTCTTATTCTACCAACGAAGAGGGTGTATTATGGTCATTAATGTCACTCTTTCTGAAGTAGAACCCTGAGGTGTGCTTCCTCAGGTGTCTTGAAGGAAAATCCATTAGCAATTACTTTTGCCTTGAGATATTAAAAGGCAACTTTCCTTGTAATCAATTAAGGAAGCAAAAGTATAAGCAAACAAGATTCCTGAACAAAGTATTGGTGGGTAAGGCTCACTTTTTTTTTATCAGTACAGACAGGCATGCATTTTTAAGGAAAAGGTTCAGATAACCCTGGGTTATCTTTGTTTGGATAATGGTCATGATCTGCCATAATTAGTCATAATCAGTCATAATCATGTACCTCTGTTCATTTTTCCTAAGATAGCAAAATCACAATATGGCTTTGCCTGGAGGGCCACTTGGAAGTTTTCATATGGGCTCTGAGATAGAGGAAGGAGGATCTGGGGCAGTACAAAAGACGCAGTAAAGCTGGAAGATGAGGGAGGAGAAAAAGAGAGAGAGAGAGAGAGATCTCCAGGGGTGCAGGTGACTAGTTCTCCCTGGTGTTTGCAGTCATAGATAACCTGTGTCACTTCCAGACCAAACAGCTCAATAGACAGGTGTGCTTTATCTTTGTTTTCTTTTCTTTTTACTCACTTGATACAGATGAGCAGAAGGATCTCAGAAGTTACATTTTTAAAATGACAGATGGGAACAACCATTACAACTCCTTAGTCTATGAATTACTCCTTGGAGAGGCAACTCCCGTCAACCAGGAACAACCATTTAGCACTCTACATGAGCAAGAAATAAACTTCCATCATGATCGTGCCACTATGTAGCTTGGAGTTCGCTTATTACAGCAGCTAATGTTACCCTCACGAATATACCCTATGTGCAAACTGATGTATGGAGGAAACAGAAACTGTAAATGTGGATTCAGGAGTATAGGGATCAAGGAAAGCAGATGTCTGAGTTGCCTTAAGAAGCCAGGAGATTGAACAGAGGCTTGAGTTGGATCCTCCTGAAACCTAAAGCTTTAGCCACTATTCCAGGACTCGTCCCATAATGTGTGCCTTGTAAGGAGGGGAGGAAAAGAAAGCATTAAATGACACAAAACATGGCCGCCCCAGTCCTTGAAATGACACAAAACATGGCTGCCCCAGTCCCTGCTTCTGTAGCTGATCATGAGTACTAAATTAATAATCAAAACGACCTTATTCCACCTCCTATGCCCTGTGTCCTCCACCAGCACCTTAGCAGGCCAAAGTTCTTTTCTAGTAGGGTGAGTCATATCTTCATTCCCAGAGGATCTGAGTCCTTGGTCCTTGGGATCCTGGCTTCATTGAGTTGCTGCTGTGTTTCCTATCTAGATATATTGGACAAGGGATGCTAAAAGGCACCCCAGGGAATTCTCTGGGTTCCAGGCATTGTTCTGCTTGTCACTATTATGGAACAGCCACTGAATTTCCCATGAATGGTCATGGGGATCATCCATTCAAGCCAGTGACCACCTTTGCTGCCTGTTATTTTAGTAGCATGAGGAGCTCCAAATGCCAGAAGGCAATCTCAGCTTCCCATTTAATAGAACAATGACTTTATTTCTTAGAGGAAAAATTTCTCCCTTGGATAGAAATTAGTACAAGGTATGGGAAAGGAAGCAAAATTCCTTAAGTGGTCCACTTAAGGTGTGATAGGAAGAATCTATCCCTATCTCCACTCTTTGTTTCCTGGGCCTGAGTGTTCTGGCAATGAGCGATAAAGCAATATATTGTCCACTAGGTTAGGGCATATAACACTACTATAGAACAGTGCCCCAACCTCTCAGAGGGTGGTCTCCTCACTGACCCATTGGCAGGCCATTCTGTCTTTCTACCAATCAAGCTGCTTCTAGGTGGTGTGGCACATGATAAAACCAGATAATTCTATGTGCGTAAGTCTACGTCTACACTTACAACACCATAAAATATGTTCTTTGGTCAGAGATGATGTCAAAATGATGAATAAGTCATTCAATAAGTCCAAGAATGATGGTGCTGACAGAAACATTGTGGGTAAGGAAGGAAAATTCTTCTTGAGAATATGTACATACTCCTGTGAAATTAAGTTATGTCTCCCTAATGATAGATAGATAGAAGGGATTCAAAGTAATCAGGCTTCTGGGAGATCTCCTTAAACACCTGAGAATGGTGCTATGATGGGGACTAAACTTTAGTATCTCCTTTTGCTGGTGCTGATAACCTCCTATTAGCCTTGCAAAGGAAGTCCATGTAACTGAGCCCATGTAGCACTTCCATTGATGTCTTTGGAGCGGCCTTGCACATGGGCTCATGGAGAAAGTCCCGGGATGGAGCATCCATTCACTTTCTCACTAAGATCATTCATCCTCCTTAGCATGCTATTTCTTCCTAAAAAATTTTATTTTCTTCCTTAAGATATTCTAGCAGAATGCTCTTACTTCTTGTTCTAATATGAACTTCTTATTCCCTGGTTTTACCACAGAACCAACATCCTGGCCATCCTGAGATTTAATTTTACTGAATTTTGGAGTTTGTTTCACTGTACTTTGATTTCTTATCTTCAGCTTTTTTTCCCTTAGGACTACATTTTTTGTGTGTGCTGGAATTCATATTTTAATACACTTTATAGAAAAACTTTCATCTCTGTCTGTATTAAATGACTTTATTCTATCTTAATGCTTTATTAATATTTTGGTTAGTTATAGTATTTGAGATGTAAAACATTTTCTTTTATAGTCTGACTGAAGTCCTGACTTCATTTACTTCTAGTACTTAATGTTGCTGGTATGAAGTCAGCTGCCAATCTGATTCAATTCTGCCCATGATAATTTGTTTTATTTATTTTTTCTGCAGTTTGTAGGGTTTTCTTTTTATCATTTCTATTCTGAAGTTGTATAAGAATATGTAAAAAATATTTATCTACTGTGCTTACCTTTCCCCTGACTGCTTTTCATCCTTTTTTTTTGTTTGTGATTTATATGTTTTCTATTAATAGCTTTTCTCCTGAAATTATCATTTAAGCAATAATTTTTAACTTATGTCAACTGTCCCTTATTCTTTTTCTTTTTCATTTTACTCTTTTTTTAAATAAATAAATATAACGTTTTCTCAATTTTTTTTTTTTTGAGTTGGAATTTTGCTCTGTTGCCCAGGCTGGAGTGCAGTGGCACGACCTCAGTTCATGGCAACCTCCACCTCCTGGGTTCCAGTAATTCTCCTACCTCACCCTCCCAAGTAGCTGGGATTGCAGGCATGCGCCACCAAGCCTGGCTAATTTTTTTTTTTTTTTTGTATTTAGTAGAGATGGGGTTTCACCATGTTGATCAGGCTGATTTTAAACTCCTGACCTTAGGTGATCCGCCTGACTCCGCCTCCCAAAGTGCTGAGATTATAGGTGTGAGCCACTTCACCCAGCCTCAAAATTTTAAAAAAGAAAAATTAGACTTATAATTCAATTAAAGTTTTTGTCTTTTCCTAAAATTATATATGTTTCCTCTGGGGTCAATATTCTGTTTAATTATCTTGGTGTTTCTCTTTTATTTTGCTATATTAGTAAGAATAATTAATGCTACCTGCTATTACAAATAATCTCAAAATTCTTAGTGCCTTAATCCAATGTAAGTTTTCTTGTTTTGCTTTCACCTCACATAAAGGCCAATGCGTATCATCCTGGTCAGAGAGTTCTCCGGGGCAACTTTCCTATAAGGGATGACTCAGAGATGCAGAGCACCACTACTCTAGGATTCCCATTATTGCTGCAAAAAGTGAGAGAGGAGTATCACATGTAGGAGATTTTGTGTTTCTGGCCAAACCTGGGTGGCTTATGTTTCTACTGCATTCCCCTGTTTAGAATTGGTCATCAGGCCCAATCTAGATGTAAGGATACTGGGAAATGTAGTTTTTCTGTACTCCCCAGAGGATGATAAAATGGCTTGATAAATCTATAGAATTGTCTTTGCCAGAGCCTTTTGCTTTTCTTTTTAATCAAATGTCTGCTGATACTCAGTTGTCCGAGATGATTATGAATTTAGAAATGTTGATTATTACCTGTAACTGACTAACATTTCTTCTGATAGTAGTTTCCTTTTCCCTGCATACAAAGACTGCAAGATTTCTGTTTGTGGGTGTGGTATGTGGACAGGCAGGCTGTACTCTAAGATAAGCAAGCTGGCAGCCTGTACTCTGAAAGCCATTGCCCATCCTAGGCTGATAGTTCATTCAGCTTCACTTTATAGGCACTTTCCTTACACATACTCATGTGTGCGATGTGTGACTCAGCAGCCATTGGACATACAGTTCTTCAATCAGTTGTCTTACTTTAAGCACTTTCTCATGCTTTGACTACATCTCTAAGGGCTTATAGAATGCTATAAAAATGACCCTGCCTCACCTGCTGCTTTCTCTTCTACCTCTATTGAGCTAGTCTCTTTTCGCTCTGATTTACATTAAATCACCTTGGCCATATCCATCTCCGGTCTTTGAGAAACTCATAAAATCTTATTTATTTATTTATTGTTATTTTTTTGAGACGGATTCTCGCTCTGTCACCCAGGCTGGAGTGCAGTGGCGCAATCTCGGCTCATGGCAAGCTCCGCCTCCTGGGTTCAAGGGATTCTCCTGACTCAGCCTCCCGAGTAGCTGGGACTACAGGTGCCCACCACCACGACTGGTTAATTTTTTTGTATTTTTATTAGAGACAGGGTTTCACTGTGTTAGCCAGGATGGTCTCAATCTCCTGACCTCATGATCTGCCTGCCTCGGCCTTAAAATCTTATTTTGTTAATATTCTCCATCCAGTATTTGACAATTATGTTCTTTTCTTCTCTTTTATACTTTTTCCTATAACATATTTCTATACTTTATTGCTTTTATTTTGGAGTGAGGGGAGATAAATGAGTTTTTCTCAATCTATGACTTTGAACTTAAATTTTTCACTTAGCGTAATATGATGTTTCATGCCAATAAAACTATTTTGCATATCATTAAATAATATTCTAAAGTAAGTTTTGAAATATAAAAGATATTCCATTTTATAATTTACTATAATTTACCTACTCATTTCCTCTGATTGAATATTTAAGTTATTTCAGTATTTTCTTTCTTTCTCTTTCTTTCTTTCTTTCTTTCTTTCTTTCTTTCTTTCTTTCTTTCTTCCTTCCTTCCTTCCTTCTTCTCTCTCTCTTTCTTTCTCTTTCTTTCTTTCTTTCTTTCTTTCTTTCTTTCTTTCTTTCTTTCTTTCTTTCTTTCTTTCTTTCTTTCTTTCTTTTTTTTTGAAGGAGTCTTGCTCTGTCACCCAGGCTGGAGTGTTGTGGCATGATCTCGGCTCACTGCAACCTCTGCCTCCTGGGTTCAAGTGATTCTCCTGCCTCAGCCTCCCAAGTAGCTGGGATTACAGGCATGCACCATCACGTCCAGCTAATTTTTATATTTTTAGTAGAGACAGGGTTTCACCATGTTGGCCAGACTGGTCTTGAACCCCTGACCTCAGGTGATCCACCTGCCTCGGCCTCCCAAGGTGCTGGATTACAGGCGTGAGCCATCACGCCCAGCCAGTATTGTTTTTCACAATTAAAAAACTCTGCAGTGGATATTCTTGTACTTGAGGTGTTAGATGTCTAATTATTTTCTTGGATCAAATTCTTTGAAGCAAATTTGCCAAGTCAGAAAATATTTGCTTTTTTATGACTTCATGTACGTATAGCAAATTGCTCTACAGAAATACACACCCTACTGTCTCACAGGCCATCAGCAGTAGGCATTAGCATTTTAAAAAATCATTAACAATTTATTTATATACCAGTAGCACTTACTAACTGGGTGCCCTGGTTGACTCAACTGTAAAACATGGTCTAAGTCTTGGGCTGTTGTAAAGATTAAACATATACTTCATACATGCCTATCATAAACTAAATATACAGTACATTTTATTTTTAAAATGATAAATTATTTTTAAAATGAACCACCTGCCTGTATCTCAGGTTGGTTGGGAGGATTATATTAGATAATATATGTAAAAATACACAGAAGTGGCATATAAGTAGAATATAATTGTTAAGTATTATTATCCTTTCTCCCAATAAAGGCCTCTTAAATGCGAGAGTAACCTAAATCCCAAGACTCTGGCTAGGACACAGTGACAGCAAGCAAATCATGTGGACAGCATCTAAGCTTCGGGGCAGGTGGTCTGATTGACCCATTACTGAAGATCAAAGAGAACAACAAAGGATTGACCTCAGGGAATTTACTTCTCCTTGGCCAAGCATTCAGATTTCCTTTTCATTACAGATTCAGCTGAGCATCTGCGTGTAAGCAATTTATCCATAAGACTGCTGTCCTCTCTTTCCTGTACACCATCACTGTGGCTAAGTGATTTTCTACTCACCCCCCACTCCCACTGTGTCTATATATGAATATGACAAAGGTACACAGAGGCCAGATTTCTGGTCTACTCAAGAGCTCTGAGGATTTTTATCTCAAGCTGGCAGGGAGGAAGGACAGAGCTTTGAAAAGAATAAAGTGAGCAGAAGTAGGGTGATATTGTGGGTAAAGGGATAATCTTGGATATGGAAAGGTGAAAGTAAAATTAAAAAATTAGGTCCAGAAATTGGAGGAAAATGGAGAACTTGGGTTGAATAAGTGGATTGATTCAGCTGTGCCTCCATTTTGACCTTTTCTGTGACCTCAAGATCTTTGGGATAAAATATTGACTACATGGATAATTTTATATTAAAAGCCTTATTTTTTTCCTCCTTTCTTCTTTCTTCCTCTGATTTTTGTGTCCTGAAGTCCACCCTAGCCAGTTAAATGAAGCCATAGTTTTCCATTGACGTCCAGTCTAAAATTCATTTGATTAGGAATATGTTTCACTAGACTCACTCCAGCTGTCCTTGTGTCTTACTTAGTTTCCTACATCTGTGACCCAGAATAAACTCTGAACATCCTCCATGTATTGCTTTATGAAGTAAATGAGTCAAGCACTTGTTCAAAACAATGATATTCTTTCTGAGTTTATGTCAGTTAGGTTATAATTTTTCTGCTAGGAAGAGATGTTAAATAACTGTAGCTCAAACAACCTCCCCCTAAAAAAGTTTTCTTTGTTTTGTTTTGTTTTGTTTTGTTTTGTTTTGTTTTTTCTCATGAAAGAAGCCCAGAGTGAGGCAGTCTTGAGCCATTACGAAGGCTGCAGGGCAGTTTTGGCAAGGTGGAAGTTTATTTTCCGTTCACATAAAAGCCTGAGTGTAAGTACTTCAAGTAGCTGCAGCAGCTACATCAAAATCTAGGACCCAGAACAATGGTCTGCTTTGCTCCCCTTGAAGTACTAATAGTAGCCCAAGGTTGAGTGCAAGCTATCCCTCTAAGATACCAGAAAGCGGAATAGAGGAAGGGAAAAAGAATGGACACACAGTACTAAAAGATTCTTTTTAGGACTCTTAGTGAAAGTTGCACACAACACTGAACCTTACATTCCTTCATCAGAACTAAGTCAATGACTGCACCTGAATATAAGCAAATCTGAAAAAAAGTTTTATCATTTTTTTATCCCGAATGTCCCTCTCCAAGCTAAATTTAATTTTGGTTTATTAGAGCAGAAATTGGAGAACAGATACTGGAGGGACAAATAGCAGGTTTTTGCCACGGCAGAATATTTTACTTGGTAGATAGCGTAAAAAGTAAATTGAGGATATGATAAAGTCAACTGTTTTAAGAAAAGCAGAACTTTATTCCAGGGGAAAAAAATCAAATTATAAAAGAGAGTAACTGTAATTATATCTGTATGACCTTGTGCTGAACAGTTATTTATGAAGTCCTAATAATGTAAACACAATTTGTTTCAACTTTTAGAATCAACTTATAGACAAGGCATGAAAATACTTGATTATGCTACTTAATAGAATGTAAATATTATCAGCCTTGACAATGTGAAAGTAAAAGTGCAGATGACAAATGTATTGCATGGAAGGAAATAAAAGAAACAAAGGAAAGTTTGAGGATACCAATATCATCATATTGTGAAGTGAAGAGTCAAGAGATACTATGGATTTTTAAAGGATCAAAGAATAAAGATGTAAGGATATATGAAGTGTGAATATTGCTTAGAGGTACACAGCCAATTAAGAGTGAATCTGATGAATAGTGATATAATTATGTGGGAGCATTGAGGCTTAGTTAGAAGGGATAAGTAAACGAAATAATTATCTATTATGGCTATCCCAACAAACTCTGTCCCCCTTCCCAGGGGAGGTGACACCCCATTGTTCAATATGGGAGTGAAGAGGATAGTTCTGTGGATTGGTGATGGCTTTATTTAACTGGCTAGGGTGAACTGCAGGACATGAAAATCAGAGGGAGAAAGAAGAGAAGAGGAAAAAGAATAAGGCTCTTAATATAAAATCTTCCTTGTAGTCAATATTTTATCCCAAAGATCTTAAGGTCACACAAAAGGTCAAAGCAGGGGCACATCTGGAAAATCAATCCACTTATTCAACTCAAGTTCTCCATTATTCTATAATTTTTGGGCCTAATTTTTAAATTTTACATTCATCCTCTTAGATAGTTAAGAGGATGTCATTGTGATCTAATTAGATAATATAAAAGGTGTACTATAGAGGTATAGATAAACAGATGAATAAATAAGTAGTATTTAATGCAGGAGAATTCCTTTTGTTCAAGTATTCATAGCGGATTAAGCCAGGCTAATGTAACAAATCATCTGAACCACCCGAACTTACAAAATGACCTCCAATTATCAATTGTCTCCCTACACGTCTCCACTCCAGGAAAATAATGTGCTGGCTGAAGAGCCCATCCCCAGAATCAGTGGAAATAATATTTTTCATTATGGAATTTTAAATTTATAAATTGACAGTCTAGTTTATACAGCAACCTTTTCTTTGAGCTTGAACAGACCATGAGAAACTGATCAAGTGAGGAAAATTGCTTAACAACTTTAGTGCTCATTATTTTCATCCACAAATGTAATGAGTTGACCTTAATGAACTATGAATACCTTTCATTGTGGGAATGAATGAATCTATGGACTCATGGTGAACTGGAACGATTTACCTAGACCAATGCTTCCTAATATAATCAACCAAAGAGATGATTTTATTTTTTATGTAAATATAATTCAAGGGCTCCCAGATGATAATTGTTTTACTTATTCAGTCTAGAAAAACAGTGGCTAATGCTTTGTAATAATGTCCTGTGTTAAGAGCCAAGTGTCCTCCCGCCTGTAGGCCCTGTTGATGAGTGCCACTCCTTTAATGAGATTCTCATCATGACTCATCCTCCCTGTGTCTACCACTCTGCCTTCAGTTGGAGCCTGCTCCAAAGGTTCTCTCCCTTTGCCTATGTGGTCAGTCTCACTTGTACCAACTGCTTTCTTTCTGTTCCTTTTTTTTTGTTTGTTTTGCTTTTTTTATTCTTTTCTATGTTTGGCACATTCAGATGACATTTTATCTGGTCATATGTGTCCCAGAGTTTACAAACTTACTTATCTATCCTTAGCACATCTCATGAATTCTGCCCGTGTCTCACAAGCTATTTGCCTCTGCACTTGTTTCTTTACCCTCCTTATTTGCTTTCTTATCTCTGTAACAGATTCTAACACCGCAGGATGGGCCCTGATGGGTGTTAGGGGACTGACGTGCTTTTGGCCATCGCTACCACCCTGTCTCTGCTTGTCATTCTTTGAGGTCTTTGCCTTTAATGTCTACAGACCCCTTGAAATCTATGACTTAACAGTCTCTGTCGACCTATTTTGGCATCCAAAGATGATTCAGTAACTGATACATGTTCTTTTCTCTTTCCTTAATCCTTATCTTCTGATCCTTCACTTCTTCCATTATCCCAGTTAACCGCACCCAGAGGCAGTGCACTGGACCCCCATCCTGGCTGTTTTGACTTGGTTCTTTTGAGCCATCCTGTTGGTTGCACCCAGTCTCATCCGTATTGTGGATCCCATTATGCAGTTAATGTCTGCTGTGTTGCACACAGTATTCTCTTGTTTTCTCAGTGTTTTTTCTAGATTCACATCCTTGCCTTATCTAAACCATGATTTTTCTTTTTGGATACTAAAATTTCTACTTTTCTCTACCACTGAAAGCTTTGGAGTCAGACTCCTGGCTTGGTAGCTTGGCTCAAATACTAATCTTGTTGACCATGGGCAGAATCCTCAAACTCATCTCTGACTCAGCTTTCTTATCTGTGGGGTAGAGGTGACAACATAAGCACCTACAGCATAGGGACTTTATCAGGATAAAGTTGAATTAAACACACACAACACTAAGAACAGTGCCTGGGGAACAAGAAGAACTAATAGATTTCAGAGAAACTGCAGTGTCTGCACAGTTGCGACACAAATCCCTGCTGCTCTTGCTGTATGATGGGAAATAATACAGTGTGTAGATTAAACACGTGAGCTTCATAGTCAGTCAGCATTAGATTGGACCCAGATGCTGCCTGTGCAGTGTGACTCTGGGCAAGTAATTTAGTCTCTCCAAGCTTCAATGCCTTCATTTGTTAAGTGGGACAAATAACAACTGCCTCTCAGGATTATGTAGCTTTATTTTAAGGGTGATAATGTTAAAAACAACTAGATGGCACCTGGACACAGCAAGTATTCATAATATAATATGTTATCTGTTAAGAATAAAAGAAATTATCCATCCTTTATGTCTCTTTAGTCTACTAATTTTTTCTTTTTTCTTTATGTATTTATTTATTTATTTTTTTTTTGAGAGGGAGTCTCTCTGTTGCCAGGCTGGAGTGCAGTGGTGCGATCTTGGCTCACGGCAACCTCCACCTCCCGGGTTCAAGGGATTCTCCTGCCTCAGCCTTCCGAGTAGCTGGGATTACAGGCACGCACCACCATGCCCAGCTAATTTTTGTATTTTTAGTAGAGATGGGGTTTCACTATGATGGCCAGGCTGGTCTACTAATTTCAAAACTGATTTGGGACTTTCTTTGTCATTTATTTTCAATTTGCACATAAACTTTGTTGTTTTTCATAAAACACCTCTTTCGTAACTCCTTACTTTCCTAAATTTTTTTCCACATTTCTTTTGTCTCAACATCCCTTAGTCAGTGACCATTCAATTATAATATAGCACATTACTTTTAACAGAGCACAGCAGGATTTTAAGCAGAGATATGAAGTAAAACTTTCTCACATCCTCACTTCTCTTCATAATATAGTCACAAATAAACATCCCTGACAGGTCAAGTGATTGTTGCTGCTGGTATGACTCAGTGCAATCCTTACATTTGGAATCTTAGGGTGCATGTATGAAAGTGTGCATGTGTGTGCATGTGTATATGTGTGTGTATGTAGGGGTGTGTGTGTTTGTGTTTGTGCACACGTATGCTGACCTCTTGCTCCTTGAATTTGATTTTCCTTCTTTGATGTATCTTGCTCTGGGAGTGAGAGCAACCAGACACCTCAGTCCTCATTCTGACTTTCCTCTGAATGGTTCCTCTTTTCGCTGCCCCAATGTTTCCATTATCCCAATTAACCACTCCCAGAGGCAGTGCACTGGACCCCCATCCTGGCTGTTTTGACTTGGTTCCTTTGAGCCATCCTGTTGGTCACATCCAGTCTCATCCCTATTGTGAATCACATTATGCAGTTAATGTCTGCTATGTTGTATACGCTGTTCTCTTGTTTCCTCAGTGTCTTTCTAGATTCACATCCTTGCCCTATCTAAACCATGATTTTTCTCTTTGGATACTAAAATTTCTACTTTTCTCTACCAATGGGCTCTCCAAAACCAACACTGCAGGACAGGCCCTGGTGGGTGGTGGGGGACTCATATGCTTTTGGCCATCTCTACCACCCTATCTCTGCTTGTCATTCTTTGAGGTCTTTGCCTTTAATGTCTACAGACCCCTTGAAATCTATGACTTAACATTCTCTGTTGACCTATTTTCACATCCAAAGATGATGCAGTAACTGATTAATGTTCTTTTCTCGTTTCTCTCTCTCTGGCCTTTATTTATGAGGACAGCCTATCTATTGAGTAACCCTTTAGATCTTAAATCTTACACCACATGGGACAAAAACTGCATGCCTTTGTCTCACAAGACAGGTCTTTCTTGACATTTAAAAAAAATTTCCAGCATATTCAATCCACATAGTATCACTCTTTCTGGGATCATCCATTCACATCATTGCTTCTTTTTCTTTCCTCTCATTCTGACTGCTTTTTGGTGCTATTCTCAATAGGTATTTACTATAGACTGAAGCAAAGGAATTGGAGTTTGAGCCTAATGTTCTGAATTCTCTTATTTACCTTCTCAAATAAGTAAAATGGAGTGCAAGTTGGACTCATAATTGGTGGTTCTCAATACATAGTCTAAAAATACATGTACCTCAAAAATATAAACACTGCAGATCAAAGATTATCTTGACACTTCTCTTTCTTGCTGTCTTTTCCAGAAATAACCATTATTATCAATCTTGTGTGCATTTTCCGGTCCTTTTTCTCTCTACGTATTTGCATTCTCTACTAAAATAAACTTCATGGAAATGGATAGTTGGCACCCCATTACTCTTGGTTAAATGAATGAATGTGTATCTGTGTGTATGTGTGTGTGGGCACATACATATATATATATGTGTGTGTGGGCACATACATATATATATATGTATGTGTGGGCACATACATATATATGTGTGTGTGTGGGCACATACATATATATATACACACACACACACACACATATATACACACACGTGTATGCTAACTGCTTTGTGTATGTTTTGAATGTGTTTTGATATAAACCATATTGCTTTGTACATATTACTTGGCAACTTACTTTTTTCACTGAACAACATACCTTGGGGATATTTCCATGTTACCACATCTTGTTCTATTTTGTTCATTTTAACTGTTGTTAAAATGTATGTTATGGATATTTATCTGTCCAATTCTCTACTGATGGATATTTACATATTGCCTATACTTTGCCCTTTATAAGGCTATAACAGAAGTCCTGGCAAAATTTTCTGCCCACCTATGCATGTATTTTTATGGAATTGTTTCTGAGAAGTAAGTTGTTGAGTCAAATGTTATGTGCAGTTTTTGTTTTTTTTGTGTTTTTTTGTTTGTTTGTTTTTCGATACGGAGTCTTGCACTGTCGCCGGGCTGGAGTGCAGTGGCATGATCTCGTCTCACTGCAACCTCCACCTCACGGGTTCAAGCAATTCTCCTGCCTCAGCCTCCCGAGTAGCTGGGACGACAGGCACGTGCCACAATGCCCAGCTAATGTTTGTGTTTTTTTTTTAATAGAGACGGGGTTTCACCATGTTGGCCAGGATCGTCTCGATCTCTTGACCTTGTGATCCACCCGCCTTGGCCTCCTAAAATGCTGGGATTACAGGCGTGAGCCCCTGCGCCCGGCCATGTGGAGTTTCAATAAACACTGCCAAATTACCCTCCATAAAGACTGTTGCAGTTTACTTTCCAGCTGTGCATGAGAGCATGTTATTTCCCTACATGCTTGCCAACATCAGATACTATTGATTCTTTTAATTATGCCAATCTGATGGGTGAAATGGTGGGTTTTTAAAAACATTACATTCAACCGATCATTAGATCTAGCCTCTTTCTGTATGTATGTTGGCCTTCCTCAGTGCAGGTCTATCTTTTACGCATTTTCTCTTCTTTTCCTATTTCAGAGGAAAAAAGTTCCCCCTTCTTGATGTCCAATAATTAATCCACATGCCTCTTTGTTTCTCAAATATCTTCTTTCTTTAGCATCTTCAATTTTCCTGTCTTTATGTAGTTCTTCCTCTTGGCTTTCTATATAATCAGACTATAAATACGTTGGAATAAAAGACTGTATTCAACTCTACCATTCCCTTTAACCTCTCCCTTACTCGCTCTGCCCCTAAACTTGTCAAATGAGTGCTCTGAATCTGCTACTTTCTCCTCCTCTAGTCAACAACATCGGTGAAGTCATTCAGTCCTAATTTTACTGAATTTTTAAAGTTCTTTTAAATCCTGCTGCCACCTCTTTGTACCCACAGTCTCCTCTGAACTTCCAAGATACCATCCCATTTCTTGTCTTCCCTCTAGAACTACTTTCTTAATTTCTTAAGCTTACTTTTCCCCTCCTTTTACCTATAAGTGTGGATGTTCAACAGTTTTTATTTTTGGACCTTTGTTCCTTTTTCTTCACTTGTTGCTTTGGAGATCTCATCCATTCCAAACATTTCAACTATTTTCTCTCTGCGGATGACCCCTGAAGTCAGTATTTCTAGTCCTGGTGTCTCATTAAAAATCCAAATTTTCACTTGCACTTTTCTGATTGAATTGGACTCAATGTGACTTCAAGGTCAGAATGACAAATGACATTTAGTATCTTCCTCTCTCTCAAACTGAATTCTGTGATTTTATCAACTTTTTTTTTTTTTGTATGTAATGAGAAACAGAACATCTTACTTTCCAAGTAGTGAATTCTCCCTGGATAGAGACTAATTTTGTCTACTGAATACTTTGATGAGTCACTTTTGATGTAGGGGAATAGGTGAGAGGGCAACCTCAGGAAGGACTGAGCTTGTAGAGAAAGAGGTGGCTATGCAACTGCTTTCCAAGTGGTGCTGAGCTGCTGTTACACTTTTGTTTTGCTGGATACACTTTCAAGAGCTGAATTGTCTGGGGCTATAATGAGGATGGCAGTGGCTGTGGAAAGAAAGAGGAGGAAAAAGGTAGCTGGCAACCAGAATGGAAATTTGGCAAAAGAACAGACACGTTTAAGAGGGATTTTATGAGGCTCTGCCCTGCTCCACTGCATGCATGATATACTTGCTTACTTATCTCTCTGGAAAATCTTCAGCACAAAACCTTTTCTTACTGATTGATTGTGATTAATTGCAGTTAATTAGTTAAAATGTGGCATTAATTATTGACATTCTCTTGCTTAAATTTTCTCAGTGGTTTTCTGTTGTCCTAACACTGTATCAAAAATAATTCTTTCTTTTACAGCTTTATTAAAATGCACTTGACAAACAATAGACATCTTTAAAATGTACAATTTGGTAAGCTTTGACATACGCAAACACCTGGGAAACCATCATAAAACTTAATGTAATGAACTTACACATCACCTCCAAAAGTTTTGCTGTGGCCCGCTATTTATTTATTTATTTAAATTTCAACTTTTATTTTAGATACAGGGAGAACATGTGCAGATTTGTTACATGGGAATATTGCCTAATACTGAGGTTTGTACTGAGGTTTGAAGTACAGATCTTGTCACCCAGGTACAGAAGATAGTGCCTGATAGGTAGTTTTTCAAAACACTTCCCCTTGTCTCTCTCCCCCTTCTGGTAGTTCACAATGTCTATTGTTCCATTGTTTATATCCATGTATGCTCAATGTTTAGTTCCCACTTTTAAGTGATAACATGCGATATTTGGTTTTCCGTTCCTGGATTAATTTGCTTAGGATTATGGCCTCCAACTGCATCCATTTTGCTGCAAAGAACATAATTTCATTCTTTTTTTATGGCTGCGTACCATTCCATGGTGTATATGTACCACATTTTCTTGATCCAATCTACCATTGATGGGCACCTGGTTTGATTCCATGTCTTTGCTATTGTGAATAGCCTTGTGGCTTTTTATAATTCCATCCTTCTCTCCATGCTGTTCCCAGACAAACACTGATAGAGTGCTTCTTCTATTACTATAGATTTCTTTGTGTTTTCTAGAATTTAATATAATGCAATTATAAACTATGTACTCTTTTTTGTTTCTTTACTTTTATTCATCATATTATTTTGAGATTTATCTATGTTGTTTTAAATTTAAATAGTTCATTCTTTTTATTGCTAATTTTCCTTTGTGTGGATACATGACAATTTCAGCATTAGTTCGCCCATTAATAGGCAATTGGATTTTTTCCAAATTTTGACTATTACAAATAAAATTGTTATGAAAATTTGTGTCTTTGTGTGGACCTGTGCCTTTCTTTCTTTCTTTTTTTTTTTTTTAGACAGAGTCTCTGTCTGTCACCCAGGCTGGAGTGTAATGGCACAGTCTCGGCTCACCACAACCTCCATCACCTGGGTTCAAGCAATTCTCCTGCCTCAGCCTCCCGAGCAGCTGGGACCACAGGCATGTGCCACCACGCTCGGCCAATTTTGTATTTTTACTAGAGATGGGGTCTCTCCATGTTGGACAGGCTGGTCTTGTATTCCCTGCCTCCAGTGATCCTCCCGCCTTGGCCTCCCAAAGTGCTGGGATTACAGGCGTGAGCCACTGCACCCAGCAAACATTTCATTCCTTTAGTGTTATCTTTTCACCATCTAGTTTTAAATGTTGATGAAATTCAGCTTTTTTCTTTTATGCTTCATGCTTTTTGTGTTTTATTTAAGAATCACTAATAAGCCCAACATTACTGAGATTTTCTCTCATGTCTTCTTCTAGAACCTTTATAGTTTTAGCAAATCTGTTTAAATGTATAATCCATTTTGAGTGAGTATGTGTTGCTGGTATAAGGC
The DNA here is from genome assembly GCF_000001405.40 of Homo sapiens. Classification (NCBI taxonomy): domain Eukaryota; kingdom Metazoa; phylum Chordata; class Mammalia; order Primates; family Hominidae; genus Homo; species Homo sapiens. The sequence continues at coordinate 142,826,359 of NC_000007.14, read as the reverse complement.
AAGGTTGAGGTTTATTATTGTTATTTTGCATATGGTTAGCTAATTGCTCCAGAACCACTTACTGAAAAACTATTCTTTCCCCAGTGAACTGCCTTTTCAGCTTTGTTGAAAGTCAGTTGTCCAAATATGTGTGGATCTACTTTTGGATTCTCTATTCTGCTCAAAATTTTTTGACATAAAGTTGTTTATAATATTCCTTTAACATTCTTTTAATACCTGTAGATTTTGTAGCAGTACCTTCTCTCTCATTCCTAATATGAGTAATTTATATTTTCTCTCTTTTTTCCTGATTAGTCTGCTAGCACCCTATCGATTTTATTGATCTTCTCAAATAACAAACTTTTGGTTACTTTGGTTTTTCTTTACTGGTTTTGTGTTCTCCATTTCACTAATTTCTCCTGTGATATTTATCACCTTCTTTCTTCAGCTTAATTTTAGGCTTAATTTGCTCTTCTTTTTCTAGTTTATAAGGTGGAATCTGAGGTCATTGATTTGAGAACTTTCATTTTCTAGTGGCAAATTCAAGAGGACTCCACTAAATCACTCCTGTTTAGTGATTCACTGGAAGAACTCAAAGAATTCAAGAAGGCCACAATACTCACAGTTTATTAGAGTGGAAATACAGATTAAAGACAGTGAAGGGAAGAGGCTCATAGAGCAGGGTTCAAGAGAGCGTAGGCATGCAGCTTCCAGTTGTCCCCAGCAGAGATGTGCAAACAGCACTTATTTCTCTCAGCAATGATGTGTCACAGTATGCATAAAGTATTGACTTTCTTTTTTCTCAATATTACTTTAGTTATTGGTGGTTTCACACAAATTTCGAATTTTTAAAACTGGAGTCATTCACCTGAGCTTTGTGTCCAGAGTTTTTATTGGAGGTTTGTCCAGAGCTTTTTACAGGGGTTTGGACACACTAATACACTGTGTAGCCTAAAGTCCCCACCATAAATCATTGTTAGCATAGGCTGTCTGGTATGGCCCAAACCCTCCCAGATAAACAAAGTTATTTTAATCAGGCAGGACATTCCAAGGGTTTAAAAGTTATGATCCAAAGCCTAGGGAAAAGGGAGGACCAAAACTTTCTTTGGGCAAGGTTAATCCTTTACTGTACACTAATGTAAATATTTTAGTGCTATGAGTTCTCCTCTGTGTACTGAATTAGCTGCATTTCAAAAATTTTTGATATATTGCGTTTTTATCCTTATTTACTTCAAAATACTCTATAATTCCTCCTTTGATTTATTCTTTGACCCATAGGTAGTTTATATACATGTATTTAGTTTCCAAGTATTTGGAGATTTTCCAGATTTTTCTACTATTAATTTCTAATATAATCCCACTGGAGAGAGATAATGTAACTTGTACTACTTGATTCTTTTTTTATTAAAATCCAAAATGAAAGAGAAGATATTACAACTGATACCACAGAAATACAAAGAATTGTGAGACTACTATGAAGAATTATACACCAACAAATTGGAGAACCTAGAAGAAATGTATAAATTCCTAGACACATACAACCTACTAAGACTGAATCATGAAGAAAAAAATCTGAACAGATCAATGATTGAGGAGATTAAATTAGTAATAAAATTTTTCCCATCAAATAATAGCCAAGGACCTGATGGCTTCACTGCCAGATTCTATCAAACATTTAAAGAAGAACTTATGCTAATTGTTCTCAAATGTTTCCAGAAAATTGGAGAAGAGGGAGTCCTTTTAAACTCATTTTATGAAGCCAGCATTACCTGATACCAAAACCAGACAGGGATACTACAAGAAAAGAGAATTACAGGACAATATTTCTGATGAATATAGTTGTTAAAATTCTCAACAAAATATCAGCAAACTGAATTTGACATCACATTAAAATGATCATACATTATAATCAAGTGGGATTTATCCCTGGGATGCAAGCATGGCTCAACATATACAAATCAATAAACGATACACCATATTAACAGAGTGAAGAACAAAAGCCATATAATCATCTCAACGGATGCAGAAAAAGCATCTGATAATTTCAACATCCCTTCATGACAAAAACTCTCAACAAATTAGGTATAAAAGAAATATACTTTAACACAATAAAGGTAATATATTACAAGCCCATAGCTAACATCATTTTCAACAGTAAAAAGTTGAAAGCCTTTTCTCTAAGATCAAGATCAAGACAAATATGCCATCTTGTTACCTTTATTCTACATAGTACTGGAATTCCTAGTTAGAGCAATTATTAAAGAAAAAGAAATAAAAGGTGTCTAAATTACTATTAAAGTAAAACCATCTCTGTTTGCAGATGATACGATCTTAAATTATATAAAACCCTAAAGACTCTAGTAAAAAAGTATTAGAACTAATAAACAAATTTATTAAATTTGCAGAATACAAAATCAACATACAAAAATCAATTCCATTTATGTACACTAACAATGAACTATGTAAAAGAGAAATTTAGAAAATGATCCTATTTACAAACATCAAAAGGAATAAAACACCTTGAAATAAATTTAACCAAGGAGGTGAAAGATCTGTACACTAAAAACCGTAAAACAATGATGAAAGAAATTGAAGAAGATACAAATACATGGAAATCTATCCTACCTTCATAGATCAGAAGGGTCAATATTGTGAAAATGTCCACACTACCCAAAGTCATCTACAGATTGAATGCAATCTCTATGAAATTTCCAGTGGCATTTTCACAGATTAAATATTGCTTTAGATAGCTAAAGCAATATTAAGAAGAAAGAAGAAAGCTGAAGGCATCACATTTTCCAGTCTCAAGTTATATTACAAATCTATAGTAATCAAAACAGTATGGTATTGGCTTAAAAACAGACATATAGAATAAAGGAACCGAACAGAAAGCCCAGAAATAAACCCACACATATATGGTCAACTAATCTTTGACAAAAGCACCAAGAGTATGCAACGGGAAAAGGGTAGCCTCTTCGATAAATGGTGCTGGGAAATTGAATATCTGTATCCAAAAAAATAAAATAAAATAAAACTGAACCCTTATGTTACACTATATACGGAAAATCAACTTTAAATGGATTAAATATTTAAATGTAAGATCTGAAACTGCAAAAATTTTATAAGAAAACATAAAAAAAAGCTTCATGACATTGGTCTTGGCAATTTTTTTGATGTAACAACAAAAGAACAGATAACAAAAGTAAAAATAAACAAATGGTAATACATCAAACTAAAAAAGCTTCTGCATGACAAAAGAAACAATCAACAAAATGAAAAAGCAAACCATGAAATGGGAGAAAATTTTGTAAACCATATGTCTGATAAAGGGTTAATATCCATTTAAAAAAATGGGCAAACCGCCTGTTTTCAAAGAATATATGTTTTCATTTTTTCACTTTTCCAAAGAAGATAATCAGGTATATGAAAAGGTGCTGAACATCACTAATCATCTTTTTTGATTATTCAACATTTTTCTAAAGTAGACACTCAAATGGCCAAAAGGGATATGAAAAGGTATTCAACATCATTAATCATTAGGGAAATGAAAATCAAAACCACAATAAAATATTACCTCACATTTGTTAGGCTGGTCATTATCAAAAAGACAGTATTTTTCTTTCAGTATTTTAAAGATGTTGCTTTACTGTGTTCTCACTTGCTTTGTTTTCACCAAGAAATCTTCTGTCATCTTTATCTTGTTCTACTGTACAAAACATGTTTTTATCCTGTGGCTGCTTTTAAGATTTTCTCTTTAACACTAATTTTCAGAAATCTGATTATGATATTCTTTGGTGTATTTTGTGTATGTATGCTTGAGTTTTGTCAGGCTTCTTGGATATGTGAGGTTCGAGTTTTATTGACTTTAGAAACTTTCAGTCATGATTTCTTCCAATAGTTTTTTCTTTCTTCCCATCTTTCTTCTCTTCTTTTAAAACCCCAGTTATGTTAGTTCACTTTAAGTTGTCCTGTAACAATTAATTGTCTGTTTCCTTTCAAAAATTATTTTATTTCCTCTATCCTCCATTTTTGGTTTGCCTTTGTTGCTATATCTTCCTAGGTTACTAGTATTTTCTTCTACATTGTCTAATCTATCATTAATCTCATCCAGTGTATTTTTCATCTCAGATATTGTCATTTTCATCTCCAGAAGTTGGCTTTGCAGCTTTTAAAAATATCTTCTATGTCTGCTTAACATCTCTAGCTTAACTATTTTATTTTTAAATTAAATTATTATTATTTTTTTACTAATTCTAACATCTGTGCCAGTTTTCCTTTCATTATACGTTGCATTTTTCTGCTATTTTTGTATGCTTGGTAATTTTTTTATTTTATTCCATACATTGAGTTTTAATTTTGTGTTGGACTTTTTATTTTTCTATAAATATTTTTGAGCCCTGTTTTAGAATACAGTTACATTTCTTGAAATAATCTGATGCTTTTGTACCTGGCTTTAATCATTTGTTAGATGACAGCAGAGCAGCATTTAGTTTAGAGATCATTATCCTCCACTTCTGAGCCCAAACACTTCTGAGCTCTTGTCCCAATGCCCCATGAATTTTAATGTTTTTGAGTTTGGCTGGTGAAACTATACACTATTCCCGGCCCTACATGAAATTCAGTTACTGTTTTCTTTAATCCTTTGTGTGGTTATTTTCCCAATCTCAGGTGGTTTTTTCACACTCATGCTCTTGTTAATACCCTACTGAATACTGAGGGTGGGCTCTCTGATGACCTCACAAATTCTCTCTTTGCCCGCTTCTCTCCTCTGCTATCCTCAGCCCTGTGAACTCTACTTGACTTATTCTCCTCTCAGCTGTGTCTCCTTGACTCGAGGAGTTTGATGGTTTCCCCCTGGATTTCCCCTCTCTGTGCCATGGCCTGGAAATTGTCTCAAGGTGGTAAGCTTGTTTTATTATAAAACTCACCTCATTTTTTCTTGTCCTTCCTTGCCTGATGTCTAATGTCTTGACAACTGGTGCTTTATGTATTTTGTCCCTTACTTTGTTTTCACTGGAAATAGAAAGTCAATTATTTTTAAAGAGATTTTTTAAATGGCACAAATACTGTTTTTTATATTTATTACATATTTACTAATGATATTCTATCTGTAATAGTCTGTAGTTGGTTTGTATCAGCTCATAGGACCCAGTTGTTAAATATCCAGAAATTCTGTGAACCAGTTGTTAGAAATTGTTGTTTGCTTGAATTTGGCCATGGTGGGAATATTTATATTCACAAAATTGGTCAAAATGCTATAAATCCAGGCTTTTCCCTTTTTTCCTTTTTATCCCTCACAGGGAGCTGGCTTACCAATTCCATCTGGACTTTTTTTCATTTTGTCTGAAAGACATCCTTTAACATTTCTTATAGTGTGTGTGTCTCCTGGCAAAGAATTATTTTAGTTTTTTCATGTCTGAGAAGTTTATTGTGCCAATGTTTTTGAAAGATATTTTCACTGGATATAGAGTACTAGGTTAAGAGGATTTTTTTTACTTTAAATAATTTAAAGATGTTTCTCCACACTCTTTTGCCTGAATTGTTTCTAGTGAGATGACTGCAGTCATTCTTAACTGTGTTCATTTGTACATAGTGTGTCTTTTATTCTCTGGCTGCTTTTCAAGATTTTTCTTTATTAGTTTTAAGCAATCCAATGATACTATATCTTGTTAAAGTGTTCTTCATGTTACTTGTGCTTGGAGTTCATGAAACTTCTTCAATCTGTGGCTTTTCCTTTTCATTAAATTTAAAACTGCTTCAGCTATTAGTTATTCAATTTCTTTTTTCTGCATTAGTCCTCCAGTTTTATAGGACTCTCAATATTAGGCTGCTTAATGCTGTTCTACAGCTCACTGATGCTCTGCTCACTTTTTTTAAGTCAGTTTCTTTCTGTTTTTATCCTAGGTGAATTCTATTACCTTATCTTTAAGTTTGACTTGAGATACCTAATCTGCTGTTAATCCCATCCAGTATATTATAAAATCACATTCATTGTATTTTGCATCGGAAGAAGTTTTATTTCAGTCTTTTTTAAATCTTCCACGTCTCTTCTTAACATATGTACACTCTCTTCTATCCTGCCGAACATATTGAATATATATTTAATAGCCTTGTCTGCTAACTCCATCATGTATATCATTTCTGGATCTGTTTCTATTGAGTGTTTTTCTCCTCCTTATGACCCATATTTTTCTTTTTCTTTGCATATATGACTTTTTAAAATTGGATATCAGATATTTGAATTTTACGTTTCTAGCTACTGGAGTATTTGTATCCCTTAAATAAATTTGGGACTTTATTTTGTGATGCAGATAGATTACATAGAAACAATTTGATATTTCTGAGTCTTGTTTTGGAGCTTTGTAAGTTGTATCTAGGACAGCCTTTAGTGTACAGCAAATTTGCTTCCCGCGACTGGGGTGATCCGCTTCTGAGAATTCTCCTCAATGCCCTCTGTGTTAGGAGGTCTCCCACTCTGGTTGATGGAAGCACCATCTTTTCCCGGCCCCGTGTGGACTTTGAGATGGTTCTGCTTGATCCATCGAGTGGTCTCTCCCTAGCCTCAGGTTGTTTTCTTGTACTCACTGGTCAGAGCAGTTGAAGAGTCACTGGGAGTCCAATGCACATTCCAGAGCACTTCCCACCCACCGCTTTCTCCTCCCTGGGTCTCTTCCCTGGAATTTTAGCCATTTTGGCCTCCTCAAACCCTGAATGCAAGTCTCCTTAACTCAGAGAGACTGCCAGGCGCTGTTTGGGCTTCTCCTCCCTATAATACTGCCTGAAAAAGATCTCCAGGCTATAAACTGAGGCCATCACAGGGTTCACTTTATTCATTTCACTTCTTTCAGGGATCACGGTCTTGAGCCATCTGTTGTCCAGAGTTTCATATATTTCATGCATTTTAATTGTTTCAGGTTTGAGGGTAAATTCAGCCTCTGTTACCCCATCATAGAATTCCCTCAGACACAGATGTGTTAAGCTTTAGGAAATTCTACTGTAACCTATCTTCATGTATTCTCTTCCTCTCCCTTTAGGTTCATCTTCTTACTGTTCTTCACCGATGTCCTGTACTTTCAGCCTCTGTACCTTTGGTCATTTCTGTACCATTCATCCTTTCTTGCCTTTTAATGTCATTTTTATCAGTCTAAAACCCTATGACTTCTCAAGGACCATCTCAGAGTCTGTCTCTTATGTGAAAGTTAAACTGAGCCTCATACCTGAAAGTAATCTCTTTCATAAACAAACTTTTTTGAGCTTATCCTGCTTGGGTTTTGCTAAGCTTCCTGGATCTGTAGGTGGATATTATTTATCATGTATGAAACATTTTGGCCACTATTTTAAAAATAATTGTTTTCTGCCACCACTTTCTCTCCTCTATGTTGAAGACTCCAATGATATGTGTGCTAGGTGGCTTGATATTGTTTGGGAGTTCCCTGAGACCTCTTCCAGTTTTTGTAGTTGTTTAGCTTTATTTTCCTCTCTCTTGTTTTGACAGTTTCTGTTGTCCTGATTTCCTGTTCATAGACATTTCTCCTATAGTGTCTACTCCAACTTAAGCTTATCTAGCAAAATTTTCATTTCAGATATTTTTCAGATCTAGAAGTTCTATTTAGCTTTTTTATAGTTTCTGTTTCATTCTTCATTATGTTGTGTTTCACTATAAATCCTTGAACATATTTAATAATAGCCATTTTAGTATATTAGCCATTTATAAGTCCCATTATTTTAATTTACCATCTCTGCCATTTCTGGGTTGATTTCAATTGCCTAATATTACTACTTAGCATAGACACATTTTCCAGCTTTTAAGTATATCCCATAATTTCTGACTGGATGCTCAACATTATGAATGTTACTTTTTTATTATCTGAATTTTGTTTTCTTCTCTCAAAGAGTGTTGAGCTTTATTCTAGTGGGCAGTTGACTTGCTTGCAGGTCAACTTGTCTGCTTTTCCTTTCAAGGGCTCTTTTAAGCTTTGTTAGGGTTAATGGACGGTAGACTTATTCTATGCCATTTGAGTCCTACTCTAAGTTATGGGCTTCCTGGGATACCTGTTCAATGTTCCAGGTATTCAACAAAGCTATTCTGATGGCTCAGAGCTGTATCTCTCTCAGCCTCGACCAAGATCTAGTAATTATTCATACTGTAGTTCACCAGCAGTTGTTAATTCTCCAGTACTTATTCTTTGCCTGCCCCTGTGGAGTTTCACCCAATGGATGCCAGCTTAGTATTTACCCAAAGACTCAATGAGACCTCATGAAAATTGCGGGGCTCTTTCCGTGCATGGCCTCCTCTTCTCTGAGCTGTGTCCTCAGCTCAGTAAGAATTTCAGGGTGCCATGCTCTGCTTGGGTCCCTCTTGTTTGTACAGTAACCCAGGAAATTCTGGGTAGAAAACGGAAATGATCACAGCACGCACCTCATTTGTCTCCTTTCACTTATGGATCACAGTTTTGTGCCATCTCTTGTCCAATATTAGAAAACAATTATCTCACGTATATTGCCCAGTTTTCTAGGTGTTTATTATTGGAGGGTATAATGGATTGAATTATACCCACCATCCCCCCAGAAAAAGATATGTTGACATCCCAACCCTCAGTACCTCAGAATGTGACTCTGTTTGAAAATAGGGTCATTGCAAGTGTGACTAGTTAAGATGAGGTCATACTGGAGCACTGTGGACTCCTAATATGACTGATGTACTTGTAAGAAGACAGCCGTGGGAAGACAGAAACACACAGGGAAAATGCCATGTAATGCCAAAGGCAGAGTTTAAAGTTATGTAGCTGCAAGTTAAGGAATGTCAAAATTTGCCAGCAAATCAACAGAAGCTAGGAATAGGCAAGGAAGAATTTCCTTCCAGGTTTCAGAGGAAGCATAGCTCTGTTGATACCTTGATTTTAGACTTCTAGGCTCCAGAACCATGAGACAATAAATTCTGTTGTTTTAAGTCACCCAGTTTGTGGTACTTTATTACAGCAGCTCAAGGAGAATTACAAAGTGGATGGATTGAGTACAAGTTCCTTCATCGTAAGTGGAAGCAGAAGTTCCTAACTCTTTTAGTATTTGTCATCTGAACTACTTTTCTATCTTTTACCTCCTCCAATAGATAAGTTATTAGAAGGCAAATATTGCTTCTTGATTTTTTGTTTTCCGTCTATCTAAGCTTGAATTTTATGTGCACGTAAGGTAGATGTGAAATTCATGGGCATCAAATATGGGTGGGTAAAATATAATTTTGTTTTCTATAATTAAAATTATTCTATATCTAGATCCTTGTTGCATTGGGGTACACATGATTAATTCAGGGGTTTCTCAGACAATTCATGCTTGTCTCCCTTTCCTTTTCTCCCCGGGTAGTGTCTAAATTCCAGGGTGCTTATAAAAGCGCTTGTCAAAGCATTGTGGGGAAGGTACTTGGTCTTTGGTCATCATTTAACTTTCCTTCATGACTCTCATTTGCACCATCATCAGCACCTGTCCCCACTGATATCTGCTGATCCTCGGTGTGTCTGTCTGTCTGTCCTTCAGGTTGTTTTGATCCACGGCGGGTACACTGTGCCTTACACATTTCAAACACGATGTCTCTTCAGGCTTGATGGCTTCTCTCAGTTAATCTGTTTCCCTGTGAATGAGAAAATGGCTATTCCTGATCTATCCTGAGATCTTTGGGGATTCTTGGAGACTACCTCAGGTCCCTCTGTTAAGACACATTCTAGAGCCATGTATGTTTTCCACTGCTGCTCTAATAAATTACTACAGACTTAGTGGCTTAAAACAACACAAACTTATTATCTTACAGTTCTGTAACTCTGAAGTCTGACACAGGTTTCACCGAGTTAAAATCAAGCTGTCAGCTAGGCTGCATTCTTCCCTGAGGGCTCTAGAAGAGAACCCATTTCCTTACCTTTCCTAGCTTCTAGAGGCCACCTTCATTCCTTAGCTCATGCCCCCTTCTACCTCCAGGGCCAGCAGCATGGCATCTCTCTTGCCTGCTTCCATGTCCACATCTCTTTCTTTGACTCTCTTCTGCTTCCTTCTTCCATGTTGAAGATGCTTGTGATTGTATGGGGCACACCTGATTAATTCTGACTACTCTCCCTGTTCTAAGGGCATCCAATTAGAAACCTTAATTCCATCTTCAACCTTAATTCCCCTTTGCCATGTAATCTAACACATGCACAGATTCTGGGGATTAGAATGTGGACATCCTTGGGAGCCATTATTCTGCTGACCACAAGTCATTTCTACTTACCAGTCTCTAGCCAGTATGACATGTAGGGACCCAGGACCTTGTTCGTCTCATTCTGGAAATAAGCACAATTTTCCTCTGCCGTCAAAACTTTTGAATTTCCATTTCTTCTCTCTCCACCTCTCTCTCATCCCTTTCCTTGATCAGGATGTGGATAAGAAGAGGTAAGTCACAATTCAGGGCATTCAGGAGCATCTAATTGGCTGACTCTCCCTTCTTTCCATTAGCCCAGGTAATTTTTAACTCTTCTGTAGAGGAACAAATAGGCTTTGCAAGTATCTTCCATTCCTATTATATAGGAATATATACCAGTTTTAAAATTAAAAAGACGAGTTAGTTCTTATTGCCATTCTCTTCATGTATAAAGCTTTCTCTTGTTGGCAGCAATTCATTAAGAATCTAGTATGGAGGGAAAAAGCTGAAGATGGTAACAAAAAGACTTGAAAAGAGGCTTGCCAGAGAGGTGGACACGTTAAGATGACCAGGACATGTTAAGATGACAGTTCCAGCCAGCTTTCAATTCCGTAGGGCACCTCCAGACCCAGGCCAGATGTGCGGCCAGGACTCTCCCATTAGTAGATCTACTGCCACAGAGCAGAGGGATCATATCCCCATCCTCTTTTCAATACATGAATGACTTAAATGATTGAATAACTAAACAGTATTGCAGATGGGGATGGAGATTGAGGAGATTTTTTTAAAGGCATCAGCCATATGGAAGGAGCTTCCAGCTACTGAGCTGTGACAATGATCAGGAGCCAGGAGCCAGCTGGTTACTCTGATCTGACTGATACATCTCTTCACCCTCCAATCTGCTGCAGCATCTCTAAGAAGGAGGATTACATTGCTGTCTACATGTGGTAATGACACTGAGCTGATGCAGCTGATGAGTGAAGTCAGGTCTCATAGGATACGCTGGTGTTAAAGACTGCCAGCCAGAGGAAAACGTGATGCGGTACCCTTGAGAACAAGAGCAATTCTCATTCTTTCTCCCTGTATCTCCCACCACCCACTGTCCACTTTCTCTCCACCCCATCCCCACTCAGGACTAAATAAAAATTTCAAAAGCAAAGAGGAAAGAGAACAGAAATGGAAAGAAAGGGAGGAATAGGCTATGTGTGCACATATTTATTTTGGCTTCACTCTCTGCAATCCTAACATGCACAGATATTATATTATCAGATTTATTAAAAACTGAGATTGAACAACTGTTCAATGAAAACTGCTCTTGCGTTGGCTATAGCTATTTTTCATCATATGTTCCAAATGTTCACTGCAAGCAAACTATATTTACCACTTGATTTATCATTTAAATAAATGTTATAAGAGGATTAATTCCATTTTGAAATGATAAAAAACAAAACATTCCCCTATACATATGGTGTATTCAAATGCAAACAAAAAAATGTGCTACAGCCAAAACTGTCAGAAGCAAGAACCCCAACATTAACTTGGAATTGTGTTACTGTAGCATCAGCAACAACAACAAACATATGACATCACTAGGCCCTGATGAAATGGGAAAGTGTTACAAATGCTTTATTTGCTTAAAGCTTATTCTCCCTGTTCAGCCACTTTTACGGCTTTCTTTCCTGGGTTTTCATCTCAAACCGCTCCACCACATCCAACCCAAACTAAGTAATTGTTCTGAATATGAATCCTTCAGAATACAGAGCATGGCAAAGACAGAGGGAAGAGGAGTTTCCAAGGGTGTGCTGGTGTCCTCCAGGCATCTGAAGGTCTTTTGTCCCATTTCAGCAGAATGACATTTTAGCAGCTACCTAGCAGAGTCCCATGCTTAGCTATTATGAATCCTTACTATTATGAATTCGTGGCTTGACTGTGTTTTTTGTGGCTCGTGATCCCTTCAGCCCCTACCTTCCACCCCATGCCATTGTAAATCTCCCAATCTTTGCTGCAGACATAGGGAGTCAAAAAAAAAAAAAAAAAAAAAAAAAAAAAAAAGCCAACATATGTAAGAGTGCCTGCCTGCAGTGCACCAGGCAAAATGCATCTTTCAACAATTTTTAGATATTGTCATCATTATTTTCACTTTATAGATAAGAAAATTGAGAATCAGGGTTTGCTTGAGAGTTCCCAAGCCAGCAAGAAGCAGAGCTGTGAAATGAACCCAAATCCATATGATTCCAAGTCTCTGTGATGTTTCCTATTACTCATATTGCATTTAGAGGATAAATTAGATCTAGTTGGCCCATTAGAGACACATGGAGCAGATTCCAACTTTGATCAGTTCAGGAGTTAATTATGCCTGTCCAGGTCTCAAAATCTGTCTGCCAGGGATGAAGATTATGCAGGCGATCCCTTTGGCTGTCATAGAAGCTTCCTGCCCTCAGAACTGAGCATTTCTGCTTTGATTACCCCAAAATACCTGAATCTCTTGAGCCCTATCCTTTCATCTCCCAGGTAACATGTCTAGCTCTAGTTTCCAATTTCAGATAAACTAAAATCTTTTTTCATCCTTCTATCAGTATCACAGTTTCTCTGAAGCTTTCCCAGGCTTCTGATGTCTCCCGGGGGAGCTGGAGAGTTACCTTTAGTTTACAGGTAAATAATGAGTCATTAAATATATTTACATACCAGGATGTCAGCAGGAATGCAAAGAAGATAACAAGTGCAGAGTATAGCTGGTTCCCAGGGAGGCTGGGGGTGATTCACCACACTCTTAAAAGAAGACTAGCCTCATTTCCTCCCCAGCTCATGGGGTAGGATTCCTCTGCTCTGGCAGCAGATCTCCCAGAGGGAGCAGCCTGACCACATCACTGGCCCAGAAGAGGAGGCGTCTGTCCCCCAGACTAGCTGAAGGAAAGGCTGGCTTGGATGATGCTCTGCTCTCTCCTTGCCCTTCTCCTGGGCACTTTCTTTGGTGGGTGCCCTCCTCTCTGGCAAGCCTCTTTTCTCATCCTCACCCTCACCCCAATCCCGTGAATGCAGAGTCTGAGCTGTTGGTTTGACACTCTTGAGTCTATTCCTGATTGTCTGGAACAGATATGGGAATTTAGCCTTAGGGGCTGATCTGATGATTCTTAGTTCTCTCTATCTCCTGAGAAGGAGTTCGTTCTGTTGGTCTTCCCTGGCCCAGGGATGCTTTGCATCCTTGGCTCCCCCAGTCTACTCCCCATGATGGATTCCAGGTGCCTGTGTCATGCAAGAGCTTGAGCTGCCCCTCTGTCTGGGGAAGGCAAGCCAGGCTGGGGTGCTCCTCTGTAAATGGCACTTTATCTTTCCCACAGGGGTCAGATCTCAGACTATTCATCAATGGCCAGCGACCCTGGTGCAGCCTGTGGGCAGCCCGCTCTCTCTGGAGTGCACTGTGGAGGGAACATCAAACCCCAACCTATACTGGTACCGACAGGCTGCAGGCAGGGGCCTCCAGCTGCTCTTCTACTCCGTTGGTATTGGCCAGATCAGCTCTGAGGTGCCCCAGAATCTCTCAGCCTCCAGACCCCAGGACCGGCAGTTCATCCTGAGTTCTAAGAAGCTCCTTCTCAGTGACTCTGGCTTCTATCTCTGTGCCTGGAGTGTCACACTGAGCTGGGTGGGGCAGACATCTGTGCAAAAACCCCACCCTCTCCTGAGCCCTAACCATACTCCCCAGGGGCCTTCACTTAGGGACTGGGTGGAGGATATTTGTAAGTAGGTTTCTGACTGCTGGCCAATGTGAAAGCAATGGAATAAAGCGAGAATTCTACAAAAGACTCTACTAAGTTCTCAGGGAGAACAAAAAATTGTATGTGTGCAGAACCTGTGATTTGCCTGCACATAGTCAAGTTCTCAATGTATGGATGTCCCGGCCCAGGCTACCATACTCCAGCCCTCAAGGTGTGCTATACCTTGCCTGATTTTCTAGTCTTCCAAATTCTTCTATGTGTGCCGTGGGGAGGGGGTTTGTGCATATATGGCTGAGAGAAAGGATATACCTGTGGCAGGAGGTGAGCTGGTGAACAAACGGGAGGATGCCAACCCAGGTTACTTAATTGGTTAATTTCATCACCTGGAGAGTCTCCTGTCATTGATCTTTCTGCTGAGACTAGAAATTATGGGGAGGCTTAGACCTGAGGCTTTGAGTCAGGCAAAGAGGCAAGATGTTCAGGAGACTGTTCTCATTCGAGGCAGAAGTGTGGTTTTGTTAGTATAGGTAACATGCACTTAGGCCAGACGTGGTAGCTCATGCCTGTAATCCCAGCACTTTGGGAGGCTGAGGCAGGAGGATCACCTGAGGTCAGGAGTTTGAGACCAGCCTGGCCAATATGGTGAAACCTGTCTCTACTAAAAGTACAAAAATTAACCGGGCGTGGTGGCAGGCGTCTGTAATACTAGCTACTTGGGAGGCTGAGGCAAGAGAATCACTTGAACCTGGGAGGTGGAGGTTGCAGTGAGCCAAGATCATGCCACTGCACTCTAGCCTGGGTGACAGAGCGAGACTCTGTCTCAAAAAAAAAAAAAATAAAAATAAGCTTGCACTTAGAAATTTTGGTGATGTTTGAGGTTTTAAAAAATGTCCTGTTGTACTATCTTGTAGCCCTTCCTTTGTAGCAAAGACAGACAGATGGTGATCCAAGAGATACGCAAGAAGAGGACCGTGTGTGTAATGGTTGAGCTCTAAAAAAGAGAAATCACTTGGATGGAAATGAAGGAGAGGAAAAGGCTGATGTGGATGGCTGGGAAGAGGTTCGATGGTTACCTTGGCAACTGAGCTTCCTTCCTCATCCCCATCCCTCCCTAGTCCTTGTTCTTAAAAAGATTTTCTTTCTAATGTCCCTTCCCCTCCACAAGGGGGCACAAGATGTCTTAAAATACTCCATTCCGGGCATCATTTAACCTAGATCAATCCAGACACGTGCATATTTCTAGTATCATTTAATCTGAAGTGGAAAATCTGAGATGTAGACACAGAGTGATCAAGAACATATGGAATAATGCCCAGGGGTCCCTACTGAACTTTAAGGATCACCTATGTATTAAGCAGCTATTATTTGCTGGACACAGTGAGTCATTTTGAGGATTAAAAAGAAAAATAAAATGTACTCGAGATGGTGTTGGGCACAGTCATAGCATGATTTAGTCAAAGCACTTGATTTTTGTAGTCTAAAAATTTGCTAGTTGTTATGAACTTGACCTAGTTATTTAATTTTACTAAGTTTCAAGTTTTTCCCCACCTATAAAACTTGCCTCATTGAATTGTTATGTGTATTAAATGAGATGGTGTTTATAAAGCCCTATTACAAGCTCTAATTTTCAACAGGTATTATTTTCCGCTCCTTAAGCTTACAAGATTATTTTCATTACAACTTACCCAAGAGGAAGACTTAGTTAAAAAATTTCAAATCATAAACTACAAGTATGTAATAAATATTAATATTTAAAATGCTAAACATGCTTGGATGGCAAAACCATGAAACTTGAACCCTATGCTGTGCCTATTCAGATGCTGATTCTGTAGGGGCTTTATACAGCTTCAGAATCCTCATTAATAGAGAAATGTCTCAGGCAATCACCACTAGTCAAGTAGAATTAGTAGAGACTTGAGGCAGATTTTTCCTTCCTGTAATATACTGCAAAAATTCTGGAAAACTTCACAAAGGACATAAAATTGTAGCTAAGTTTAGCTCTTTAGGAGGCTAATAGTTATATAAGCAAAATGACATTGCAAGCAGGAGAGTCAGTTTGTGTAGAAATGTGCAGGTCTATGTGAATATTGTAAGTTTTAGAGAATCTGAAGAAAAAAAGTCCTGATCATTGCACAGAGCATCCTAGAGACAGGTGAGCATTGAAGGAGAGGCTTGAAAGCCACCTAAATTCAGCAGAACAAATTAACATCCTCCATGTTATCTGCTCTTATTCATGCAAGACTGTTCATTCCCATAACTGTTTCCATACCATCTAGGACTCAGAAATCCACAGTCATTATAATTCCAGGGGACAAAGGAAAGCAGTTTAGGATGACCGATCCTGTTCAGACATGCTGTCTCTTGCCAATAATTCATCAAACTCACTTGCCCCTTTAATCAGATGAGGCTGTCTCTTTTCTAGGAGAGCTTCCAGGATTTGCATCTGATTTTGCAGATGTGCAGGATGACTATTTCCATATATCTCCTTCCCTGGCCAGTTGCACATGGAAGATTCAGGGCCACATGCTGGTGGCCAGAGGCACTCTCCCCAAGATGCTTCTCATAGATCTCAGCCACCCATGGGACTTATAAGGAGATACCCTTGTGCCTCTAAATAGATCTCAGCCACCCATGGGACTTATAGGGAGTCACCCTGGGGCCTCTGGACAGCTTGAGTAAGATGAAGAATGCCCGGGGTTGGGAAGCTGGTAATACTAAAATTAGGCGACTTCTTATTTTTGCCCAGGATTCAGTGGTTTGGGATAAGAATGCTACAATCCCTTGAGCTCCTGCAGAGCAGGCTTGACCTATTATATACCTGGTAATTTCCCACTACTTACTTTGGGGGTTTCTGCCTCTCTAGTTTTTCATTCTGTCTTGCATTATGTTCTTCTAAGATGTGTTAGAAAATATTCATCACACAGACCTTACAGGCTTTAGCAACTACAGGAAAAAACTACGAGGAGCCAGTCAATGCAGTGCACAAACACTGGCTCAGACATCCAGGGACTGTCCGTTTTGCAGTCTGTTGGTTATCTAGGGCTACCTCTCCTGTGACTCATCAGCACCTCTCATTACATGAGTGGAAGGAAGTGGGAGGATACATGTGGAGGGAGGTGGAAGGGAGTTTGGGGGGCAGGTGGGAAGAGAGAGTTGCCTGAGTGATGTGGGACCAGAAGGGATCCCAACTGGGTCAGAGCAGTTATTGCAGCTGTTTTTCATTCTCCACTATCTTCATGGTGCCCACTGTGGCCTTTGATCTTGTGCATAACCTCCAGCAGGTGTAAAGATGTGTTGGGGGAGGGGAGGCCTGCACATGGATCTGGGATACCTAGATTCCCCTCTAGAGACCCTGCCCCTCCCCTCTGAAGTTCTATTTCTACTGCCAGGATGCTAACCAGGGGCCCAGGTAGAAAGAGCAGCATAGGAGGGGGTTGGGTGCCGGATGCGGTGAGTGTGGTTCTCATGATGCTCTGAAGGTGGGTGGGTGGAGGGAGCAACTTTCACAGGCACCCCAGATGCAGGACCCAGTAAATGTCAAACCACATCCTGTTGTGACTGTAAGAGATGGAGCTAGGGCAGGTGGCTGCTGTGGCTTGGTGCTGATGTGACTCAGAGATAAACAGCCCGGCAGCCAGCACTGGGCTCAGAACCCCCATTCCTACCCCAGTTGTCAGCTATTACCTAAAAGACCCCGATTTACATCTCATTACTTCCCACCTTTTGATTCAGGGCCACTCTCCTTTTTAACACAATTTTCTTGTCATTCATGGCCCTAGACCTTTTTGATGGAGGAGGGCCAGGGAACAGGTGTCAGGGCTCCAGTTGACTCTTGCTAACTGTGGGACTCCAGTGCCAGTGCTGTCCTCTTCCACCATCAGACTGTCTGAGACTATGTCACAGATATGTATGATTTGAGGCCAGGAAGAGCTTAGCTTCTCTGAGTTCCCATTCTCTTGGTACTTCAGAGACTGCAGGCTTTGAATCAGAGAATCTGAAGAGCAGAGTTTGAAGATTCTTAGAGATCACTTTACCCAATGTCCTCATATCACAGAGGAGGACATATAAGCCCAGAGAATAAAAATGAGTTGTTCAGAGCCATGCAGCTGGGGCCAGAGGAGGACCAGAAGCTAATTCTCTGTGTTTTAGCAGCTCCTGGACTTCAGACAAGGCTTGGGGAATGTGGGGTCTCTGTTGAGCTGTGATCTTGCTATGAATTTCATGAATCACTCTTATAGTAATGAATCAGGCAAGATGATCATATCTGAGATGGCATGAGGATAGAAGGATAAATATAATGAATCACAAAATTAGAATCCTGCAGAATCTTAATAGGTTGGAGAGATAAGCTGAATAAACATGATAAACATTCTCTCTCTCCCTCCTCCCCCACCAAACAGAGAAAACCATCTATATGAACACAGGAAGGGGAATATGTGAAAGAAGGATATGTGAAAAAACACCCAGGGGGTGAGTCAAAGTGAGCTCTGTGAGTCAACGGGATGGTGAGCGTACAAAAAGTAGATAAATTGTCCTAATGGAACCAACTAACGTATAAGATGTTGAGAAAGAGGAGGCAAAGTTCCCCCTTTACTCTTTGTAGGTCAGAACCCACCTGGTGCTGGGTCAGGTCCTGTACAACACATTTTTTAAAAGATAGAGGGATAAAAACAAACTTTAATGTTTTCAGAAGGGAGTGATTGGGCTATGGAAAGTAGGACGTGCTCAAAACTGTGCCCTATAATAACAAAATTGAGAAAACTGAAAATGTTTTGCCTGAAAAAAATCTTCAGGTTGGTAGTAGTTATAATAACACCTAATACTTACTGATATTGTTCTAAAAGCTTTACATGTTGTGTGGGTTAAATGAGATAAAACGATCTTATGAAGTTGGGCTTGTAATTGAGCTCATTTTACAGCAAGGAAAACTGAGTCTCAGAGGTGATCACTTGCCCAGGGTCACATAGTTGATAAATGACAGAACTAAGGCTTAAACCCAGGTCTCTGCATTACAACATCTTCTTTGCTACGATAATGTTTTCATCCATCCACTACATGCTTTTTTTCCATTCCAAAAACTCAAGTTTTAAAGTTTCTAATGATTCTGTCTCGCATAGATTTATGGGTTCTTGCCAGAATATGGGCACTCTGTTGCATGTAGACACCTGAGAGGGCTTTTGGGGGGACTATAGGGTCCCAGAGATAAGTGAATAGCAACTGTAGGTTGGCAAAAAGGAGCTGAGAATTAGCTTTACATGTTGTGTGGATTAAATGCTCATATTCACAGAGGGCAGTTGAGATCAGTTGCAGAGCAAGCTGATAAAAATCCTTTGGAAATAGTCACAGGTGTAGGCTCATTTTCAGATCCTTTTTGCTGACCTACAGAAGCCATTCACTCATTTTTGGGGCCCCATATTCCCCAAGAAGCCCTCTCAGGAGTCCACCAGCAGCAGAGATAAAGACTATGGATAGAGATGGGAGAGAAAGGCATGTAGTTGAGTCTATAGGAGAGGGGGATGGCGAATAGAAAATATCATGTCTGTTGGAGGGAGATGATTCATAAGTTCTGCCACAATAAAAAAAATAAAAGGACAGGCAGAGATGTAGGGATGTTAAGGAACCCAGGAACTTCAAATTCACAAACACAGACAGCAAGAAAAGGAAGGCTTCCAGATAGGAGGAAAGAACATTCAACCCTAGAATAAGGCAGGGAATATGTT